>NC_000022.11:15754318-16054318 GCF_000001405.40 Homo sapiens | reverse complement strand
GAAGCAATCTGGGAAACTTCTTTGGGATGTGTGAATTCATCTCACAGATTTCAACCTTTCTTTTGTTTGAGCAGTTTTGAAACTCTCTTTTTGTAGAATCTGAAAGTGGACATTTGGAGCCATCTGAGGCCTATGTTGGAAAAGGAAGTATCTTCAAATAAAAACTAGACAGAAGAATTCTGAGAAACTTCTTTGTGATGAGTGTGCTCATCTCACAGAGTTAAAGATTCTTTTGATTGAGCAGTTTGGAAACACTCTTTTTGAAGAATCTGCAAGTGGATATTTGGAGTGTTTTGAGAACTGTGGTGGAAAAGGAAAATCTTCATATAAAAACTAGACAGAAGGATTCTGAGAAATTTCTTTGTGATGTGTGCATTCATCTCACAGAGTTGAAGCTTTCTTTTGATTGAGCAGTTTGGAAACTATCTTTTTGTAGAATCTGCAAGTGGATACTTGGAGCGCTTTGCGGCCTGTGGTAGAAAAGGAAATATCATCACATAAAATCTAGACAGAAGAAATCTGAGAAACTTCTTTGTGACGTGTGCGGTCATCTCACAGAGCTAAAACTTTCTTTTAATTGAGCATTCCTGAAACTCTCTTTTTGTAGAATCTGCAAGTGGACGTTTGGAGCACTTTGAGGCCTACGGTGGAAAAGGAAATTACTTCACATTAAAAACTACACAGAAGAATTCTGAGAAACTTCCTTGTGATGTGTGTGTTCATCTCACAGAGTTGAAGCTTTCTTTTGATTGAGCAGTTTGGAAACAGTCATTTTGTAGAATTTGCAAGTGGACATTTGGATCGCTTTACAGCCTATGTTAGAAAAGGAAATATCTTCACATAAAATCTAGACAGTAGCAATCGGAAAAACGTCTTTGTGATGTGTGCATTCATCTCACAAAGTTAAAACTTTCTTTTGATAGAGCAGTTTTGAAACTCTCTTTTTGTAGAATCTGCAAGTGGATTTTTGGAGCACTTTGGGGCCTATGGTGGAAAGGGAAATATCTTCACATAAAAACTAGATAGAAAAATTCTGACCATGTTCTTTGTGATGTGTGCATTCATCTCACAGAGTTGAACCTTTCTTTTCATTGAGCAGTTTGGAAACACTGTTTTTGTAGAATCTGCTAGTGGACATTTGCAACGCTTTGCGGCCTATGGTAGAAAGGGAAATATCTTCACATAAAAACTAGACAGAAGCAATCTGATAAACTTCCTTGTGATGTGTGCATTCATCCCACACAGTTAAAATTTTCTTTTGATTGAGCAGTTTGAAACTCTCTTTTTGTAGAATCTGCAACTGGACATTTGGAGCGCTTTGAGTCCTGTGGTGGAAAAGGAAATATTTTCATATAAAAACTAGACAGAAGAATTCTGAGAAACTTCTTTGTGATGTGTCCTTTCATCTCACAGAGTTAAACCTTTCTTTTGATTGAGCAGTTTTGAAACTCTCTTTTCGTAGAATCTGCAAGTGGACATTTGGAGCGATTTGAGGCCTGTGGTGGCAAAGGAAATATCTTCACAAAAAAAAAACTAGACAGAAGAATTCTGAGAAACTTCTTTGTGATGCATGCATTCATCTCACAGAGTTGAGCCTTTCTTTTCATAGAGCAGGTTGGAAACACTCTTTTTTAGAATCTGCAAGTGGACATTAAGAGCGCTTTGCAGCCTACAGTAGAAAAAGAAATATCTTCACATAAAATCTAGACAGAAGCAATCTGCGAAACATTTTTGTGATGTATGAATTCGTTTCACAGAGGGCAACCTTCTTTTTGATTGAGCAGTCTTGAAACTGTCTTTTTGTAGAATCTGCAAGTGGACATTTGGAGCGCTTTGTGGCCTATAGTGGAAAAGGAAATATCTACACATAAAAACTAGAGAGAAGAATTCTGAGAAACTTCTTTGTGATGGGTGCAATCATCTCACAGAGTTGAAACTTTCTTTTGATTGAGCAGTTTGGAAACACTCTTCTTGTAGAATCTGCAAGTGGACATCTGGAGTGCTCTGCGGCCTGTGGTAGAAAAGGAAATATCTTCACATAAAATCTAGACAGAAGCAATCTGAGACACTTCTTTGTTAGTGTGCATTCATCTCACAGAGTTAAACCTTTGTTTTGATTGAGCAGTTTGGAAACACTCTCTTTGTAGAATCCGCAAGTGAACATTTCGAGAGCTTTGTGGCCTCTGGTAGAAAAGGAAATATTAAAAATAAAATCTAGATGGAAGGAATCTGAGAAACTTGTGGTGTGTGCATTCATCTTACAGAGATAATCCTTCCTTTTGATTGAGCAGTTTTGAAACTCTTTTTGAATAATCTGCAAGTGGACATTTGGAGCGTTTTGAGGTATATGGTGTAAAAGGAAATATCTTCACATAAAAACCAGACAGAAGAATTCTGAGAAACTTCTTTGTGATGCGTGCGTTAATCTCACAGAGTTCAAGCTTTCTTTAGATTGAGTAGTTCGGAAATACTGTTTTTGAGGAATCTGCAAGTTGACATTTAGAGCACTTTGCAGCCTATGTTAGAATAGCAAATATCTTCACTTAAAATCTAGACAGAAGCAGTCTGTGAAAATTCTTTGTGATGTGTGCATTCATCTCACAAAGTTAAAACTTTCTTTTGATTGAGCAGTTTTCAAACTCTCTTTTCGTAGAATCTGCAAGTGGACATTTGGAGAGCTTTGAGGCCTGTGGTGGAAAAGGAAATATCTTCATAAAAAAACTAGACAGAAGAATTCTGAGAAACTTCTTTGTGATGTGCGCTTTCATCTCACAGAGTTGAACTCTTCTTTTTATTGAGCAGTTTGGAAACATTCTTTTTTTAGACTCTGAAGGTGGAAATTTTTATTGCTTTACAGTCTATGGTAGAAAAGGTAATATCTTCACATAAAATCTAGACAGAAGCTATCTGAGAAACTTCTTTGTGATGTGTGCACTCATCTCACAGCATTAAAACTTCCTTTTGATTGGAGCAGTTTTGAAACACTCTTTTTGTAGAATCTGCAAGTGAATATTTGGAGCGCTTTGAGGCCTATGGTGGAAAAGAAAATATTTTCACATAAAAAGTAAGCAGAAGAGTTCTGAGAAACTTCTTTGGGACGTGTGCATTCATCTCACAGAGTTGAAGCTTTATTTTGATTGAGCAGTTTGGAAACACTCTTTTTGTAGAATCTGCAAGTGGACATTTGGAGAACTTTGCGGCATATGGTAGAAAAGGAAATATCTTCACATAAAATCTAGACAGAAGCAATCTGAGAAACTTATTTGTGATGTGTGCATTCATCTCACAGCGTTAAAACTTCCTTTTGATTGGAGCAGTTTTGAAACACCCTTTTTGTAGAATCTGGAAGTGGATATTTGGAGGGCTTTGAGGCCTATGGTGGAAAAGGAAATATCTTCACGTAAAAACTAGATGGAAGCATTTGGTAAACTTCTTTGTGATGTGTGCCTTCATCTCCCAGAGGTGAACCTTTCTTTTGAAAGACCAGTTTTGAAATACTCTTTTTGTAGAATCTGCAAGTGGACATTTCGAGTGCCTTGAGGCCTATGGTGGCAAAGGAAATATCTTCACATAAAAACTAGACAGAATTCTGAGAAACTTTTTTGTGATGTATGCATTTATCTCCCAGAATTGAACCTTTCTTTTGAAGGACCAGTTTTGAAATACTCTTTTTGTAGAATCTGCAAGTAGAGATTTCGAGTGCCTTGAAGCCTATGTTGGAAAAGAAAACATCTTCACGTAACAACTGGACAGAAGAATTTTGAGAAACTTCTTTGTGATATGTGGGTTCATCTTACAGAGTTGAACCTTTCCTTTGATTGAGCAGTTTGTAAAAACTCTTTTTGTAGTACCTGTAAGTGGACATTTGGAACGCTTTGCAGCCTATGGTAGAAAAAGGACTATATTCACATAAAATCTAGACAGAAACATTCTGAGAAAATTCTTTGTAATGTGTGCATTCATTCAACAGAGCTGAATCTTTCCTTTGATGGACCAGTTTTGAAATACTCTTTTTGTGGAATCTGCCTGTGGACATTTCGAGTGCTTTGAGGCCTAGGGTGGAAAATGAAATATCTTCACAGAAAAGCTATGCAGAAGAATTCTGAGAAACTTCTTTGAAATGTGTGCATTCATCTCACAGAGTTGAACCTTTCTTTTGATTGAGCAGTTTGGAAAAATTTTTTTCGTAGAATCTGCAAGTGGACATGTTGAGAGCTTTGTGGCCTACAGTAGAAAAGGAAATATCTTCACATAAAATCTAGACAGACGCAATCTGAGAAACTTCTTTGTTATGTGTGTACTCATCTCAAAGAGGTAAACCTTTCTTTTGGTTGAGCAGTTTTGAAACTCTCTTTTTGTAGAATCTGCAAGTGGACAGTTGGAGCACTTTGAGGCCTATGCTGGAAAAGGAAATATCTTCAGATAAAATCTAGAAAGAAGCAATTTGAGAAACTTCTTTGTGACGTGTGCATTTATCTCACAGAATTAAACATTTTTTGACTGAGCGGTTTTGAAAGTCTCTTTTTGCAGAATCTGCAAGTGCACATTTGGAGGGCTTTGAAGCCGATGTTAGAAAAGGAAATTATCTTCACATAAAAACCAGACCGAAGAATTCTGAGAAACTTCTTTGTGATGCTTGCGTTCATCTTACAGTGTTGAATCATTCTTTTCATTGAGCAGTATGGAAATACTGTTTTTGAAGGATCTGCAAGTGGATATTTAGAGCGCTTTGCAGCCTATGTTAGAATAGGAAATGTCTTCACATAAAATCTAGACAGAAGCAATCTGAGATACTTCTTTGTGATGTGGCCTTTCATCTCACAGGGTTAAAACTTTCTTCTGTTTGAGCAGTTTTCAAACTCTCTTTTTGTAGAATCTGCAAGTGGACATTTGGAACGCTTTGAGGCCTATGGTGGAAAAGGAAATATCTTCACATAAAAACCAGACAGAAGAATTCTGACAAACTTCTTTGTGATGTGTGCATTCTTCTCACAGAGTGGAACCGTTCTTTTGATTGAGCAGTTTGGTACCACTCTTTCTTGTAGAATCTGCAAGTGGACATTTGGAGTGCTTTGTGGTCTATGGTAGAAAATTAAATATCTTCACATAAAATCTAGACAGAAAAATCTGAGAAACTTGTTTGTGATATATGCATTCATCTCACAGAGATAACCCTTTCTTTTGATTGAGCAGTTTTGAAACTCTCTTTTTGTAGAATCTGCAAGCAGACATTTAGAGTGTCTTGAGGCCTATGGTGGAACAGGAAATATCTTCACATAAAAATTAGACAGAAGAATTCTGAGAAACTTCTTTGTGATGAGTGCGTTCATCTCACGGAGTAGAACCTTTCTTTTGATTGAGCAATTTGGAAACACACTTTTTGTAGCATCTGCAAGTGGACATTTGGAACTCTTTGCAGCCAATGGTAGAAAAGGAAATATCTTCACATAAAATCCAGACAGAAGAAATCTGAGAAAATTCTTTGTGATGTGTGCATTAATCTCACAGAGTTAAACTTTTCTTTTGATTGAGCAGATTGGAAACTCTCTTTTTGTAGAATCTGCAAGTGGACATTTGGAGTGTTTGAGGCCTGTGGTGGAGAAGGAAATATCTTCACATAAAAAGTAGGTAGAAGCATTCTGATAAACTTCTCTGTGATGTCTGCATTCATCTCCCAGAGTTCCACCTTTCTTTAGAAGAACCAGTTTTCAAATACTCTTTTCGGAGAATCTTCAAAGGGACTTTTCAAGCACCTTGAGGCTTAAGTTGGAAAAGGAAATATCTTCACAAAAAAAACAGGTAGAAGAATTCTGAGAATCTTCTTTATGATATGTACGTTCATCTAACAGAGTTGTACCTTTCTTTTGAATGCGTAGTTTGGAAACACCCTTTTTGTAGAATTGGCAAGTGGACATTTGGAGCACTTTGCGGCCTATGATAGAAAAGGAAATATCTTCACATAAAATCTAGAAGGAAGCAATCTGAGAAACTTCTTTGTGATGTGTGCATTCATCTCACAGAGTTGAACCTTTCTTTTGATTGAGCAGTTTTGAAACACTCTCTTCGTAGAATCTGCAAGTGGATATTTGGAGCCGTTTGAGGCCTATTGTGGAAAAGGAAATATCTTCACATAAAAACTACTCAGAAGTATTCTGAGAAACACCATTGTGATGTTTGGATTCAACTCACAGAGTGGAAACTACGTCTTGATTGAGCAGTTTTGAATCTCTCTTTTTGCAGAATCCGCAAGTGGTTGTTTGGAAAGCTTTGAAGCCTATTGTGGAAAAGGAAATATCTTCACATAAAAACTACACAGAAGCATTCTGAGAAACTGCTTTGTGAGGTGTGCATTCAACTCACGGAGTTGAAATTATCTTCTCATTGAGGAGTTTTCTATCTCTCTTTTTGTAGAATCTGCATGTGGATATTTGAAGACCTTTGCATCCTATGGTGGAAAAGGAAATATCTTGAAATAAAAACTACACAGAAGCATTCAGAGAAACTTCTTTGTGATGTGTGTATTCAACTCACAGAGTTGAACCTATCTTTTGATTGAGCTGTTTTGAATCTCTCTTTTTGTACAATCTGAAGGTGGATATTTCGAGCCCTTTGAGGCCTACAGTGGAAAAGCAAATATCTTCACATAAAAACTACACAGAAGCATTGTGAGAAACTTCTTTGGGAGGTGTGCATTCACCTCACAAAGTTGAACTTATCTTCTCATTGAGGAGTTTTCAATCTCTCTTTTGGTAGAATCTCCAAGTGGATATTTGGAGCCCTTTGCACCCTATGGTGGAAAAGGAAATATCTTCAAATAAAAACTACACAGAAGCATTCAGAGAAACTGCTTTGTGATGTATGCATTCAACTCACAGAGTTGAACCTATTTTTTGAATCAGCAGTTTTGAATCTCTCTTTTGGCAGAATCTTCAGGTGGATATTTGGAACCCTTTGAGGCCTACTGTGGAAAAGCAAATATCTTCACATAAAAACTACACAGAAGTATTCTGAGAAACTTCTTCGTGATGTGTGCATTCATCTCACAGGGTTGAACCTAGCTTATGATTGAGCAGTTTTGAAACACTCTTTTTGTAGAATCTGCAAGTGGATATTTGTAGCGCTTTGAGGCCTACACTGTAAAACCAAATATTTTCAGATAAGAACTACACAGAAGCATTCTGAGAAACTCCTTTGTGATGGATGCATTCATCTCCCAGAGTTGAAACTTTCTTTTGATTGAGCAGATTTGAAACACTCTTTTTGTTGTATCTGCAAGTGGATATTTGGAGCCCTCTGTGGCCTATGGTGGGAAAGGAAATATCTTCAAATGAAAACTATGCAGAAGCATTCTCAGAAACTTCTTCATGATGTATGCATTCAACTCACAGAGTTGAACCTATCTTTTGATTGAACAGTTTTGAATCTCTCTTTTTGTAGAATCTGCAAGTGGATATTTGGAGCGCTGTGAGGCCTACTGTGGAAAATCAAATATGTTCACACAAAAACTACAGAGAAGCATTCTGAGAAACTTCTTTGTGATGTGTGCATTCAACTCACAGAGTTGAACCTGTCTTTCAATTGAGCAGTTTTGAATCTCTCTTTTTGCAGAATCTGCAAGTGGATGTTGGGAGAGCTTTGAGGCCTATTGTGGAAAAGGAAATAGCTTCACATAAAAACTACACAGAAGCATTCTGAGAAACTTCTTTGTGATGTGTGCATTCATCTCACAGAGTTGAACCTTTCTTTTGATTGAGCAGTTTTGAAACTCTTTTTGTAGAATCTGCAAGTGGATATTTGGAGAATTTTGAGGCCTACTGTGGTAAAGGAAATATCTTCACATAAAAACTTCTCAGAAGTACTCTGAGAAACTTCTTTGTGATGTGGGGATTCAACTCACAGAGTTGAACCTATCTTTTGATTGAGCAGTTTAGAGTCTCTCTTTTTCTAGAATCTGCAAGTGGATATTTGGAGCCCTTTGCACCCTATGGTTGAAAAGGAATTATCTTCAATAAAAACTACACAGAAGCATTCTAAGAAACTTCTTCATGATGTGTGCATTCAACTGACTGAGTTGAACTTATCTTCTCATTGAGCAGTTTTCAATCTCTGTTTTGTTGAATCTGGAAGTGGATGCTTGGAGCCCTTTCACCCTATTGTGGAAAAGGAAATATCTACAAATAAAACTACACAGAACCATTCAGAGAAACTTCTTTGTGATGTATGCATTCAACTCACAGAGCTGATCCTATCTTTTGATGGAGCAGTTTTGAATCCCGCTTTTTGCAGAATCTGCAGGTGGATATTTGGAGCCCTTTGGGGCCTACTGTGAAAAATCAAATATGCTCACATAAAAACTACACAGAAAGATTCTGAGAAACTTCTTTGTGATGTGTGCATTCAAGTCACAGAGTTGAATCTAACTTTTGATTGAGCAGTTTTGAATCTCTCTTTTTGTAGAATCTGCAAGTGGATATTTGGAGCCCTTTCAGCCCTGTGGTGCAAAAGGAAATATCTTGAAATAAAAACTACAAAGAAACATTCAGACAAACTTCTTTGTGATTTATGCATTCAACTCAAAGAACTGAACATATCTTTTGATTGAGCAATTTTGAATCTCTCTTTTTGCAAAATCTGCAGGTGCATATTTGGAGCCCTTTGAGGCCTACTGTGGAAAAGCAAATATCTTCACATAAAGATTACACAGAAGCATTCTGAGAAACTACTTAGTGACATGTGCATTCATCTCACAGGGTTGAATCTATCTCATGATTGAGCAGTTTTGAAACACTATTTTTCTAGAATATGGAAGTGGATATTTGGAGCCCATTGAGGCCTATAGTGGAAAGGAAATATCTTCACATAAAAACAACACAGAAGGATTCTGAGAAACTTCTTTGTGATGTGTGCATTCATCTCACTGAGTTGAACCTTTCTTTTCATTGTGCAGTTTTGAAACACCGTTTTTGTAGAATCTGCGAGTGGATATTTGGAGAATTTTGTGGACTATTGTGGAAAAGGAAACATCTTCACTTAAAAACTACTCGGAAGCATTCTGAGAAACTTCTTTGTGATGTGGGGATTCAACTCACAGAGTTGAATATATCTTTTGATTGAGCAGTTTAGAGTCTCTATTTTTCTAGAATCTGCAAATGGATATTTGGAGCCCTTTGTGCCCTATGGTGGAAAAGGAGATATCCTCAATAAAAACTACACAGAAGCATTCTAAGAAACTTCTTCGTGATGTGTACATTCAACTCACTGAGTTCAACTTATCTTTTCCATGAGCAGTTTTGAATCTCTGTTTTTGTAGAATCTGCAAGTGGATATTTGGAGCCCTTTGTGCCCTATGGTGGAAAAGGAAATATCTTCAATAAAAACTACACAGAAGCATTCTAGGAAACTTCTTCGTGATGTGTACATTCAACTCACTGAGTTGAGCTTATCTTCTCAATGAGCAGTTTTGAATCTCTGTTTTTGTAGAATCTGCAAGTGGATATTTGGAGCCCTTTATGCCCTACAGTGGAAAGGAATTATCTTCAAATAGAACTACACAGAACCATTCAGAGAAACTTCTTTGTGATGTATGCATTCAACTCACAGAGTTGAACCTCTTTTGATTGAGCAGTTTTGAATCCCTCTTTTTGCAGAATCTGCAAGTGGATATTTGGAGCCTTTTGAGGCCTACTGTGGAAAATCAAATATGTTCACGTAAAAACTACACAGAAAGAGTCTGAGAAACTTCTTTGTGATGTGTGCATTCAACTCACAGTGTTGAACCTGTCTTTTGATTGAGCAGTTTTGAATCTCTGTTTTTGTAGAATCTGCAAGTGGACATTTGGTGAGCTTTGAAGACTATTGTGGTAAAGGAAATATCTTCACATAAAAATTACACTGAAGCATTCTCAGAAACTTCTTCGTGATGTGTGTATTCAACTCACACTGTTGAACCTAACTTTTGATTGAGCAGTTTTGAATCTCTCTTTCTGCAGAGTCTGCAAGTGGATATTTGGAGAGCTCTGAGGCCTTATGTGGAAAAGGAAATATCTTCATATAAAAACTGCACAGAAACATTCTGAGAAACTTTTTGTGAGGTGTGCATTCAACCCACAGTGTTGAACATATCTTCTCCTTGAGCAGTTTTGAATCTCTCTTTTTGTAGAATCTGCAGGTGGATATTTGGAGACCTTTGAGACCTAATGTGGAAATGGAAATATCTTCAAATAAAAACCACACAGAAGCATTCTGAGAAACTTCTTTGTGATGTGTGCATTCAACTCACAGAGTTGAACCATTCTTTTGATACAGCAGGTTTGAAACAGTCTTTTTGAAGATTCTGCAAGTGGACATTTGGAGAGCTTTGAGGCCTATGGTGGAAAATGAAATAACTTCCCATAAAAACTAGACAGAAGCATTCTCAGAAACTTCTTTGTGATGTGCGCATTCAACTCACAGACTTGAACCTTTCTTTTGATAGAGCAGATTTGAAACACTGTTTTTGCAGAATCTGCATGTGGACATTTGGATAGCTTTGAGGCCTATGGTGGAAACGGGTATATCTTCACATAAAAACTAGATAGAAGCATTCTCAGAAACTTCTTAGTGATGTTTGCATTCAACTCACAGTGTTGAACCTTCCTTTTCAAAGAGCAGTTTTGAAACACTCTTTTCGTATAATCTGCAAGTAGATAATTGGACCTATTTGAAGCCTCCGTAGCAAAAGGGAATATCTTCACTTAATAGACAGAAGCATTCTCAGAAACTTCTTTCTGACGTGTGCATTCAATTCACAGAGTTGTACCTTTCTTTTGATAGAGTAGGTTTGAAACACTCTTTTTGTAGAATCTGCAAGTGGACCTTTGGAACGCTTTGAGGCCTATGGTGGAAGAGGAAATACCTTCACATGAAAACTAGACAGAAGCATTCTCAGAAACTTCTTTATGATGTTGCATTCAACTCAGAGAGTTGAACATACCTTTTGATAGAGCAGTTTTGAAACACTATTTTAGTAGAATCTGCAAGTGGATATTTGGACCGCTTTGAGGCCTTCATTGGAAATGGGAATAGCTTCACATAAACAGTAGACAAAAGCATTCTCAGAAACTTTTTGTGATGTGTGCATGCAACTCATAGAGTTGAACCTTTCTTTTGATACAGCAGGTTTGAACCACTCTTTTTGTAGGATCAACAAGTGGACATTTGGAGAGCTTTGAGGCCTATGGTGGAAAAGGAAGTATCTTTATATAAAAAGCAGACAGAGGAATTCTCAGAAACTTCTTTTGGATGTTGCATTCAACTCACAGAGTTGAACATACCTTTTGAAAGAGCAGTTTTGAAACACCCTTTAGTAGAATCTGCAAGTGGATATTTGGACCGCTTTGAGGCCTTTGTTGGAAACGGGAATATCTTCACATAAACACTAGACAGAACCATTCTCAGAAACTTCTTTCAGATGTGTGCATTCAACTCACGGAGTTGAAACTTTCTTTTTGTAGAGCAGGTTTGAAACACTCTTTTTGTGGAATCTACAAGTGGACATTTGGAGAGCATTGAGGCCTATGTTGGAAAAGGAAATATCATCACATGAAAACTAGACAGAAGCATTCTCAGAAACTTCTTTGTGATGTGTGCATTGAACTCACAGATTTGAACCTTTCTTTTGATCTAACTGGTTTGAACAACCCTTTTTGTAGTATCTGCAAGAGGACATTTGGATAGCTTTGAGGT
Organism: Homo sapiens; assembly: GCF_000001405.40. Lineage (NCBI taxonomy): Eukaryota > Metazoa > Chordata > Mammalia > Primates > Hominidae > Homo > Homo sapiens. The sequence goes on along the minus strand of NC_000022.11, from coordinate 16,042,594 downwards.
CTATGGTGGAAATGGAAATATTTTCACCCAAAAACTAGACAGAAGCATACGCAGGAACTTCTTGGTGATGTGTGCATTTAACTCACAGAGTTGAACTTTTCTTTTGATAGAGCAGGTTCGAAACACTCTTTTTGTAGAATCTGCAAGCAGACCTTTGGAGAGCTTTGAAGCCTATGATGGAAAAGAAAATATCTTAAGTAAAAACCAGACAGAAGAGCTCTCAGATACTACTTTGGGATGTTTGCATTCAACTCACAGAGTTGAACCTACCTTTACATTTAGCATTTTTGAAGCACTCTTTTTGTAGAATCTGCAAGTTGATATTTGGAACGTTTGAGGCCTTCGCTGGAAACGAGAATATCTTCACACAAACACTAGATGGAAGCATTCTCAGAAACTTCTATGTAAGGTGTTCATTAAACTCAAAGAGTTGAACCTTTCTTTTGATAGAGCAGTTTTGAAACACTCTTTTTGTAGAATCTGCAAGTGGACATTTGGAGAGCTTTGAGGCCTATGCTGGAAAAGGAAATATCTTTAAATAAAAACCAGACAGAAGTATTCTCAGAAACTTCTTTGTGATGTGTACATTCAACTGACAGAGTTGAACCTTCCTTTTCATAGAGCAGATTTGAAATACTCTTTTCGTAGATTCTGCAAGTGGATATTTGGACCGCTTTGAGGCCTTCATTGGAAACGGGAATATCTTCAGATAGAAACCAGACAGAAGCATTCTCAGAAAGTACTTTGTGATGTGAGCATTCATCTGACAGGGTTGAACCTTTCTTTTGATTGAGCATGTTTGAAACATTCTTTTTGTAGAATCTGCAAGTGGACATTCGCAGAGCTTTGAGGCCTATGGTGGAAAAGGAAATATCTTCACATAAAAACTAGACAGAAGCTTTCTCAGAAACTTCTTTGTGATGTTTGAATTCAACTCACAGGTTTGAACATACCTTTTCATGGAGCAGTTTTCAAACGCTCTTTTTGTAGAATCTGCAACTGGATAGTTGGAACGCTTAGAGGCCTTCTTTGGAAACGGGAATATCTTCACATAAAAACTAGACAGATACATTATCAGAAACTCCTTTCTGATGTTTGCATTCAACTCACAGAGTTGAACATACTTTATCATAGAGCAGTTTTGAAACACTCTTTTAGTAGAATCTGCAAGTGGATATTTAGACCGCTTTCAGCCTTTCGTTGGAAAAGGGAATATCTTCACATAATCACTAAACAGAAGTTGTCTCAAAAGCTTCTTTGTGCTGTGTGCATTCAACTCACCGAGTTGAACCTTTCTTTTGACATAGCAGGTTAGAAACACTCTTTTTGGAGAATCTGCAAGTGGACATTTGGAGCGCTTTGAGGCCTATGGTGGAAAAGGAAATATCTTCACAAAGAAACTGCACAGAAGCATTCTCAGAAACTTCTCTGTGATGTTTGCATTCAACTCAGAGAATTGAACATACCTTTTCATTGAGCAGTTTTGAAACACCCTTTAGTAGAATCTGCAAGTGGATATTTGGAACGCTTTGAGGCCTCCGTTGGAAACGGGAATATCTTCATATAAACACTAGACAGAAGCATTCTCAGAAACTTCTTTGTGTTGTGTGCATTCAATTCAGAGAGTTGAACCTTTTTTTGATATAGCAGGTTTGAAACACTCCTTTTGTAGAATCTGCAAGTGGATATTGGAGCGCTTTGAGGCCTATCATGGAAAAGGATATATCTTCACATAAAAACTAGACAGATGCATTCTCAGAAACCTCTTTCTGATGTTTGCATTCATCTCACAGAGTTGAACATACTTTATCATAGAGCAGTTTTGAAACACTCTCTTAGTAGAATCTGCAAGTGGATATTTGTACCGCTTTGAGGCCTTCGTTGAAAACGGGTATATCTTCACATAATCACTAGACAGAAGCTTTCTCAGAAACTTATTTATGCTGTGTGCATTCACCTCACGGAGTTGAACCTTTCTTTTGATAGATAAGGTTTCACACAGTCTTTTTGTAGAATCTACAAGTGGACATTTGGAGCGTTTTGAGGACTCTGGTGGAAAAGGAAATATCTTCACATAAAAACTAGACAGAAGCATTCTCAGAAACTTCTTTCTGATGTGTGCATTCAACTCACAGAGTTGAACCCTTCTTTTTATAGGGCAGGTTTGACCTATTTATAGAGCAGGTTTAGACCGATTTGAAGTTTTCATTGGAAACGGGAATATCTTCACATAATCACTAAACAGAAGCTGCCTCAAAAACTACTTTGTGCTGTGTGCATTCAACTCACACAGTTGAACATACTTTTTCATGGGGCAGTTTTGAAACACTCTTCTTGCAGAATTTGCAAGTGGATATTTGGACCGCTTTGGGGCCTTCATTGGAAATGGTAATATCTTCACATAAACACTAGACTGAAGAATTTTCGAAACTTCTTTGTGAAGTCTGCATTCAACTCACTAAGTTGAACCATTCTTTTGATAGAGCAGGTTTGAAACACTCTTTTTGTAGGATCTGCAAGTGGACATTTGGAGACCTTTGAGGCTTATGGTGTAAAAGGAAATATCATCACATAAAAACTAGACAGAAGCATTCTCAGAAACTACTTTGTGATGTTTGCATTCAACTCACAGAGTGGAATATATCATTTAATGGAGCAGTTTTGAAACACTCTTTTTGTAGAATCTGCAAATGGATATTTGGACCGCTTTGAGGCCGTCTTTGAAAACGGGAATATCGTCACATAAAAACTAGACAGATGCATTCTCAGAAACTTCTTTGTGATGTTTGCATTCAACTGACAGAGTTGAACATACTTTATCATAGAGCAGTTTTGAAACACTCGTTTAGGAGTATCTGCAAGTGGATATTTGGACCGCTTTGACGCCTTTGTTGGAAACCGGAATATCTTCACATAAAAACTAGATAGAAGCATTCTCAGAAACTTCTTTGTGACGTGTGCATTCAACTCACAGAGTTCAACCTTTCTTTTTATAGAGCAGGTTTCAAACACTCTTTTTCTATAATCTGCAAGTGGACATTTGGAGCGATTTGTGGCCTATGGTGGAAAAGGAAATATCTTCACATAAAAATTACACAGAAGCATTCTCAGAAACTTCTCTGTGATGCTTGCATTCAACTCACATAGTTGAACATACCTTTTCATGGAGTAGTTTTGAAACACTCTTTTTGTGGAATCTGCTAGTGGATATGTGGACCACTTTGAGGCCTTAGTTGGACACGGGAATATTTTCACATAAACACTAGACAGAAGCATTCTCAGAAACTTCTCTGTGTTGTGTGCATTCAACTCACGGAGTTGAACATACTTTATCATAGAACAGTTTTGAAACATTCTTTTAGTAGGATCAGCAAGTGGATATTTGGACCGCCTTGAGGCCTTCGTTGGAAACGGGAATATCTTCACATAAACACTAGAAAGAAGGATTCTCAGAAACTTCTTTGTGATGTTTGCATTCAACTCACAGAGTTGAACATAACTTTTCATAGAGTAGTTTTGAAACACTCTTTTCGTAGAATCTGCAAGTGGATATTTGGAACGCTTTGAGACCATCGTTGGAAACCTGAATATCTTCATATAAAAACTGGACAGAAGAATTCTCAGAAACTTCTTTGAGATGTGTGCATTCAACTTACAGAGTTGAACCTTTCCTTTGATAGAGCAGGTTTGAAACACTCTTTTTGTGGAATCTGCAAGTGGACGTTTGGAGCACTTTGAAGCCTATTGTGGTAAAGGAAATATCTTCACATAAAAACTAGACAGAATCATTCTCAGAAACTTCTTTTTGATGTCTGCCTTCAATTCGCAGGGTTGAACATACCTTTTCATACAGCAGTTTTAAAACACTATTTTTGTAGAATCTGCAAGTGGATATTTGGACCACTTTGAGGCCTTCATTGGAAAAGGAAATATCTTCACATAAACACTAGGCCGAAGCATTCTCAGAAACTTATTTGTGATGTGTGCATTCAACTCACAGAGTTGAACCATTCTTTTGATAGAGCAGGTTTGAATCACTCCTTTTGTAGGATCTGCAAGTTGACATTTTGAGAGGTCTGAGGCCTATGGTGGAAAAGGAAATATCTTCACATAAAAACTAGACAGAAGCATTCTCAGGAACTGCTTTGTGATGTTTGCATTCAGCTCACAGAGTTTAACATACCTTATCGTGGAGCAGATTTGAAACACTCTTTTTGTAGAATCTGCAAGTGGATAGTTGGACCGCTTTGAGATCTTTGTAGGAAACGGGAATATCTTCACATAAACACTAGACAGAAGCATACTCAGGAACTTCTTTGTGATGTGTGCATTCAACTCACAGAGTTGAACATGCTTTATCATAGAGCAGTTTTTAAACACTCTTTTTTTAGAATGTGCAAGTGGATATTTTGACTGCCTTGAGGCCTTCATTGGATACTGGAATATCTTCACCTAGAAACTAGACAGAAGCATTCTCAGAAACTTCTTTGTGATGTGTGCATTCAACTCACAGAGTTGAATATTTCTTTTGATAGAGCAGTTTTGAAACACTCTTTTTGTAGAATCTGCAAGTGGATATTTGGAAAGCTTTGAGGTAGAATCTGCAAATGGACATTTGGAGAGCTTTGAGGCATATGGTGGAAAAGAAAATATCTTTAAATAAAAACCAGACAGAAGAATTCTCAGAAACTACTTTGTGATGTTTCCATTCAAGTCACAGAGTTGAACATGTATTTTCATAGAGCAGTTTTGAAACACTCTTTTTGTATATTTGCCAAGTGGATATTTAGATCGTTTTGAGGCCTTCATTGGAAACGGGAATATCTTCACGGAAACACTAGACAGAAGCATTCTCAGAAACTTCTTTGTGATGTGTGCATTCAACTCACAGAGTTGAAGCTTTCTTTTGATAAAGCAGGTTTGAAACACTCTTTTTGCAGAATCTGCAAGTGAACATTTGGAGTGCATTGAGGCCTGTGGTGGAAAAGGAAATATCTTCATATAAAAACTAGATAGAAGCATTCTCAGAAACGTCTTTGTGATGTATGCATTCAACTCACGGAGTTGAACCTTTATTTCGATGGAGCAGGTTTGAAACACTCTTTGTGTAGAATCTGAAAGTGGATATTTGGACCATTTTGGGGCTTTCGTTGCAAACGGTAATATCTTCACATAAACACTAGATGGAAGCACTCTCAGAAACTTCTTTGTGACTTGTGCATTCAACTCACAGAGTTGAACTTTTCTTTTGATAGAGCAGGTTTGAAACTCTCTTTTTGTATAATCTGCAAGCGGACATTTGGGGTGCTTTGAGGTCTATCGTGGAAAAAGAAATATCTTTAAATAAAAACCAGACAGAGGAATTCTCAGAAACTACTTTGGAATGTTTCCATTCAACTGACAGAGTTGAACACACCTTTTCATAGAGCTGTTTTGAAACACTCCTTTTGTAGTATTTGCAAGTGGACATTTGGACCGCTTGGAGGCCTTTGTTGGAAACGGGAATATCTTCACATAAACACTAGACAGAAGCATTTTCAGCAACTTCTTTGGGATGTGTGCATTCAACTCACAGTGTTGAAGCTTTCTTTTGATAGAGCAGGTTTGAAACACTCATTTTGTAGAATCTGCAAGTGGACATTTGGAGAGTTTGAGGCCTATGGTGGGAAAGGGAATATCTTCACATAAATACTAGACAGAAGCATTCTCAGAAACTTCTTTGTGATGTTCGCATTCAACTCACAGAGTTGAACCTTCCTTTTCATAGAGCAGTTTTGAAACACTCGTTTTGCAGAAACTGCAAGTGGACATTTGGTGCGTTTTGAGACGTATGGTTGAAAAGGTAATATCTTCACATAAAAAGTAGACTGAAGCATTATCAGAAACTTCTTTGTGATGTTTGCATTCATCTCACAGAGTTGAAAATACTTTTTCATAGAGCAGTTTTGAAACACTCTTTTAGTAGAATCTGCAGGTGGATATTTGGACCGCTTAGAGGCCTTCGTTGGAAACGGGAATATTATCACATAAACACTAAATAGAATCGTTCTCAGAAACTTCTTTGTGATGTGTGCTTTCCACTCACAGAGTTGAACCATTCTTTTGATAGAGCAGCATTGAAACACTTTTTTTGTAGGATCTGCAAGTGGACATTTGGAGAGCTTTGTGGCCTATTGTGGAAAAATACCATCACATAAAAACTAGACAGAAGCATTCTCAGCAACTTCTTTGTGATGTTTGCATTCAACTCACAGAGTTGAACACACCTTTTCATGGTGCAGTTTTGAAACACTCTTTTTGTAGAATCTGCAACTGGATATTTGGACTTATTTGAGGCCTTCGTTGGAAACGGGAATATCTTCACATAATCACTAGACAGAAGCTTTCTCAGAAACTTTTTCGTGATGTGTGCATTAAACTCCAAGAGTTGAACCTCTCTTTTGATAGAGCAGTTTTGAAACACTCTTTTTGTAGAATCCGCAAGTGGACATTTGGAGAGCTTTCAGACCTATGGTGGAAAAGGATATATCTTCACATAAAAATTAGACAGAGGAATTCTCAGAAACTTCTTTGTGATGTTTGCATTCAACTCACAGAGCTGAACCTTCGTTTTCATACAGCAGTTTTGAAACACTCCTTTCGTAGAATCTGCAAGTGGATGTTCGGACCGCTTTGAGGCCTTCATTGGAAACGGGAATATCTTCACATAGAAACTAGAAATAAGCATTCTCAGAAACTTCTTTTTGATGTGAGGATTCAACTCAGAGAGTTGAACCTTTCTTTTGACAAGGCAGGTTTGAAATATTCTTTCTTTTAGAATCTGCAAGTGGACATATAGAGCGCTTTGGGGCCTACGGTAGAAAAGCAAATATCTTCACATAAAAATTAGAAAGAAGCATTCTCAGAAACTTCTTTGTGATGTTTCCATTCAATTCACAGAGTTGAACATACTGTATGATAGAGCAGTTTTGAAACACTCTTTTAGTAGAATCTGCAAGTGGATATTTGGACTGCTTTGAGGCCTTCATTGGTAACGGGATTATCTTCACATAAACACTAGACAGAAGCATTCTCAGAAACTTCTTTGTGATGTGTGCATTCAAGTCACAGAGTTTAACCTTTCTTTTGATAGAGAAGTTTAGAAACATTCTTTTTTTTAGAATCTGCAAGTGGATATTTGGACCGCTTTTTTGCCTTCTTTGGAAACGGGATTTTCTTCACATAAACACTAGACAGAAGGATACTCAGAAACTTATTTTTGATGTGTGCATTCAACTCACAGAGTTGAACCTCTGTTGTGATAGTGCAGGTTTGCAACACTCTTTTTGTAGAGTCTGCAAGTGGACATTTGGAGCGCTTTGAGGCCTATTGTAGAAAAGGAAATAACTTTATATAAAAATGAGACAAAAGAATTCTCAGAAATTTCTTTGTGATGTTTGCATTCAACTCACCGAGTTGAACCTTTTTTTTGACAGAGCAGGTTTGAAACATTCTTTTTGTAGAATCTGCAAGTGGATATTTGGACCGCTTTGAGGCCTTCATTGGAAATGGGAATATCTTCACATAATCACTAGACAGAAGCATTCTCAGAAACTTCTTTGTGACGTGCAAATTCAACTCACAGAGTTGAACCTTTCTTTTGATAGAGCAGATTTGAAACACTCTTTTTGCAGAATCTGTAAGTGGATATTTGAAGCGCTTGGAGGCCTATGGTTGAAATGGAAATATCTTCACATAAAAACTAGACAGAAGCATTCTCAGAAACTTCTTTGTGATTCAGCAATCCACTCACAGAGTTGGACACACTTTATCATAGAGCAGTAATCAAATACTCTTTTAGTAGAATCTGCAAGTGGACATTTGGACAGCTTTGAGGCTTTCATTGGAAACGGGAATATCTTCACATAATCACTAGATAGAAGCATTCTCAGAAACATCTTTGTGACGTGCAAATTCAACTCACAGAGTTGAAATTTCTTTTGAGAGAGCAGGTTTGACACACTCTTTTTGTAGGGTCTGCAAGTGAACATTTGGAGAGCTTTGAGGCCTGTTGTGGAAAAGCAAATATCTTCCCATAAAAACTAGACAAAAGCATTCTCAGAAACTTCTTTGTGATGTTTGCCTTGAACTCACAGAGTTGAACATACCTTATCATAGAGCAGTTTTGAAACACTCTTTTAGTGGAATCTGCAATTGGATATATTGAAAGCCTTGAGACCTTCATTGGAAATGGGAATATCTTCATCTGAAAACTAGACAGCAGCATTCTCAGAATCTTCTTTGTGATGTGCACATTCAACTCCCAGAGTTGAACCTTTCTTTTGATAGAACAGTTTTGAAACACTCTTTTTGTAGTATCTGCAAGTGGATATTGGATAGCTTTGAGGCTTTCGTTGCTATCGGGAATATCTTCACATAAAAACTAGACAAAAGCATTCTCAGAAACTTCTTTGTGATGTTAGTATTCCACTCACAGAGTTGGACACACTTTATCATAGAGCAGTTTTGAAACCCTCTTTTAGTAGAATCTGCAAGTGCATATTTGGACCGCTTCTAGGCCATCGTTGGAAATGGGATATCTTCACATAATCACTAGACAGAAGCATTCTCAGAAACCTCTTTGTGACGTGCGAATTGAGCTCACAGAGTTGAACCTTTCTTTTGATAGGGTAGGTTTGAAACACTCTTTTTGCCTAATCCGCAAGTGGATATTTGAAGCGCTTTTAGGTCTATGGTGGAAAAGGAAATATCTTCACATAAAAACCAGACAGATGCATTCTCAGAAACTTCTTTGTGATGTTAGTATTCCACTCACAGAGTTGGACACACTTTATCATAGAGCAGTTTTGAAACACTCTTTTAGTAGAATCTGCAAGTGGATATTTGGACCGCTTTGAGGTTTTCGTTGGAAACGGGAATATCTTCACATAATCACTAGAGAGAAGTTTTCTCAGAAACTTCTTTGTGCTGTGTGCATTCAACTCACAGAATTCAACCTTTCTTTTGATAGAGCAGTTTCGAAACAGTGTTTTTGTAGAATCTGCAAGTGGACATTTGGAGAGCTTTGAGCCCTATGGTCGAAAAAGAAATATCCTCACATAAAAAGTAGACAGAATCATTCTCAGAAACTTCTTTGTGATGTTTGCATTCAACTCACAGAGTTGAAGATACTTTATCATAGAGCAGGATTGACACACTCTTTTAGTAGAATCTGCAAGTGGATATTTGGACCACTTTGAGGCCTTCGTTGGAACCGGGAATATCTTTACAAAAAAACTAGACAGAAGCATTCTCAGAAACTTCTTAGTTATGTGTACATTCAACTCACAGAGTTGAACCTTTCTTTTGATAGAGCATATTTGAAACACACTTTTTGTAGAATTTGCAAGTGGACATTTGGATAGCTTTGAGGCCCATGGTGGAAAAAGAAATAACTTCACACAAAAGCTAGACAGAAGCATTCTCAGAAATTTCTTTGTGGTGTTTGCATTCAACTCACAGAGTTGAACATATGTTTTCATGGAGCAAATTTGAAACACCCTTTTTGTGGAATCTGCAAGTGGATATTTGGACCGCTTTGAGGCCTTTGTTGGAAACGGAAATATCTTCACATAAGAACTAGAGAGAAGCATTCTCGGAAACTTCTTTGTGGTGCTTGCATTCAACTCACAGAATTGAACCTTTCTTTTGATAGAGCAGTTTTGAAACTCTCCTTTGTAGAACTTGCAAGTGGATATTTGGACCGCTTTGAGGCCTTCGTTGGAAACAGGAATATCTTCACATAAAAACTAGACAGAAGCATTCTCAGAAACTTCTTTGTGATGTGTGCGTTCATCTCGCAGAGTTGTACCTTTCTTTTGATAGAGCAGGTTTGAAACACTCTTATGTAGGATCTGCAAGTGGACATTTGGATGGCTTTGAGACCTATGCTGGAAAAGGAAATATCTTCACACAAAAACTAGACAGAAGCATTCTCGGAAACTTCTTTGTGATGTTTGCATTCAACTCACAGATTTCAACGTTTCTTTTCATAGAGCAGTTTTGAAACACCCTTTTCATAGAATCTGCTAGTAGATATTTGGAACGCTTTGAGGTCTTCATTGGAAACGGGATTATGTTCATATAAAAACTAGACAGTAACATTCTCAGAAACTTCTTTGTGATGTGTGCATTAATCTCACAGAGTTGAACCTTTCTTTTGATATAGAATGTTTGAAACACTCTTTTTTCAGAATCTACAAGTGGACATTTTGACTGCTTTGAGGCCTTCGTTGGAAACAGGAATATCTTCACATAAACACTAGACAGAAGCATTCGCAGAAACTTCTTGTGATGTTTGCTTTCAACTCACAGAGTTGAAACTTTCTTTTGATAGAACAGGTTAGAAACACTCTTTTTGTAGAATCTGCAAGTGGACATTTGGAACGCCTTGAGGCCTATGGTGGAGAAGGAAATATCTTCCCATAAAAACTAGACAGAAGAATTCTCAGAATCTTCTTTGTGATGTTTGCTTTCAACTCACAGATTTGGACATACTGTATCATAGAGCAGTTTTGAAACACTCTTTTCGTAGCATCTGCTAGTGGATATTTGGACCTCTTACCAGCCTTCATTGGAAACGGGAATATCTTCACATAATCACTAGAAAGAAGCTTTCTCAGAAACTTCTTTGTGCTGTGTGCATTCAACTCACAGATTTGAACCTTTCTTTTGATAGAGCAGGTTTGAAACACTCTTTTTTTATAATCTGCAAGTGGACATTTGGAGCGCTTTAAGCCCTACGGTGGAAAAGGAAATATCTTCACATAAAAGCTAGATAGAAGCGTTCTCAGAAACTTCTTTGTGACGTTTGCATTCAACTCACAGAGTTGGACATACTTTGTCACAGAGCAGTTTTGATACACTCTTTTAGTAGGATCTACAAGTGGATATTTTGACAGCTTAGTGGCCTTAGTTGGAAATGGGAATATCCTTATATAAAAATTAGACAGAAGCATTCTCAGAAACTTCTTTGTGTTGTGTACATTCAACTCACAGAGTTGAACCTTTCTTTTGACAGAGCAGGTTTGAAACACTGTTTTTGTAGAATCCGTAAGTGAACCTCTGGAGCGCTTTGAGGCCTATGGTGGAAAAGGAAATAAGTTCACATAAAAACTAGACAGAAGTATTCTCAGAAACTTCTTTGTGATGTTTGCATTCAACTCACAGAGTTGAACATACCTTATAATAAAGCAGTTTTGAAACACTCATTTAGTAGAATCTGTAAGTGGATATTTGGACCGCTTTGAGGTCTTCGTTGGAAACGGGAATATCTTGACATAAAAACTAGACAGCAGCATTCTCAGAAACTTCTTTGTGATGTGTACATTCAAATCACAGAGTTGAACATTTCTTTTCATAGAGCAGTTTTGAAACACTCCTTTGGAGAATTTGCAAGTGGATATTTTTACTGCTGTGAGGCCTTCGTTTGAAACGGAAATGTATTCACATAAACAGTAGACAGAAGCATTCTCACAAACTTCTTTGTGATGTGTGCCTTCAACTCACAGAGTTGAAACTTTCTTTTTAGAGAGCAGGTTTGAAACACTCTTTTTGTAGAATCTGCAAGTGGACATTTGGAGCGCTTTGAGGTCTATGGTGGAAAAGGAAATATCTTCCCACAAAAACTAGACAGAAGGATTCTCAGAAACTTCTTTGTGATGTTTGTATTCAACTCACAGAGTTGAACATACCATTTCATAGAGCAGTTTTGAAACACTCTTTTTGTAGAAACTGCAAGTGGAAATTTGGAGAGCTTTGAGGCCTTTGTTGGAATCGGTTATATCTTCACATAAACACTAGACAGAAGCATTCTCAGAAACTTCTTTGTGATGTGTAGATTCAACTCACAGACTTGAAGCTTTCTTTTGATAGAGCAGGTTTGAAACACTCTTTTTGCAGAATCTCAAGTGGACATTTGGAGCGCTTTCAGGCCTACAGTGGAAAAGGAAATAACTTCCCATAAAAACTAGACAGAAGCATTCTCAGAAACTCATTTGCCATGTTTGCCTTCAACTCACAGAGTTGAAAATACTTTATCACTGAGCAGTTTTGAAACACTCTTTAGTAGAATCTTCAAGTGGATATTTGGAACGCTTTGAGGCCTTCGTTGGAAATGAGAATATCATCACATAAAAACTATACAGGAGCATTCTCAGAAACTTCTTTGTGATGTGTACATTCAGTGCACAGAGTTGAACCTTTCTTTTGATAGTGCAGGTTTGAAACACTCTTTTTTTAGAATTGGCAAGAGGATATTTGGACCGCTTTGAGGCCTTCGTTGGAAGCGGGAAGATATTCACATAAATACTAGCAGAAGCATGCTCAGAAACTTCTTTGTGATGTGTGCATTCAACTCACAGAGATGAACCTTTCTTTTGATAGAGCAGGATTGAAACTCTCTTTTTGTAGAATCTGCAAGTGGACATTTGGAGAGCTTTGAGGCCTATGGTGGAAAAGGAAATATCTTTATATAAAAACGAGACAGAACAATTCTCAGAAACTTCTCTGTGATGTTCGCATTCCACTCACAGAGTTGAACATACCATTTCATAGAGCCCTTTTGAAACACTCTTTGTAGAATCTGCAAGTGGATATTTGGACTGCTTTGAGGTCTTTGTTGGAAATGGGAATATCTTCACATAAGTACTAAACAGAGGCATTCTCAGAAACTTCTTTGTGATGTGTGCATTCAACTCACAGAGCTGAACCTTTCTTTTGATAGAGCAGGTTTGAAACACTCATTTTGTAGAATCTCCAAGTGGACATTTGGAGTGCTTTGTGGCCTATGGTGGAAAAGGAAATATCTTCACTTAAAAACTAGACAGAAGCATTCTCAGAAAATTCTTTTTGATGTTTGCATTCAATTCAGAGTTGAAACTTCCTTTTCATAGATCAGTTTTGAAACACTCCTTTAGTAGAATCTGAAGTGGATATTTGGACTGCTTTGAGGCATTCAATGGAAATGGGAATATCTTCACATAATCACTAGACAAGGGTTCTCTGAAACTTCTTTGTGTTGTGTGCATTAAAATCACAGAGTTGAACCTTACTTTTCATAGAGCAGGTTTGAAACACACTTTTTGTACAATCTGTAACTGGACATTTAAAGTGCTTTGAGGCCTATGGTGGAAAAGGAAATATCTTCCAATAAAAATTAGCTAGAAGCTTTCTCAGAAACTTCTTTGTGATGTTTGCATTCAACTCACAGAATTGAACATATGTTATCATAGAGCTGTTTTGAAACACTCTTTTAGTTGAATCTGCAAGTGGATATTTGGAATGCCTTGAGGCCTTCGTTGGAAAAGGGAATATCTTCAAATAAAAACTAGACAGCATCATTCTCAGAAACTTGTTTGTGATGTGTACATTCAGCTCACTGAGTTGAACCTTTCTCTTGATAGAGCAGTTTTGAAAAACTCTTTTTTTTTTATCTCAAACAGATTTTAATGTTGAGTACATACACATTTTTTTTCTTTTCTGTGTTACAAATTCTTTGGAAGTGTGAACAATTTTTCTGTTGTTTAACTTGTCTTGAGGTGACATACCTGATGTGAAAGATGTGAAATACAACCCCCTCCCATTTTTCAAAATAATTTGAAGCTAAAACTTTAAATATAAATTTTTACGTCTTAAATATAATAACATACATAATAATAAAGTACAAAAATTAATTATGCTAAAATAATGTAGGGATTTAAAAATATTTATACCTGATGATGCTTTAATGTGTATGGTTTGTACATACATACATCCATTACATATACATATAATTAAGAATCTTCAAAATTTTATTATCTTTATTTGAGTCCTCCGAATAGTAAATCATTGAACAAATAATAATTTAGGATGTAGAAATGATGTTTGGTTCCTAGAGTATACTATAATCACCCTGCCAGATTACTGCTTGCTTTACCATGTACTGATGAAAGTATCTCTTTCTATTGTTATTTTTTTAGTTCAGGAAATTATTATGAGATATAATATTTTCAAAATTTATTTGAATCTTTGAATGATTTTTAGTTTTAGTAAAGAATAATTTCCTAAGGAAGAAAGTTGTGAAATCAAGACAGATCATGATTAAATAAGTTCAATTTTGAGAAGACTGATATATAATTTAATGAGAAAATTTAAATGTTTACATAGAACATTTCTATTTTCTGGAAGAAATAACTTTGTTTCTAAGATAAAAATAAGGAAATATGTATTTTAGAAAATTAGATATGAAACTATTACTAATTATAAAATAGTTTGTAAACACATTAATAACATGGCATATTGCTCACTCCTGCTTCTATGTCAAAATGAACAGAAACAGACTTTAAATGAGGGTGGAGAAGGAGGACGGATATGTGGGTGATGGAAAAACAAAGCAGGTTTTTATTTTCTTTTGCTTATTTGCTTTGACATGGTAAGTAAGTTAACTGGCATTTTAGAATCTCTGTTCATTAGGAATATATTTCTAAGTTTTATCTCCAATCTTCAATAAAATAGCAGTATTACAGGATTTAATGGTTATTTTAAAAACATATATACACAGATACAATAGAGAAATAAAACAACTTGAGTGGTTGTCAAGATACGCTATTTTTCTGAGGACTCTGATTTTATCAGTTCTCCAGAATGCATAAGCACAAAAATCGCAAGGAGAAAAAGACATTTTATCCACATCAAGCTACAGAGTTGAACATTGAGGGGGCAACATTTGTAATAAAATGACTCACTTCACAATATAACATTTTGGCTACAGTGATTTTAACACATATTCTTCATTTATGACCTATGACACCTAAGAGTACTTCCTGGATAAACGCCTATGCACTGGAAGAGCCTTCTGTCCTCTGCAGGCCTCTGCACATCCAGCCTTTTTGTTTTTTCACAGCCTGCTTTGTGATTTCACTTCATACTTTACCTTTTCCAGGATGTTATAAAGTTGGAACAATACAGTATGTAGCCTTTTCAGATTGGCTTCTTTTACTTAGTAATATACATTTAAGTTTCCTTCGTGTCATTTCATAGCTTGATATCATAACTCATTTCTTTTTAGCACTGAATATTTCATTGGATATAGCACAGTTTATTTGTTGATTCACCTTCTGAAGAATATGTTGTTTGATTCCGAGTCTTGGAAATCATAAGTGAAAATGCTATAAATATTCACCAGCAAGTCTTTGTGTGAACATAAGTTTTGAACTCATTTGGGTAAATGACAAAGAGTGCAATGGCTGAATTGCATGGTAAGACTCTGTTTAGTTTTCTAAGAAACTGCCACATTGTCTTCCAAAGTGAAAATATACTGTTTTGCATTCCCACCAGCAGTGAATGAGAATTTTTGTTGCTCTACATCTTTGCCAGCATTTGGTGCTTTCTGTGTTTTGAATTTTGATTATTCTAATGGATGTGTTTTGGTATCTCATTGTTGTTTAAATATGCATTTCCTTGATGACATATGATAAGCATCTTTTCATATGCTTACATGCAATTTGCATTGTTTTTTTTTCTTTTTTTTTCCTTTTTTTTTTTAAATTATACTTTAAGTTTTAGGGTACATGTGCACATTGTGCAGGTTAGTTACATATGTATACATGTGCCATGCTGGTGCGCTGCACCCACTAACTCGTCATCTAGCATTAGGTATATCTCCCAATGCTATCCCTCCCCCCTCCACCCACCCCACCACAGTCCCCAGAGTGTGATATTCCCCTTCCTGTGTCCATGTGATCTCACTGTTCAATTCCCACCTATGAGTTAGAATATGCGGTGTTTGGTTTTTTGTTCTTGTGATAGTTTACTGAGAATGATGATTTCCAATTTCATCCATGTCCCTACAAAGGACATGAGCTCATCATTTTTATGGCTGCATAGTATTCCATGGTGTATATGTGCCACATTTTCTTAATCCAGTCTATCATTGTTGGACATTTGGGTTGGTTCCAAGTCTTTGCTATTGTGAATAATGCCACAATAAACATACATTTGCATGTGTCTTTATAGCAGCATGATTTATAGTCCTTTGGGTATATACCCAGTAATGGGATGGCTGGGTCAAATGGTATTTCTAGTTCTAGATCCCTGAGAAATTGCCACACTGACTTCCACAATGGTTGAACTAGTTTACAGTCCCACCAACAGTGTAAAAGTGTTCCTATTTCTCCACATCCTCTCCAGCACCTGTTGTTTCCTGACTTTTTAATGATTGCCATTCTAACTGGTGTGAGATGATATCTCATTGTGGTTTTGATTTGCATTTCTCTGATGGCCAGTGATGATGAGCATTTTTTCATGTGTTTTTTGGCTGCATAAATGTCTTCTTTTGAAAAGTGTCTGTTCATGTCCTTCGCCCACTTGTTGATGGGGTTGTTTGTTTTTTTCTTGAAAATTTGTTTGAGTTCATTGTAGATTCTGGATATTAGCCCTTTGTCAGATGAATAGGTTGCGAAAATTTTCTCCCATTTTATAGGTTGCCTGTTCACTCTGGTGGTAGTTTCTTTTGCTGTGCAGAAGCTCTTTAGTTTAATTAGATCCCATTTGTCAATTTTGTCTTTTGTTGCCATTGCTTTTGGTGTTTTGGACATGAAGTCCTTGTCCATGCCTATGTCCTGAATGGTAATGCCTAGGTTTTCTTCTAGGGTTTTTATGGTTTTAGGTCTAACATGTAAGTCTTTAATCCATCTTGAATTGATTTTTGTATAAGGTGTAAGGAAGGGATCCAGTTTCAGCTTTCTACATATGAGTAGCCAGTTTTCCCAGCACCATTTATTAAATAGGGAATCCTTTCCCCATTGCTTGTTTTTCTCAGGTTTGTCAAAGATCAGATAGTTGTAGGTATGTGGCGTTATTTCTGAGGGCTCTGTTCTGTTCCGTTGATCTATATCTGTGTTTTGGTACCAGTACCATGCTGTTTTGGTTACTGTAGCCTTGTAGTATAGTTTGAAGTCAGGTACTGTGATGCCTCCAGCTTTGTTCTTTTGGCTTAGGATTGCCTTGGCGATGCGGGCTCTTTTTTGGTTCCATATGAACTTTAAAGTAGTTTTTTCCAATTCTATGAAGAAAGTCATTGGTAGGTTGATGGGGATGGCATTGAATCTGTAAATTACCTTGGACAGTGTGGCCATTTTCACGATATTGATTCTTCCTACCCATGAGCATGGAATGTTCTTCCATTTGTTTGTATCCTCTTTTATTTCCTTGAGCCGTGGTTTGTAGTTCTCCTTGAAGAGGTCCTTCACGTCCCTTGTAAGTTGGATTCCTAGGTATTTTATTCTCATTGAAGCAATAGTGAATGGGAGTTCACTCATGATTTGGCTCTCTGTTTGTCTGTTGTTGGTGTATAAGAATGCTTGTGATTTTTGTACATTGATTTTGTATCCTGAGACTTTGCTGAAGTTTCTTATCAGCTTAAGGAGATTTTGGGCTGAGACAATGGGGTTTTCTAGATATATAATCATGTCATCTGCAAACAGGGACAATTTGACTTCCTCTTTTCCTAATTGAATACACTTTATCTCCTTCTCCTGACTAATTGCCCTGGGCAGAACTTCCAACACTATGTTGAATAGGAGTGGTGAGAGAGGGCATCCCTGTCTTGTGCCAGTTTTCAAAGGGAATGCTTCCAGTTTTTGCCCATTCAGTATGATATTGGCTGTAGGTTTGTCATAGATAGCTCTTATTATTTTGAAATACGTCCCATCAATACCTAATTTATTGAGAGTTTTTAGCATGAAGGGTTGTTGAATTTTGTCAAAGGCTTTTTCTGCATCTATGGAGATAATCATGTGGTTTTTGTCTTTGGCTCTGTTTATATGCTGGATTATATTTATCGGTTTGCGTATATTGAACCAGCCTTGCATCCCAGGGATGAAGGCCACTTGAACATGGTGGATAAGCTTTTTGATGTGCTGCTGGATTCGTTTTGCCAGTATTTTATTGAGGATTTTTGCATCAATGTTCATCAAGGATATTGGTCTCAAATTCTCTTTTTTGGTTGTGTCTCTGCCTGGCTTTCGTATCAGAATGATGCTGGCCTCATAAAATGAGTTAGGGAGGATTCCCTCTTTTTCTATTGATTGGAATAGTTTCAGGAGGAATGGTACCAGTTCCTCCTTGTACCTCTGGTAGAATTCAGCTGTGAATCCATCTGGTCCTGCACTCTTTTTGGTTGGTAAACTATTGATTATTGCCACAATTTCAGATCCTGTTATTGGTCTATTCAGAGATTCAACTTCTTCCTGGTTTAGTCTTGGGAGAGTGTATGTGTCCAGGAATTTATCCATTTCTTCCAGATTTTCTAGTTTATTTGCGTAGAGGTGTTTGTAGTATTCTCTGATGGTAGTTTGTATTTCTGTGGGATCGGTGGTGATATCCCCTTTATCATTTTTTATTGTGTCTATTTGATTCTTCTCCCTTTTTTTCTTTAGTAGTCTTGCTAGCGGTCTATCAATTTTGTTGATCCTTTCAAAATACCAGCTCCTGGATTCATTAATTTTTTGAAGGGTTTTTTGTGTCTCGATTTCCTTCAGTTCTGCTCGGATTTTAGTTATTTCTTGTCTTCTGCTAGCTTTTGAATGTGTTTGCTCTTGCTTTTCTAGTTCTTTTAATTGTGATGTTAGGGTGTCAATTTTGGATCTTTCCTGCTTTCTCTTGTGGGCATTTAGTGCTATCAATTTCCCTCTACACACTGCTTTGAATGCGTCCCAGAGATTCTGGTATGTTGTGTCTTTGTTCTCATTGGTTTCAAAGAACATCTTTATTTCTGCCTTCATTTTGTTATGTATCCAGTAGTCATTCAGGAGCAGGTTGTTCAGTTTCCATGTAGTTGAGTGGTGTTGAGTGAGATTCTTAATCCTGAGTTCCAGTTTGATTGCATTGTGGTCTGAGAGATAGTTTGTTATAATTTCTGTTCTTTTACATTTGCTGAGGAGACCTTTACTTCCAAGTATGTGGTCAATTTTGGAATAGGTGTGGTGTGGTGCTGAAAAAAATGTATATTCTGTTGATTTGTGGTGAAGAGTTCTGTAGATGTCAATTAGGTCCGCTTGGTGCAGAGCTGAGTTCAATTGCTGGGTATCCTTGTTGATTTTCTGTCTCGTTGATCTGTCTAATGTTGACAGTGGGGTGTTAAAGTCTCCCATTATTAATGTGTGGGAGTCTAAGTCTCTTTGTAGGTCACTCAGGACTTGCTTTATGAATCTGGGTGCTCCTGTATTGTGTGCATATATATTTAGGATATTTAGCTCTTCTTGTTGAATTGATCCCTTTACCATTATGTAATGGCCTTCTTTGTCTCTTTTGATCTTTGTTGGTTTAAAGTCTGCTTTATCAGAGACTAGGATTGCAACCCCTGCCTTTTTTTGTTTTCCATTTGCTTCGTAGATCTTCCTCCATCCTTTTATTTTGAGCCTATATGTGTCTCTGCCCATGAGACGGGTTTCCTGAATACAGCACACTGATGAGTCTTGACTCTTTATCCAATTTGCCAGTCTGTGTCTTTTAATTGGAGCATTTAATCCATTTACATTTAAAGTTAATATTGTTATGTCTGAATTTGAGCCTGTCATTAAGATGTTAGCTGGTGATTTTGCTCGTTAGTTAATGCAGTTTCTTCCTAGTCTCGATGCTCTTTACATTTTGGCATGATTTTGCAGTGACTGGTACCGGTTGTTCCTTTCCATGTTTAGCGTTTCCTTCAGGAGCTCTTTTAGGGCAGGCGTGGTGGTGACAAAATCTCTCAGCATTTGCTTGTCTGTAAAGTATTTTATTTCTCCTTCACTTATGAAGCTTAGTTTGGCTGGATATGAAATTCTGGGTTGAAAATTCTTTTCTTTAAGAATGTTGAATATTGACCCCCACTCTCTTCTGGCTTGTAGGGTTTCTGCCAAAGATCTGCTGTTAGTCTGATGGGCTTCCCTTTGAGGGTAACCCGACCTTTCTCTCTGGTTGCCCTTAACATTTTTTCCTTCATTTCAACTTTGGTGAATCTGACAATTATCTGCCTTGGAGTTGCTGTTCTCAAGGAGTATCTTTGTGGCGTTCTCTGTATTTCCTGAATCTGAATGTTGGCCTGCCTTGCTAGATTGGGGAAGTTCTCCTGGATAATAGCCTGCAGCGTGTTTTCCAACTTGGTTCCATTCTCCCCATCACTTTCAGGTACACCAATCAGACTTAGATTTGGTCTTTTCACATAGTCCCATATTTCTTGGAGGCTTTGCTCATTTCTTTTTATTCTTTTTTCTCTAAACTTCCCTTCTCACTTCATTTCATTCATTTCATCTTCCATTGCTGATACACTTTCTTCCAGTTGATTGCATCAGCTCCTGAGGCTTCTACATTCTTCACGTAGTTCTTGAGCCTTGGTTTTCAGCTCCATCATCTCCTTTAAGCACTTCTCTGTATTGGTTATTCTAGTTATACATTCTTCTAAATTTTTTTCAACATTTTCAACTTCTTTGCCTTTGGTTTGAATGTCTTCCTGTAGCTCAGAGTAATTTGATCATCTGAAGCCTTCTTCTCTCAGCTCGTCAAAGTCATTCTCCATCCAGCTTTGTTCCGTTGCTGGTGAGGACCTGCGTTCCTTTGGAGGAGGAGAGGCACTCTGCGTTTTAGAGTTTCCAGTTTTTCCGTTCTGTTTTTTCCCCATCTTTGTGGTTTTATCTACTTTTGGTCTTTGATGATGGTGATGTACAGATGGGTTTTTGGTGTGGATGTCCTTTCTGTTTGTTAGTTTTCCTTCTACCAGACAGGACCCTCAGCTGCAAGTCTGTTGGAATACCCTGCCGTGTGAGGTGTCAGTGTGCCCCTGCTGGGGGGTGCCTTCCAGTTAGGCTGCTCGGGGGTCAGGGGTCAAGGACCCACTTGAGGAGGCAGTCTGCCCGTTCTCAGATCTCCAG
The DNA here is from genome assembly GCF_000001405.40 of Homo sapiens. NCBI lineage: Eukaryota > Metazoa > Chordata > Mammalia > Primates > Hominidae > Homo > Homo sapiens. Next base: position 16,021,670 of record NC_000022.11, on the reverse strand, counting down.
CTGCATTCTGGGAGAACCACTGCTCTCTTCAAAGCTGTCAGACAGGGACATTTAAGTCTGCAGAGGTTACTGCTGTCTTTTTGTTTGTCTGTGCCCTGCCCCCAGAGGTGGAGCCTACAGAGGCAGGCAGGCCTCCTTGAGCTGTGGTGGGCTCCACCCAGTTGGAGCTTCCTGGCTGCTTTGTTTGCCTAATCAAGCCTGGGCAATAGCAGGCGCCCCTCCCCCAGCCTCACTGCCACTTTGCAGTTTGATCTCAGACTGCTGTGCTAGCAATCAGCTAGACTTTGTGGGCATAGGACCCTCCTAGCCAGGTGCGGGATATAATCTCGTGGTGGGCCGTTTTCTAAGCCGGTCCAAAAAGCACAATATTTGGGTGGGAGTGACCCGATTTTCCAGGTGCGTCCGTCACCCCTTTCTTTGACTCAGAAAGGGAACTCCCTGACCTCTTGCACTTCCCAAATGAGGCAATGCCTCGCCCTGCTTCGGCTTGCACATGGTGAGTGCACCCACTGACCTGCGCCCACTGTCTGGCATTCCCTAGTGAGATGAACCCGGTACCTCAGATGGAAATGCAGAAGTCACCCATTTTCTGCATTGCTCATGGTGGGAGCTGTAGACTGGAGCTGTTCCTATTCGGCTATCTTGGCTCCTCCATCCGAAAAACTCTTTTAGAAGAATCTGCAAGCAGATATTTGGACCACTTAGAGGCCTTCGATGGAAACGGGAATATCTTCACATAAAAACTAGACAGTAGCATTCTAAGAAATTTTTTGTGATGTGTACATTCAACTAACAGAGTTGAAACTTTCTATTGATAGATCAGTTTTGAAACACTCTTTTTGTAGTATCTGCAAGTGGTTATTTGTACTGCTTTGAGGCCTTCGTTTGAAACGGGAATATCTTCACATAAACACTAGACAGAAGCATTCTCAGAAACTTCTTTGTGATGTGTGCCTTCAACTCACAGAGTTGAACCTTTCTTTTGATAGAGCAGGTTTGAAACACTCTTTTTTTAGTATCTGCAAGTGGATATTTGTACTGCTTTGAGGTCTTCGTTTGAAACGGGAATATCTTCAGATAAACACTGGACAGAAGCATTCTCAGAAACTTCTTTGTGATGTTTGCATTCAACTACTCACAGAGTTGAACATAATTTGTCATAGAGCAGTTTTGAAATGCTCTTTTTGTAGAATCTGCTAGTGGATATTTGGACTGCTTTGAGGCATTCGTTGGAAACGGGAATATCTTCATATGAAAACAAGACAGAAACATTCTCAGAAACTTCTTTTTGATGTGTGCATTCAACTCACAGAGTTGTACATTTCTTTTGATAGGGCAGTTTTGAAACACTCTTTTTGTAGAATCTGCAAGTGGACATTTCTGAACTTTGAGGCTTATGGTGGAAAAGGAAATATCTTCACATGAAAACTAGACAGAAGCATTCTCAGAAACTTCTATGTGATGTGTGCATTCAACTCACAGAGTTGAACCTTTCTTTTGATAGAACAGGTTAGAAACACTCTTTTTGTAGAATCTGCAAGTGGACATTTGGAACGCCTTGAGGCCTATGGTGGAGAAGGAAATATCTTCACATAAAAACTAGACAGAAGATTTCTCAGAAACTTCTTTGTGATGTTTGCTTTCAACTCACATATTTGGACATACTGTATCACAGAGCAGTTTTGAAACACTCTTTTCGTAGCATCTGCTAGTGGATATTTGGACTGCTTACCAGCCTTCATTGGAAACGGGAATATTTTCACATAATCACTAGACAGAAGCTTTCTCAGAAACTTCTTTGTGCTGTGTGCATTCAACTCACAGATTTGAACCTTTCTTTTGATAGAGCAGGCTTGAAACACTCTTTTCGTATAATCTGCTAGTGGACATTTGGAGCGCTTTCAGCACTACCGTGGAAAAGAAAATGTCTTCCAATAAAAACTAGACAGAAGCATTCTTAGAATCTTCTTTGTAATGTGTGCCTTCATCTCAAAGAGTTGAAACTTTCTTTTGATTGAGAAGTTTTGAAACACCCTTTTTGTAGATTCTGCAAGTGGACATTTGCAGCGCTATGGGGACTATGGTAGAAAAGGTAATATCTTCACAAAAAATCTAGACAGAAGCAATCTGAGAAACTTCTTTGTGATGTGTGCTTTCATCTCACAGAGTTCAAACTTTCTTTTGACTGAGCAGTTTTGAAACTCTGTTTTTGAAGTATTTGCAAGTGGACATTTAGATCGTTTTGAGGCCTATGATGGAAAAGGAAATATCTTCACATAAAAACTTGACAGAAGAATTCTGAGAATCTCCTTTGTGATTTATGCGTTTATCTCACAAAGTTGAATCTTCCTTTTGATTGAGCAGTTTAGAAACATTCTTTTTGTAGAATCTGCAAGTAGACTATTGGAGTGCTTTGTTGCCTATGGTAGAAAAGGAAATATCTTCACATAAAATCTAGACAGAAGCAATCTCAGAAACTTCTTTGTGATGTGTGCATTCATCTCACAGAGTCAAACCTTTCTTTTGGTTGAGTCGTTTTGAAGCCGTCTTTTTGTAGAATCTGCAAGTGGACATTTTGAGTGCTTTGAGGCCTACAGTGGGAAAAGAAATATCTTCACATAAAAACTAGACAGAAGAATTCTGAGAAACTTCTTTGTGATGTGTGCGTTCTTCTCATAGAGTTGAAACTTCTTTTGATTGAGCAGTTTGCAGACACTCTTTTTGTAGAATCTGCAAGTGGACATTAGGAGCGCTTTGTGGCCTACGTTATAAAAGGAAATATCTTCACATAAAATCTAGACAGAACCAATGTGAGAAACCTCTTTGTGATGTGTGCATTCATCTCACAGAGTTAAACCGTTCTTTTGATTGAGCACTTTTGAAACTCTTTTTTTGTAGAATCTGCAAGTGGACATTTGGAGTGCTTTGAGGCCTATGGTGGAAAAGGAAATATCTTCACATAAAAACTAGAGAGAAGAATTCTGAGAAACTTCTTTGTGATGTGTGCGTTCATCTCACAGAGTTGAACCTTTCTTTTGATTAAGAATTATGGAAGCACTCTTTTTGTAGATTCTGTACGTGGACTTTGAAGGGTTTTGCAGCCTAAGTTAGAAAAGGAAATATCTTCACATAAAATCTAGACAGAAGCAAACTGAGAAACTTCTTTGGGATGTGTGCATTCATCTCACAGGGTTAACTCTTATTTTTGATTGAGCAGTTTTGAAACTCTCTTTTTGTTGAATGTGGAAGTGGACATTTGGAGCGCTTTGAGGCTAATGGTGGAAAAGGAAATATCTTCACATAAAAACTAGACAGAAGCATTCTTAGAAACTTCTTTGTGATGTGTGCATTCATCTCACAGAGTTAAGCCTTTATTTTGATTGAGCAGTTTTGAATCTCTCTTTTTGTAGAATCTGCAAGTTAACATTTGGAGCGTTTTGAGGCCTGTGGAGGAAAAGGAAATATTTTCATATCAAAACTACACAGAAAAATTTGGAGAAGCTTCTTTGTGATGCATGCTTTTATCTCACAGAGTTGAACCTTTCTTTTGATTAAGCAGTTTGGAAACACTCTTTTTGTGGAATCTGCCAGTGGACATTTGGAGCGCTTTGCCGCCTATGTTAGAAAAGAAATATATTCCCATAAAATCTAGATGGAATCAATCTGAGAAACTTCTTTGTGATGTGTGCATTCATCTCACAGAGTTAAAACTTTCTTTTGATTGAGTTGTCTTGAAACTCTCTTATTGTAAAATCTGCAAGTGGACATTTGGAGCACTTTGAGGCCTATGATGGAAAAGGAAATATCTTCACATACAAACTAGACAGCAGAATTCTGAGAAACTACTTTGTGATGTATGCGTTCATATCACAGAGTTGAACCTTACTTTTGATTGAGCAGTTTGTAAACACTCTTTTTGTAGAATTTGCAACTGGACATTTGGAGCGCTTTGTGGCCTATGATAGAAAAGAAAATATCTTCACATAAAATCTAGATAAAAGCAATCTGACAAACTTCTTTGTGCCGTGTGCATTCATCTTACAGAGTAAACCTTTCTTTTGACTGAGCAGTTTTGAAACTCTCTTTTTGTAGAATCTGAAAGTGGACATTTGGAACGCTTTGAGGCCTATGGTGGAAAAGGGATTATCTTCACATAAAAACTAGATAGAAGAATTCTGACAAACTTCTTTGTGATGTGTGCGTTCAGCTCACGAAGTTGAACATTTCTTTTGATGGAGCAGTTTGGAAACACTCTTTTTGAGGAATCTTTAAGTGGACATTTGGAGCTCTTTGCAGCCTATGGTGGAAAAGGAAATATCTTCACATAAGATGTAGACAGAAGTAATCTGAAAACCTTCTTTATGATGTGTGCATTCATCTGACAGAGTTAAACCTTTCTTTTGATTGAGCAGTCTTGAAACTCTCTTTTTGTAGAATCTGCAAGTGGACATTTGGAGCACTTTGAGTACAATGGTGGAAAAGGAAATAACTTCCCATAAAAACCAGACAGAAGAATTCTGAGAAACTTCTTTGTTATGCGTGCATTAATCTCACAGAGTTGAACCTTCCTTTTGATTAAGCAGTTTGCAACCACTCTTTTTGTCGAATCTGCAAGTGGACCTTTGGAGGGCTTTGTGGCCTATGGAAGAACAGGAAATATCTTCATATAAAATCTAGACAGAAGCAATCTCAGAAACTTCTGTGTGTTGTGTGCATTCATCTCACAAAGTTAAACTTTTCTTTTGATTGAGCAGTTTGGAAACTCTCTTTTTATAGGATCTGCAAGTAGACATTTGCAGTGCTTTGAGGTCAATGGTGGAAAAGGAAATATCTTCACATAAAAACTAGACAGAATAATTCTGAGAAACTTCTTTGTGATGCGTGCATTCATCTCACAGAGTTGAACGTTTCTTTTGATTGAGCTGTTGGAAACACTCTTTCTGTAGAATCTGCAAGTGGACATTTGGAGCGCTTTGCAACCTATGGTGGAAAAGGAAATATCTTCACATAAAAACTAGACAGAAGAATTATTAGAAACCTCTTTGTGATGCGAGTGTTCAACTCACAGAGTTGAACCTTTCTTTTGATTGCCCAGTTTGAAAACAACTCTTTTTGTAGATTATGCAAGTGGACATTTGGAGCTCTTTGCGGCCTATGGTAGAAAAGGAAATATCTTCACATAAAATCTAGACAGAAGGAATCTGAGAAATTTCTTTGTGATGTGTGCATTCATCTCACAGAGTTAAACATTCTTTTGACTGAGCAGTTTTGAAACTGTCTTTTTGTATAATCTGCAAGTGGACATTTGGAGCGCTTTGAGGCATATGGTGGAAAAGGAAATATCTTCACAGAAAAACTAGACTGAAGAATACTGAGAAACTTCTTTGTGATGTGTGCGTTCATCTCACAGAGATGAAACTTTCTTTTGATTCTGCAGTTTGGAAACACTCTGTTTGTAGAATCTACAAGTGGACATTTGGAGTGATTTGCGGGCTGTGGTAGAAAAGGAAATATCTTCACTTAAAATCTAGAAAGAAGCAATCTGAGAAAGTTCTTCATGATGTGTTCATTCATCTCACAGAGTTAAAGATTTCTTTTATTGAACAGTTTTGAAACTCTCTTTTTGTAGAATCTGCAAGTGGATATTTGGAGCACTTTGCGGGTATGGTAGAAAAGGAAATATCTTCACATAAAATCTAGAAAGAAGCAATTTGAGAAACTTCTTTGTGATGTGTACATTCATCACACAGAGTTAAACCTTTCTTTTGATTGAGCAGTTTGGAAACACTCTTTTTGTAGAATCTGGAAGTGGACATTTGGAGCGACTTGAGGCCTATGGTGGAAAAGGAAGTATCTTCACATAAAAACTAGACAGAAGAATTCTGAGAAACTCCTTTGTGATGTGTGCCTTCATCTCACACAGTTGAATCCTTATTTTTATAAAGCAGTTGCAAAAACACTTTTAGTAGAATCTGAATGTGGACATTTGGAGCGCTTTGGGGACTATTGTAGAGAAGGTAGTATCTTCACATAAAATCTAGACAGAAGCAATCTGAGAAACGACTTTGTGATGTGTGCATTCTTCTCACAGAGTTAAAACTTTCTTTTGATTTAGCAGTTTTGAAATTCTCTTTTAGTAGAATCTGCAAGTGGACATTTGGAGAGCTTTGAGGCCAATGGTGGAAAAGGAACTATCTTCACAAAAAAAACTAGACAGAAGAATTCTGAGAAAGCAGTTGTGATGTGTGGGTTCATCTCACAGAGTTGATACTTTCATTTGTTTGAGCTGTTTGGAAACTATTTTTGTAGTATCTGCAAGTGGACATTTGAAGCTCTTTGCAGCCTATGGTAGAAAAGGAAATATCCTCACCTAAAATCTAGACAGAAGCAATCTTAGAAACTTCTTTGTGATGTGTGCATTCATCTCACAGAGTTGAACCTTTCTTTTGATTGAGGAGTTTGGAAACTCTTTTTCTAAAATCTACCAGCGGACATTTGGAGCACTTTGAGGCCTATCGTTGAATACAAAATATCTTCACATAAAAACTAAACAGAAGAATTCTGAGAAACTTCTTTGTGATGTGTGCTTTCATCTTACAGAGTTAAACTTTTCTTTTGATTGAGCAGTTTTCAAAATGTCCTTTTGTAGAATCTGTAAGTGGACATTTGTCGAGCTTTGAGGCCTATGGTATAAACGGAAATATCTTCACATAAAACCTAAATAGAAGTATTCTGAGAAACTTCTTTGTGATGTGTGCATTCATCTCCCCGAGTTGACCCTTTCTTTTGAAGGACCAGTTTTGAAATAAGCTCTTTGTAGAATCTGCAAGTGGACATTTTCAGTGTCTTGAGGTCTGTGGTGGAAAAGGAAATGTCTTCACATAAAACCTAGACAGAGGAATTCTGAGAAACCTCTTTGTGATGCATGCGTTCATCTCACAGAGTTGACAATTTCTTTTGTTTGAGCAGTTTGGAAACAGTCTTTTTCTTGAATCTGCAAGTGGACATTTGGAGAGCTTTGCGGCCTGTGGTAGAAAAGGAAATATCTTCACATAAAATCTAGACAGAAGTAATCTGAGAAACTTCTTTGTGATGTGTGCATTCGCCTCACAGAGTTAAAATGTTCTTTGGTTGAGGAGTTTTGAAAATCTCTTTTTGTAGAATCTGCAATTGGACCTTTGGAGCGCTTTGTGGCCTATGGTAGAAAAGGAAATATCTTCACATAAAAACTAGACAGAAGCATTATGAGAAACTTCTTTTTGATGCATGTGTTCATCTCACAGAGTTCAACCTTTCTTTTGATTGACCCGGTTTGGAAACACTCTGTCTTTTAAATCTGGAAGTGAACATTTGGAACGCTTTGAGGCCTATGGTGGAAAAGGAAATATCTTCATATAAAAACTAGACAGAAGAATTCTGAGAAACGTCTTTGTGATGTGTGCATTCATCTCACAGAGTTGAACTTTTGTTTGGATGTAGCAGTTTGAAAACACTCTTTTTCTAGAATTTGCAAGTGGACATTTGGAACTCTTTGCAGCCTATGGTAGAAAAAAGGAATATCTTCACATAAAATCTAGACAGAAGTAATCTGAGAAACTGCCTTGTCATGTGTGCATTCATCTAACAGGGTTGAACCTTTCTTTTGATTGAACACTTTGGAAATGCTCTTTTTGTAGAATCTGCAAGTGGACATTTGGAGCGCTTTGTGGCCTATTTTAGAAAATGAAATATCTTCACATTAAATCCAGACAGAAGAAATCTGAGAAACTTCTTTGTAAATGTGTGCATTCATCTCACAGTGTTAACCCTTTCCTTTGATTGAGAAGTTTCGAAACTCTCTTTTTGTAGAATCTGAAAGTGGACATTTGGAGTACTTTGAGTCACATGGTGGAAAAGGAAATATCCTCAGATGAAATCTAGAAAGAAGCAATCTGAGAAACTTCTTTACGATGTGTGCATTCATCTCACACAGTAAAACCTTTCTTTTGATTGAGCAGTTTTGAAACTCACGTTTTGTAAAATCTGTAAGTGGACATTTGGAGGGCTTTGAGGCCTATGTTGGAAAAGGAAATATCTTCACATAACAAGACAGAAGAATTCTGAGAAACGTATTTGTGATGTGTGCGTTCATCTCACAGAGTTGAACTTTTCTTTTGATTGAGCAGTTTGGAAACACTCTTTTTGCAAAATCTGCAAGTGGACATTTGGAACGCTTTGTAGCCTATATTAGAAGAAAGAAATATCTTCATATAAAATCTAGACAGAAGCAATCTGAGAAACTTCTTTGTGATGTGTCCTTTCATCTCACAGAGTTGAACCTTTCTTTTGATTGAGCAGTTTGGAAAAATTCTAGAATCTGCAAGTGGACATGTTGTATGCCTTGTGGCCTATAGTAGAAAAGGAAATATCTTCACATAAAATCTAGACAGAAGCAATCTGAGAAACTCCTTTGTTATGTGTGCACTCATCTCAAAGAGGTAAACCTTTCTTTTGATTGAGCAGTTTTGAAACACTCTTTTTGTAGAATCTGCAAGTGGACAGTTGGAGCACTTTGAGGCCTATGCTGGAAAAGGAAATATCTTCAGATAAAATCTAGAAAGAAGCAATTTGAGAAACTTCTTTGTGACATGTGCATTTATCTCACATAATTAAACATTTTTTGACTGAGCGGCTTTGAAACTCTCTTTTTGTAGAATCTGCAAGTGGACATTTGGAGGCCTTTGAAGCCTATGTTGGAAAAGGCAATTATCTTCACATAAAAACCAGACCGAAGAATTCTGAGAAACTTCTTTGTGATGCTTGCGTTCATCATACAGTGTTGAATCATTCTTTTCATTGAGCAGTATGGAAATACTGTTTTTGAAGGATCTGCAAGTGGATATTTAGAGCGCTTTGCAGCCTATGTTAGAATAGGAAATGTCTTCACATAAAATCTAGACAGAAGCAATCTGAGATACTTCTTTGTGATGTGACCTTTCATCTCACAGGGTTAAAACTTTCTTCTGTTTGAGCAGTTTTCAAACTCTCTTTTTGTAGAAACTGCAAGTGGACATTTGGAGCGCTTTGAGGCCTGTGGTGGAAAAGGAATTATCTTCACATAAAAACTAGACAGAAGAATTCTGAGAAACTTCTTTGTGATGTGTGCTTTCATCTCACAGAGTTGAAGTCTTCTTTTCATTGAGCAGTTTGGAAACATTCTTTTTTAGACTCTGCATGTGGACATTTTTATCGCTTAAGGCCTGTGGTAGAAAAGGTAATATCTTCACATAAAATCTAGACAGAAGCAATCTGAGAAACTCCTTTGTGACGTGTGCATTCATCTCACAGCATTAAAACTTCCTTTTGATTGGAGCAGTTTTGAAACACTCTTTTTGTAGAATCTGCAAGTGGATATTTGGAGCGCTATGTGGCCTATGGTGGAAAAGGAAATATTTTCACATAAAAACTAGACAGAAGAATTCTGAGAAACTTCTTTGGGACGTGTGCATTCATCTCACAGAGTTGAACCTTTCTTTTGATTGAGCAGTTTGCAAACACTCTTTTTGTAGAATCTGCAAGTGGACATTTGGAGAACTTTGTGGCATATGGTAGAAAACGAAATATCTTCATATAAAATCTAGACAGAAGCAATCTGAGAAACTTATTTGTGATGTGTGCATTCATCTCACAGCGTTAGAACTTCCTTTTGATTGGAGCAGTTTTGAAACACCCTTTTTGTAGAATCTGCAAGTGGATATTTGGAGCGCTTTGAGGTCTATGGTGGAAAAGGAAATATCTTCACATTAAATCTAGACAGAAGCAATCTGAAAAATTTCTTTTTGATGTGTGCATTTATCTCACAGAGTTAAAACTTTCCTTTGAATGAGTAGTTCTGAATCTCTGTTTTTGTTGAATCTGAAATTGGGCATTTGGAGCTCTTTCAGGCCCTTGGTGGAAAAGGACATATCTTCACATAAAAACTAGACAGAAGAATACTGTGAAATCACTTTGTGATGCATGCGTTCATCTCACAGAGTTGAACCTTTGTTTTGATTGAGCCATTTGGAAACACTGTTTTTGTAGAATCTGCAAGTGGACATTTGGAGCACTTTGCAGCCAATGGTAGAAAACGAAATATATTCACATAAAATCCAGACAGAAGCAGTCTGACAAACTTCTTTGTGATGTGTGCATTCATCTCACAGAGTTAAACCTTTCTTTTTATTGAACAGTTTTGAAACTCTCTTTTTGTAGTATCTGCAAGTGGACATTTGGAGCCCTTTTAGGCCTGTGGTGGAAAAGGAAATCTCTTCACATAAAAACTAGATAGAAGAATTCTGAGAAACTTCTTTGTGATGCGTGCTTTCATCTCCCATAGTTGAAACTTTCTTTTGATACAGCCAGTTGGAAACACTCTTTTGTAGAATCTGAAAGTGCACATTCGCAGCACTTTGCGGCCTATAGTAGGAAAGAAAATATCTTCACATAAAGTCTAGACAGAAGCAATCTGAGAAACTTCTGTGTGATGTGTGCATTCCTCTCATGGAGTTAAACGTTTCTTTTGATTGAGCAGTCTTGAAGCTCTCTATTTGTAGAATCTGCAAGTGGATATTTGGAGCTCTTTGAGGCCAACAGTGGAAAAGGAAATATCTGCACATAAAAACTGGACAGAAGAATTCTGATAAACTTCTTTCGGACGTGTGCATTCATCTCACAGATTTGAACCTATCTTTTGATTGAACAGTTTGGAAACACTCTTTCTGTAGAATCTGCAAGTGGACATTTGGAGAACTTTGCGGCGTATGGTAGAAAAGGAAATATTTTCACATAAAATCTAGACAGAAGCCATCTGAGAAACTTCTTTGTGATGTGGGCATTCATCTCACAGAGTTGAACTTTCTTTTGATTGAGCAGTTTGGAAACACTTTTTTTGTAGAATCTCGAAGTGGACATTTGGAGTGCTTAGAGGCCTATGGTGGAAAAGGAAATATCTTCACATGAAAACTAGACAGAAGAATTCTGATAAACTTCTTTGTCATGTGTATGTACATCTCACAAAGCTGAAATTTTCTTTTGGTTGAGCAGTTTGGAAATACTCTTTTTGTAGAATCTGCAAGTGGACATTTGCAGCGCTTTGCGGCCTATGGTTGAAAAAGAAATATCTTCACATAAAATCTAGAGAGAAGCAATCAGAGAAACTTCTTAGTGATGGGTACATTCATCTCACAGAGTTTAAACTTTCTTTTGATTCAGCAGTTTTGAAACTCTCTTTTTGTAGAATCTACAAGTGGATATTTGGAATGCTTTGAGGCCTATGGTGGAAAAGGAAATATCTTCACATAAAAACTAGACAGAAGAATTCTGACAAACTTCTTTGTGATGTGTGCATTCTTCTCACAGAGTGGAACCATTCTTTTGATTGAGCAGTTTGGTACCACTCTTTCTTGTAGAATCTGCAAGTGGACATTTGGAGCACTTTGTGGTCTATGGTAGAAAAGTAAATATCTCCACATAAAATCTAGACAGAAGCAATATGAGAAACTTGTTTGTGATATATGCATTCATCTCACAGAGATAACCCTTTCTTTTGATTGAGCAGTTTTGAAACTCTCTTTTTGTAGAATCTGCAAGCGGACATTTAGAGCGTCATGAGGCCTATGGTGGAACAGGAAATATCTTCACATAAAAGTTAGACAGAAGAATTCTGTGAAACTTCTTTGTGATGAGTGCATTCATCTCACAGAGTTGAACGTTTCTTTTTGAGTAGTTTGGAAACACTCGTTTTGTAGAATCTGCAAGTGGACATTTGGATCTCTTTGTGGCCAATGGTAGAAAAGGAAATATCTTCACACAAAATCTAGACAGAAGCAATCTGAGAAACTCCTTTGTGATGCGTGCATTAATCTCACGGGGTTAAACCTTTCTTTTGATTGAGCAGATTGGAAACTCTCTTTTTGTAGAACCTGCAAGTGGACATTTGGCAGCACTTTGAGGACTGTGGTGGAGAAGGGAATGTCTTCACATAAAAAGTAGATAGAAGCATTCTGAGAAAGTTCTCTGTGATGTCTGCATTCATTTCCTGGAGTTCCATCTTTCTTTAGAAGAACCAGTTTTCAAATACTCTTTTTGGCTAATCTGCAAGGGGACATTTCAAGCACCTTCAGGCTTAAGTTGTAAAAGGAAATATCTTCACAAAAAAACAGATAGAAGAATTCTGATAATCTTTTTTATGATGTGTACGGTCATCTAACAGAGTTGAACCTTTCTTTTGATTGCGTAGTTTGGAAACCGTTTTTGTAGAATCCGCAAGTGGACATTTGGAGCGCTTTGTGGCTTATGATAGAAAAGGAAATATCTTTACATAAAATCTAGAAGGAAGCAATCTGAGAAACTTCTTTGTGATGTGTGCATTCATCTCACAGAGTTGAAACTTTCTTTTGATTGAGCAGTTTTGAAACACTCTCTTCGTGGAATCTGCAAGTGGATATTTGGAGCCCTTTGAGGCCTATTGTGGAAAAGGAAATACCTTCACATAAAGACTACTCAGAAGCATTCTGAGAAATACCATTGTGATGTTTGCATTCAACTCACAGAGTTGAAACTACGTTTTGATTGAGCAGTTTTAAATCTATCTTTTTGCAGAAACTACAGGTGTATGTTTGGAAAGCTTTTAGGCCTATTGTGGAAAAGGAAATATCTTCACATAAAAACTACACAGAAGCATTCTGAGAAACTACTTTGTGAGGTGTGCATTCAACTCACGGAGTTGAAATTATCTTCTCTTTGAGGAGTTTTCAATCTCTCTTTGTGTAGGATCTGCAAGTGGATATTTGAAGACCTTTGTGCCCTATGGTGGAAAAGGAAATATCTTGAAATAAAAACTACACAGAAGCATTCGGAGAAACTTCTTTGTGATGTGTGTATTCAACTCACAGAGTTGAACCTATCTTTTGATGGAGCAGTTTTGAATCTCTCTTTTGCACAATCTGAAGGTGGATATTTCGAGCCCTTTGAGGCCAACAGTGGAAAAGCAACTATCTTCACATAAAAACTAGACAGAAGCATTCTCAGAAACTTATTTGTGAGGTGTGCATTCAACTCACAGAGTTGAACTTATCTTCTCATTGAGCAGTTTTGAATTTATCTTTTGGTAGAATCTCCAAGTGCGTATTTGGAGACCTTTGCGCTCTATGGTGGAAAAGGAAATATCTCCAGATAAAAACTACACAAAAGCATTCAGAGAAACTGCTTTGTGATGTATGCATTCAACTCACAGAGTTGAACCTATCTTTTGAATCAGCAGTTTTGAATCTCTCTTTTGGCAGAATCTTCACGTGGATATTTGGAACCCTTTGAGGCCTACTGTGGAAAAACAAATATCTTCACATAAAAACTACACAGAAGCATTCTGAGAAACTTCTTCATGATGTGTGCATTCATCTCACAGGGTTGAACCTAGCTTATGATTGAGCAGTTTTGAAACACTCTTTTTGTAGGATCTGCAAGTGGATATTTGGAGCGCTTTGACGCCTACAGTGGAAAACAAAATACCGTCAAATAAGAACTACACAGAAGCATTCTGGGAAACTTTTTGTGATGTGTGTATTCATCTCACAGAGTTGAAACTTTCTTTTGATTGAGCAGTTTTGAAACACTCTTTTAGTTGAATCTGCAAGTGGATATTTGGAGCCTTCTGCGGCCTATGGTGGAAAAGGAAATATCTTCAAATAAAAACTACACAGAAGCATTCTCAGAAACTTCTTTGTGATGTATGTGTTCAACTCACAGAGTTGAACCTATCTTTTGATTGAACAGTTTTGAATCTCTCTTTTTGCAGAATCTGCAAGTGGATATTTGGAGCGCTGTGAGGCCTACTGTGGAAAATCAAATATGTCCACATAAAAACTACAGAGAAGCATTCCGAGAAACTTCTTTGTGATGTGTGCATTCAACTCACAGAGTTGAACCTGTCTTTCAATTGAGCAGTTTTGAATCTCTCTTTTTGCAGAATCTGCAAGTGGATGTTGGGAGAGCTTTGAGGCCTATTGTGGAAAAGGAAATAGCTTCACATAAAAACTACACAGAAGCATTCTGAGAAACTTCTTTGTGATGTGTGCATTCATCTCACAGAGTTGAACCTTTCTTTTGATTGAGCAGTTTTGAAACACTCTTTTTGTAGAATCTGCAAGTGGATATTTGGAGAACTTTGAGGCCTATTGTGGTAAAGGAAATATCTCCACATAAAAACTACTCAGAAGCACTCTGAGAAACTTCTTTGTGATGTGGGCATTCAACTCACAGAGTTGAACCTGTCTTTTGATTGAGCAATTTAGAGTCTCCCTTGTTGTAGAATCTGCAAGTGGATAGTTGGAGCCCTTTGCACCCTATGGTTGAAAAGGAAATATCCTCAATAAAAACTACACAGAAGCATTCTAAGAAACTTCTTCGTGATGTGTGCATTCAACTGACTGAGTTGAATTTATCTTCTCATGTTTTGTAGAATCTGGAAGTGGATGTTTGGAGCCCTTTCACCCTATTGTGGAAAAGGAAATATCTGCAAATAAAACTACACAGAACCATTCAGAGAAACTTCTTAGTGATGTATGCATTCAACTCACAGAGCTGATCCTATCTTTTTATTGAGCAGTTTTGAATCCCTCTTTTGGCAGAATCTGCAGGTGGATATTTGGAGCCCTTTGAGGCTTACTGTGGAAAATCAAATATGTTCACATAAAAACTACACAGAAAGATTCAGAGAAACTTCTTTGTGATGTGTACATTCAAGTCACAGAGTTGAACATAATTTTTGATTGAGCAGTTTTGAATCTCTCTTTTTGCAGAATCTGTATGTGGATGTTTGGAGAGCTTGGAGGCCTATTGTGGAAAAGGAAATATCTTCACATAAAAACTACACAGAAACATTCTGAGAAACTTCTTTGTGAGCTGTGCTTTCAACTCACAGAATTGATCTTATCTTGTCATTGAGCAGTTTTGAATCTCTCTTTTTGTAGAATCTGCAAGTGGATATTTGGAGCCCTTTCAGCCCTGTGGTGCAAAAGGAAATATCTTGAAATAAAAACTACAAAGAAGCATTCAAACTTCTTTGTGATGTATGCATTCAACTCACAGAGTTGAACGTATCTTTTGATTGTGCAGTTTTGAATCTCTCTTTTTGCAAAATCTGCAGGTGGATATTTGGAGCCCTTTGAGGCCTACTGTGGAAAAGCAAATATGTTCACATAAAAATTACACAGAAGCATTCTGAGAAACTACTTAGTGGCGTGTGCATTCATCTCACAGGGTTGAATCTATCTCATGATTTAGCAGTTTTGAAACACTATTTTTGTAGAATATGGAAGTGGATATTTGGAGCCCATTGAGGCCTATAGTGGAAAGGAAATATCTTCACATAAAAACAACACAGAAGGATTCTGAGAAACTTCTTTGTGATGTGTGCATTCATCTCACTGAGTTGAACCTTTCTTTTCATTGTGCAGTTTTGAAACACCGTTTTTGTAGAATCTGCGAGTGGATATTTGGAGAACTTTGTGGACTATTGTGGAAAAGGAAACATCTTCACATAAAAACTACTCGGAAACATTCTGAGAAACTTCTTTGTGATGTGGGGATTCAACTCACAGAGTTGAACCTATCTTTTGATTGAGCAGTTTAGAGTCTCTCTTTTTCTAGAATCTGCAAGTGGATATTTGGATCCCTTTGCACCCTATGGTGGAAAAGGAAATATCTTCAATAAAAACTACACAGAAGCATTCTAAGTAACTTCCTCATGATGTGCACATTCAACTCACTGAGTTGAACTTATCTTCTCAATGTGCAGTTTTGAATCTCTGTTTTTGTAGATTCTGCAAGTGGGTATTTGGAGCCCTTTGCGCTCTATGGTGGAAAAGGAATTATCTTCAAATAGAACTACCCAGAACCATTCAGAGAAACTTCTTTGTGATGTATGCATTCAACTCACAGGGTTGTACCTATCTTTTGATTGAGCAGTTTTGAATCCCTCTTTTTGCAGAATCTGCAAGTGGATATTTGGAGCCTTTTGAGGCCTGCTGTGCAAAATCAAATATCTTCACATAAAAACTACACATAAAGATTCTGAGAAACTTCTTTGTGATGTGTGCTGTCAACTCATAGAGTTGAACCTATCTTTTGATTGAGCAGTTTTGAATCTCTCTGTAGAATCTGCAAGTGGACGTTTTGTGAGCTTTGAAGCCTTATGTGGAAAAGGAAATATCTTCACATAAAAACTACACAGAAACATTCTGAGAAAATTTTGTGAGGTGTGCATTCCACCCACAGTGTTGAACATATCTTGTCATTGCGCAGTTTTGAATCTCTCTTTTTGTAGAATCTGCAAGTGCACATTTGGAGCCCTTTGCGCCCTATGGTGGAAAAGGAAATATCTTCAAATAAAAACTACATAGAAGCATTCAGAGAAACTGCTTTGTGATGTATGCATTCAACTCACAGAGGTGAACTTATCTCTTGTTTGAGCAGTTTTGAATCTCTCTTTATGCAGAATCGGCAGGTGGATATTTGGAGACCTTCGAGGCCTACTGTGGAAAAGGAAATAACTTCAAATAAAAACTACACAGAAGCATTCTCAGAAACTTCTTCGTGATATATGCATTCAACTCACAGAGTTGAACCTATCTTTTGATTGAACAGTTTTGAATCTCTCTTTTTGCACAATCTGCAAGTGCATATTTGGAGCGTTGTGAGGCCTGCTGTGGAAAATCAAATATGTTCACAGAAAAACTTAACAGAAGCATTCTGAGAAACTTCTTTGTGACGTGTGCATTCAACTTACAGAGGTGAACCTATCTTTTGATGGCGCAGTTTTGAATCTCTCTTTTTCCAGAATCTGTAAGTGGATGTTTAGAGAGCTTTGAGGCCTGTTGTGGAAAAGGAAATATCTTCACATAAAAGCTACACAGAAGCATTCTGAGAAATTTCTTTGTGAGGCGTGCACTCAACTCACAGAGTTGATCTTATCTTCTCATTGAGCAGTTTTGAATCTCTCTTTTTGTAGAATCTGCAAGTGGATATTTGGAGCCCTTTGAGCCCTATGGTGGAAAAGGAAATATCTTGAAATAAAAACTACAAAGAAGCATTCAAACAAACTTCTTTGTGATGTATGCATTCAACTCACAGAGTTGAACGTATCTTTTTATTGAGCAGTTTTGAACCTCTCTTTTTGCAGAATCTGCAGGTGGATATTTGGAGCCCTTTAAGGCCTACTGTGGAAAAGCAAATATCCTCACATAAAAATTACACAGAAGCATTCTGAGAAACTACTTCGTGACGTGTGAATTCATCTCACAGGAATGAATTTGTCTCACGATTGAACAGTTTTGAAACACTCTTTTTGTAGAATATGGAAGTGGATATTTGGAGCCCATTGAGGCCCATAGTGGTAAGGAAATATCTTCACATAAAAACAACACAGAAGCATTCTGAGAAACTTCTTTGTGATGTGTGCATTCATCTCACAGAGTTGAAACTTTCTTTTTATTGAGCGGTTTTGAAACACCGTTTTTGTAGAATCTGCAAGTGGATATTTGGAGAACTTTGAGGCCTATTGTGGAAAAGGAAACATCTTCACATAGAAACTACTCAGAAGCATTCTGAGAAACTTCTTTGTGATGTGGGAATTCAACTTACAGAGCTGAACCTATCTGTTGATTGAGCAGTTTAGAGTTTCTCTTTTTCTAGAATCTGCAAGAGGATATTTGGAACCCTATGCACCCTATGGTGGAAAAGGAAATATCTTCAATAAAAACTGCACAGAAGCATTCTAAGAAACTTCTGCGTGATGTGTACATTCAAATCACTGAGATGAACTTATCTTTTCAATGATCAGTTTTGAATCTCTGGTTTTGTAGAATATACAAGTGGATATTTGGAGCTATTTGTGCCCTCAAGTGGAAAAGGAATTATCTTCAAATAAAACTACACAGAACCATTCAGAGAAACTTCTTTGTGATGGTTGCATTCAACTCACAGAGATGAACCTATCTTTTGATTGGGCAGTTTATAATCTGTCTTTTTGAAGAAACTGCAAGTGGATATTTGGAACCCTTTGCACTCTGTGTTGGAAAAGGAAATATCTTCAAATAAAAACAACACAGAAATATTCAGAGAAACTTCTTTGTGCTGTGTGCATTAAACTCAGAGAGTTGAAACTTCCTTTTGGTAGAGCAGTTTTGAAACACTCTTTTTGTAGAATCTGCAGGTGGATATTTGGAGCGCTTTGAGGCCTATGGTAGAAAAGGAAATATGTTCATATAGAAACTAGATAGAAGCATTCACAGAAACTATTTTGTGATGTGTGCATTCAACTCCAAGAGTTGAACATTCCTTTAGACAGAGCAGTTTTGCAACACTATTTTTGTACTATCTGCAAGTGGATATTTGGACTGCTTTGAGGCCTATGTTGGAAAAGGAAATATCTTCACACAAAAACTAGACAGAAGCATTCTCAGAAACTTCTTTGTGATTTGTGCATTCAACTCACCGAGTTCACCATTTCTCTTGACAGAACAGTTTTGAAAAACACTTTTTGTAGAATCTGCAATTGGATATTTGGAATGCTTTGAGGCCTTCGGTGGAAACAGGAATACCTTCACATAAACACTAGACAGAAGCATTCTCAGAAACTTCTTTGTGATGTGTGCATTCAATTCACAGAGTTGAACCTTCTTTTTGAGAGAGCAGTTTTGAGACACTGTTTTTGTATAATCTGCAAGTGGACATTTGGAACACACTGAGGCCTACTGTGGAAATGGAAATATTTTTACATAAAAACTAGACAGAAGCATTCTCAGAAACTTCTTTGTGATGTGTGCATTCAACTCAGAGAGTTGAACCTTTCTTTTGATAGAGTAGGTTTGAAACACTCTTTTTGTAGAATCTGCAAGTGGACATTTGCAGCGCTTGGAGGCCAATGGTGGAAAAGGAAATAACTTCACATAAAAACTAGACAGAAGCATTCTCAGAAAACTCTTTGCAGTGGTTGCATTCAACACACAGAGTTGAACATACCTTGTCCTAGAGCAGTTTTGAAACACTCTTTTTGTAGAATCTGCAAGTGGATATTTGGACCGCTTTGAGGCTTTCGTTGGAAACGGGAATATCTCCACACAAACAGTAGACAGAAGGATTCTCAGACTCTCCTTGTAATGTGTGCATTCAACTCAGAGTTTAACCTTTCTTTTGATAGAGCAGGTTTGAAACACTCTTTTTGTAGGATCTGCAATTCGATATTTTGAGAGCTTTGAAGCCTATGGTTCAAAAGGAAATATCATCACATAAAAAGTAGACAGCAGCATTCTCAGAAACTACATTGTGATGTTTGCATTCAACACACAGAGTTGAACATAACTTTTAATGGAGCAGTTTTGAAACACTCTTTATGTATAAGCTGCAAGTTGATATTTGAATAGATTTCAGGACTTCATTGGAAACGGGAATATCTTCACATAAAAACTAGACAGAAGCATTCTCAGAAACTAGTTTGTGAGGTTTGCATTCAACTCACAGATTTGAACATACTTTATCATAGAGCAGTTTTGAAGCACTCTTTTTGCAGAATCTGCAAGTGGATATTTGGAACGCTTTGAAGCCTTCATTGGAAACGGGAATATCTGCAAATAAACACTAGATAGAAGCATTCTCAGAAACTTCTTTGTGATGTGTGCATTCAACTCACAGAGTTAACTTTATTTCATAGAGCAGATATGAAACACTCTTTTTGTAGAATCTGCAACTCGACAATTGGAACGCTTTGAGGCCTCTGGTGGAATAGGAAATATCGTCACATAAAAACTAGACAGAACCATTCTCAGAAACATCTTTGTGATGTTTGCATTCAACTCACAGAGTTGAAAATCCGTTTTCATAGAGCAGTTTTGAAACACTCATTTTGTAGACTCTACAAGTGGATATTTGGACTCCTTTGAGGCCTTCATTTTAAAAGCGAATATCTTCATATAAAAACTAGACAGAAGCATTCTCAGAAACTTCTTTGTGATGTGTGCATTCAACTTACTGAGTTGAACATACTTTATCATAGAACAGTTTCGAAGCACTCTTTTAGTAGAATCTGCAAGTGGATATTTGGACCGCTTTGAGGCCTTCATTGGAAACGGGAATATCTTCACATAAAAACTAGACAGATACATTCTCAGAAACTTCTTTGTGATGTGTGTATTCAAAATAAAGATTTGAACCTTTCTTTTAATAGAGCAGGTTTGAAACACTCTTTTTGTAGAATCTGCAAGTGGACATTTGGAGAGATTTGAGGCCTATGGTGGAAAAGGAATTATCTTCTCATAAAAACTAGACAGAAGCATTCTCAGAAACAACATTGTGAGGTGTTCATTCAACACAAAGAGTTGAACATTTCTTTTGATACAGCAGTTTTGAAATACTCTTTTTGTAGAATCTGCAAGTGTACATTTGGAGAGCTTTGAGGCCTATGGTGGAAAAAGAAATATCTTCACACAAAAATTAGACAGAAACATTCTCAGAAACTTCTTTGTGATGTTTTTATTCAACTCACAGATTCGAACATACTTTTTCATGGAGCAGTTTGTAAACACTTTTTCTAGAATCTGCAAGTGGAAATTTGGACTGCTTTGAGGCCTTTGCTGGAAAAGGGGAAATCTTCACATAAACAGTAGGCAGAATCATTCTCAGAAACTTCTTTGTGATGTGTGCATTCCACTCACAGAATTGAACCTGTCTTTTGATATAGCAGGTTTGAAACACTTTTTTGGTAGAATTTGGAAGCAGACATTTGGAGAGCTTTGAGGCCTATGGTGGAAAAGGAAATATCTATAAATAAAAACTAGACAGAAGCATTGTCAGAAACTTCTTTGTGATGTTTGCATTCAACTCACAGAGCTGAACCTCCCTTGTCATAGAGCTGTTTTGAAACACTCTTTTCATAGAATCTGCAAGTGGATATTTGGACCGCTTTGAGGCCTTCGTTGTAAACGGGAATATCTTCACATAAAAACTAGACAGAAGCATTCTCAGAAACTAATTTGTGATGTGTGCATTCTACTCACAGAGTTGAACCTTTCTTTTCATAGAGCAGGGTTGAAACACTCTTTTTGCAGGACCTGCAAGTGGACATTTGGAGCTCTTTGAGGCCTATGGTGGAAAAGGATATATCGTCACATAAAAACTAGACAGAAGCATTCTCATAAACTTATTTGTGGTGTGTGCGTTCAACTCACAGAGTTGAACCTTTCTTTTGATAGAGCAGGTTTGAAACATTCATTTTGTAGAATCTGAAATGGACATTTGGAGAGCTTTGACGCCTGTGGTGGAAAAGGAAGTATCTTCACATAAAAACTAGAGAGAAGCGTTCTCAGAAACTTCTTTGTGATGTGTGCATTCAACTCACAGAGTTGAACCTCTCTTTTCATAGAGCAGGTATGAAACACTCTTTTTGTAGAATCTGCAAGTGGACATTTGGAGAGCTTTGAGGCTTATGGTGGAAAAGGAAATATCTTCACACAAAAACTAGACAGAATCATTCTCAGAAACGTCTTTGTGATGTTTGCATTCAACTCACAGAGTTAAAGATACCTTTCCATGGAGCAGTTTTGAGGCACTCTTTTTATAGAATCTGCAAGTGGATATTTGGACCACAATGAGGCCTTCGTTGGAAACGGGAATATCTTCACATAAACACTAGACAGAAGCATTCTCAAAAACTTCTTTGTCATGCATGCATTAAACTCAAAGAGTTGAACCTTTCTTTTGATAGAGCAGCTTTGAAACACCCTTTTTGTACAATCTGCAAGTTGACATTTGGAGAGCTTTGAGGCCTATGGTGGAAAAGGTTATACCTTCATATAAATATTAGACAAAAGAATTCTCAGAAAATTCTTTGCAATGTTTGCATTCAACTCACAGAGTTGAAGATACCTTTTCATAGAGGAGTTTTGAAACACTCTTTTCGTAGAATATGCAAGTGGATATTTGGAATGCTTGAGGCCTTTGTTGGAAACGGGAATATGTTTACATAAAAACAGGCAGAAGCATTCTCAGAAACTTCTTTGTGATGTGTGCATTCAACTCAAAGAGTTGAAACTTTCTTTTGATAGAGCATGTTTGAAACACTCTTTTTGTAGAATCTGCAATGGACATTTGGAGAGCATTGAGGCCTATGGTGGAAAAGTAAATATCTTCACATAAAAACTAGAGAGAAGCATTCTCAGAAACTTCTTTGTAATGCGTGCATTCTACTCACAGAGTTGAACCTTTCTTTTGATAGAGCAGTTTTGAAACACTCTTTTTGTAGAATCTGGAAATGTATATTTGGACCACTTCGAGGCCTTCGTTGGAAACGGGAATATCTTCACATAAACACTAGACAAAAGCACTCTCTGAAACTTCTTTGTGATGTGTGCGTTCAAGTCACAGAGTTGAATCATTCTTTTGATAGAGCAGGTTTGAAACACTCTTTTTGTATAATCGGCACTGGACATTTTTAGAGCTATGAGGCCTATGGTGGAAAAGGAAATATCTTTAAATGAAAACCAGACAGAAGAATTCTAAGGAACTACATTGTGATGTTTGCATTCAACTCATAGAGTTGAACACACTTTTTCATAGAGCACTTTTGAAACACTCTTTTAGTAGAATCTGCAAGTGGATATTTGCACTGCTTTGAGGCCTTCATTGGAAACGGGAATATCTTCACATAATCACTAGACAGAAGCTTTCTCAAAAACTTTTTTGTACTGTGTGCATTCAACTCACAGATTTGAACCTTTCTTTTCATAGAGCAGGTTTGAAACACTCTTTTAGTAGAATCTGCAAGTGGACATTTGGAGCGCTTTGAGGCCTATGGTGGAAAAGGAAATATCTTCCTATAAAAACTAGACAGAAGCATTCTCAGAAATTTCTTATGATGTGTGCATTCATTTCACAGATTTGAACATACCTTATCATAGAGCACTTTTGAAACACTCTTTTAGTAGAATCTGCAAGTGGATATTTGCACTGCTTTGAGGCCTTCATTGGAAACGGGATTATCTTCACATAAACACTAGACAGAAGCATTCTCAGGACCTTCTTTATGATGTGTGCATTCAACTCACAGAGTTGAACCTTTCTTTTCATACAGCAGGTTTGAAACCCTCTTTTTGTAGAAGCTTCAAGTGGACATAAAGCGAGCTTTGAGGCCTATGGTGGGAAAGGAAGTATCATTATATAAAAACCAGACAGAAGAATTCTAAGGAACTACTTTGTGATGTTTGCTTTCAAATCACAGGGTTGTACATACCTCTTCATAGAGCAGTTTTGAAGCACTCTTTTTGCAGAATCTGCAAGTGGATATTTGGAACGCTTTGAATCCTTCATTGGAAACGGGAATATCTGCAAATAAACACTAGATAGAAGCATTCTCAGAAACTTCTTTGTGATGTGTCCATTCAACTCACAGAGTTGAAGCTTTCCTTTAATAAAGCAGGTTTGAAACACTCTTTTTGTAGAATCTGCAAGTGGATATTTGAACCACTTTGAGGCCTTCGTTGGAAACGGGAATATCTTCACATAAACACTAGATAGAAGCATTCTCAGAAACTTCTTTGTGATGTGTGCATTCAACTCAAAGAGTTGAAACTTTCTTTTGATAGAGCATGTTTGAAACACTCTTTTTGCAGAATCTGCAATGGACACTTGGGGTGCTTTGAGGCCTATAGTGGAAAATTAAATATCTTCTCATAAAAACTAAACAGAAGCATTCTATGAAACTTCTTTGTGATGCTTGCATTCAACTCACAGTGTTGAACATTCCTTATCATAGAGCAGTTTTGAAACACTCTTTTTGTAGAATCTGCAAGTGGATATTTGGACCGATTTGAGGCCTTCGTTAGAAACAGGAATACCTTCACATTAAAACTAGACAGCAGCATTCTCCGAAACTGCTTTGTGATGTGTGCATTCAATCACAGACTTGAACTTTCATTTTGAGAAAGCACGTTTGAAACACTCTTTTTGCAGAATCTGCATGTGTGCGTTTGGAGAGCTTTGAGGCGTATGGTGGAAAAGGGAATATCTTCACACAAAAACTAGACAGAAACATTCTCAGAAACTTCTTTGTGATGTGTGCACTTAACTCACCGAGTTGAACCTTCCTTTTCATAGAGCAGGTTTGAAACACACTTTTTGCAGGATCTGCAGTGGACATTTGGAGCGCTTCTATTCCAATGGTGGAAAATGAAATATCTTCTCATAAAAACTACATAGAAGCATTCTCAGAAACTTCTTTGTGACGTTTGCATTCAACTCTCAGAGTTGAACAAACTTTATCACAGAGCAGTTTTGAAACACTCTTTTAGTAGTGTCTGCATGTGGGTAATTGAACCGCTTTCAGGCCTTTGTTGGAAAGGCGAGTATCTTCACATAAAAACTAGACCAAAGCATTCTCGGAAACTTCTTTGTGATGTGTGCATTAAACTCACAGAGTTTAACCTTTATTTTGATAGAGAAGGTTTGAAACACTCTTTTGCAGAAACTACAAGTGGACATTTTGATCGCTTTGAGGCCTAAAGTTGAAAAGAAAATACTTTAACATAAAAATTAGACAGAAACATTCTGAGAAACTGCTTTGTGATGTGTACATTCAACTCACGGAGTTGAACAGACTTTATCATAGAGCAGTTTTGAAATACTGTTTTAGTAGAATCTGCAAGTGGAAATTTGGACCTCTTTGAGGCCTTCATTGGAAAAGGGAATAGCTTCAGGTAAATACTAGACAGAAGCATTCTCAGGAACTACTTTGTGATGTGTGCATTCAACTCACAGATTTGAACATACCTTATCATAGAGTAGTTTTGAAGCACTCTTATAGAGGAATCTGCAAGGGGATATTTGGACAACTTTGAGGCCATCGTTGGAAACGGGAGTATCATCACATAAACACTAGACAGAAGCATTCTCAGAAACTGCTTTTTGATGTGTGCATTCAACTCACAGAGTTGACCATACCTTAACATAGAGCAGTTTTGAAACACTCTTTTAGTAGTATCTGCAATTGGATAATTGGAAGGCTTTGAGGCCTTCTTTGTAAATGGGAATTTCTTCACATAAAAACAGGCAGAAGCATTCTCAGAAACTTCTTTTTGATGTGTGCATTAAACGCACAGAGTTGAAGCTTTCTTTTGATAGAGCAGGTTTGAAACACTTATTTTGTAGAATCTGCAAGTGTACATTTGGAGCGCTCTGAGGCCTATGTTGGGAAATGAAATTTCTTAACATAAAAACTAGACAGAAGCATTCTCAGAAACTTCTTTGTGATGTTTGCATTCAACTCAAAGAGTTCACCTTCCTTTTCACAGAGCAGATTTGAAACACACATTTCGTAGAATCTGCAAGTGGATATTTGGAGAGCTTTGAGGCCTTCGTAGGAAACAGAAATATCTTCACATAAACACGAGAGAGAAACATTCTGAGAAACTTCTTTGTGATGTGTGCATTAAACCCACAGAGTTGGACCTTTCTTTTGATAGAGCAGGTTTGAAGCACTGTTTTTGTAGAATCTGCAAGTGGACATTTGCAGTGCTTTGAAGCCTATGGTGGAAAAGGAAATATCTTCATATAAAAACTAGACAGAAGCATTCTCAGAAACTTCTTTGTGATGTTTGCATTCACCTCACAGAGTTGAACGTACTTTTTCATAGAGCAGTTTTGAAACACTCTTTTAGAAGAATCTGCAAGTGGATATTTTGACCGCTTTGAGGCAATCATTGGAAACGGGAATATCTTCACATAATCACTAGACAGAAGCTTTCTCAGAAACTTCTTTGTGCTGTGTGCATTCAACCCACAGAGTTGCACCTTTCTTTTGATAGTGGAGGTTTGAAACACTCCTTTTGTAGAGTCCGCAAGTGGATATTTGGAGCGCTTTGAGGCCTAAGGTGGAAAAGGAAATATCGTCCCATAAAAACTAGACAGAATCATTCTCAGAAACTTCTAGGTGATGTTTGCATTCAATTCAAAGAGTTGAACCTTCGTTTTCATAGAGAAGTTTTGTAACGCTCTTTTCGTAGAATCTCAAGTGGATATTTAAACTGCTTTGAGGCCTTCTTTGGAAACGGGAGTATCTTCACATAAACACTGCACAGAAGGATTGTCAGAAAATCCTTTGTGATGTGTGCATTCATCTCACAGAGTTGAACATACCTTATCATAGAGCAGTTTTGAAACACTCTTTTAGTAGAATCTGAAAGTGGATATTTCGAACGCTTTAAGGCCTTCATTGGAAATGGGAATATCTTCATATAAAAACTAAACAGCAGCATTCTGAGAAACTTCTTTGTGATGTGTTCATTCAACCACAGAGGTGAAACTTTCTTTTGATAGAGCAGTTTGAAACACTCTTTTTGTAGAATCTGCAAGTGGACATTTGGAAAGCTTTGAGGTCTATGGTGCAAAAGGAAATATCTTTATATAAAAACGAGACAGAAGAGTTCTCAAAAACTTCTTTGTGATGTTTGCCTTCAACTCACAGAGCTGAACATATCATATGATAGAGCAGATTTGAAACACTATTTTTGTAGTATCTGCAAGTGGATATTTGGACAGCTTTGTGGCCTTTGTTGGAAACGGGATTATTTTCACACTAACACTAGAAAGAAGCATTCTCAGAAACTTCTCTGGGAAGTATGCTTTCAACTCACAGAGCTGAACATACCTTATCATAGAGCAGTTTTCATACAGTCTTTTAGTAGAATCTGCAAGAGGATAATTGGAAAGCTTTGAGGCCTTCTTGGAAACGTTAATATATCCACATAAAAATTAGACAACAGAATTCTCAGAAACTTGTTTGTCATGAGTACATTCAACCACAGAGTTGAACCTTTCTTTTGATAGAGCAGTTTTGAAATACTCTTTTTGTAGAATCTGCAAGTGGATATTTAGACAGCTTTGAGGACTTCATTGGAAACGGGAATATCTTCACATGAACACTAGACATAATCATTCTCAGAAACATCTTTGTGATGTGCGCATTCAACTCACAGAGTTGAACTTTTCTTTTGATAGAGCAGATTTGAAACACTCTTGTTGTAGAATCCACAAGTGGATATTTGGAGAGCTTTGAAGCCTATGGTGGAAAAGGAAATATCTTCACAAAATACTGGAGAGAAGCATTCTCAGAAACTTCTTTGCGATGTGTGCATTCAACTCACAGAGCTGAACCTTTCTTTTGTTAGAGCAGGTTAGCAACACTATTTTCGCAGAATCTGCATGTGGACATTTGGAGAGCTTTGAGGCCTATGGTGGAAAAGGAAATATCTTCCCATAAAAACTAGACAGAAGCAATCTCAGAAACTTCTTTGTGATGTTTGCATTCAACTCACAGAGTTGGACATACTTTGTTATAGGGCATTTTTGAAACACTCTCAGGATAATCTGCAAGTGGATATTTGGAACGTGTAGAGGCCTTCGTTGGAAACGGGAATATTTTCACATAAATACTAGACAGCAGCATTCTCAGAAACTTCTTTGTGATGTGAACATTCAACTCACAGAATTGAACATTTCCTTTGATAGAGCAGTTTTGAAACACTCTTTTTGCAGGATCTGCAAGTGGATATGTGGACTGCCTTGAGGCCTTCGTTGGATACGGGAATAGCTTCACATAAAAACTAGACAGAAGCATTCCCAGAAACTTCTTTGTGATGTGTGCATTCAACCCACAGAGTTGAACCTTTCTTTTGATAGAGCAGTTTTGAAACACTCTTTTTGTAGAATCTGTATGTGGACATTTGGAGAGGTTTGAAGCCTATGGTGGAAAAGAAATATATTCACATAAAATCTAGACAAAGCATTCTCCGAAACTTCTTTGTGATGTGTGCATTCAACTCACGGAGCTCAACCTTTCTTTTGATAGAGCAGGTTTGAAGCACTCTTTTAGTAGAATCTGCAAGCAGATATTTGGAACGCTTTGAGGCCTTCTTTGGAAACGGTAATAACTTCACATAATCAATAGGCAGAAGCTTTCTCAGAAACTTCTTCATGCTGTGTGCATTAAACTCAGAGAGTTGAACCTTTTTTTGATAGAGCAGGTTTGACACACTCTTTTTGTAGAATCTGCAATTGGACATTTGGAGTGATTTAAGGCCTATGGTGGAAAAGAAAATATCTTCACATGAAAACTAGACAGAAGCATTCTCAGAAACTTCTTTGTGATGTTTGCATTCAACTCACGGAGTTGAACCTACCTTATCATAGAGCAATTTGGAAACACTCTTTTAGTAGAATCTGCAAGTGGAGACTTGGAATGCTTTGGGGCCTTCATTGGAAATGGGAATATCTTCATATAAATACTAGACAGAAGCATTCTCAGAAACTTCTTTGTGATGTTTGCTTTCAACTCACAGAGTTGAACATTCCTTATGAGAGCAGTTTTGAAACAATCTTTTAGTAGAATCTGCAAGTGGATATTTCAAACTGTTTGAGGCCTTCTTTGGAAACGGGAATATCTTCACATAAAAAGTAGATAGCAGCATTCTCAGAAACTTCTTTGTGATGTGTAAATTCAACTCACAAAGTTGAACCTTTCTTTTGATAGAGCAGTTTTGAATCACTCTTTTTTTAGGGTCTGCAAGTGCATATTTGGACCACTTTGAGGCCTTCATTGGAAACGGGAATATCTTCACATAAACACTAGACAGAATCATTCTCAGAAACTTCTTTGTGATATATTCATTTATCTCACAGAGTTGATCCCTTCTTTTGATAGAGCAGGTTTTAAACACTCTTTTTGTAGAATCTGTATTTGGACATTTGGAGAGGTTTGAGGCCAATGGTGGAAAAGGAAATATTTTTATATAAAAATGAGACAGAAGAATTCTCAGAAACTTTTTTGTGATGTTTGCATTCATCTCAAAGAGTAGAACATAAATTTTCATAGAGCAGTTTTGAAAAGCTCTTTTTGTAGAATCTGCAATTGTATATTTGGACTTCTTTGAGGCCTTCACTGGAAACGGGAATATCTTCACATAAACACTAGACAGAAACATCCTAAGAAACTTGTTTGTGATGTGGGCATTCAACTCACAAAGTTGAACTTTTCTTTTGATAGAGCAGTTTTGAAACACACTTTTTGAAGAATCTGCAAGTGCACATTTGGAGAGCTTTGAGGCCATCATTGGAAACGGGAATATCTTCTCATAAAAACTAGACAGAGCATTCTCAGAAACTTCTTTGTGATGTGTGCATTCAATTCACAGAGTTGAACCTTTCTTTTGATAGAGCAGTTTGGAAACACTCTTTTTCTAGCATCGGCAAATGGACATTTGGAACGCTTTGAGGTTTATGGTGGAAAAGGAAATATCTTCCCATAAAAACTAGAGAGAAGCATTCTCAGAATGTTCTTTGTGATGTTTTCCTTCAACTCATAGAGTTGAACATACTTTATCATACTGCAGTTTTGAAATACTCTTTTGGTAGAACTTGCAAATGGATATTTGGAAAGCTTTGAGGCCTTCATTGGAAACGGGAATATCTTCACATAATCGCTAGACAGAAGCTTTCTCAGAAACTTCTTTGTGCTGTGTGCATTCAACTCACAGAGCTGAACACTTCTTTTTTTAGAACAGGTTTGAAAAATTCTTTTTGTCGAATCTGCAAGTGGACATTTGGAGCGCTTTAAGGTCTATGGTGGAAAAGGAAATATCTACCCATAAAAACTAGACAGAGGCATTCTCAGAAACTTCTTTGTGATGTCTGCCTTCAACTCACAGACTTGAACATACCTAATGATAGAGCAGTTTTTAAACAATCTTTTAGTAGAATCTGCAAGTGGATATTTGGAAATCTTTGAGGCCTTCTTTGGAAACGGGAATATCTTCACATAAAAACTAGAAAGCAGCACTCTCAGAAACTTCTTTGTGATGCGTACATTCAACTCTTAGAGTTGAACTTTTCTTGTGATAGAGAAGATTTGAAACACTCTTCGTGTAGAATCTTCAAGTGGATATTTGGACAACGCTTTGAGACGTTATTTGGAAATGGGAATATCATGTCATAAAAATTGGAGAGAAGCATTCTCTGAAACTTCTTTGTGATCTGTGCATTCAACTCACAGAGCTGAACCTTTCTTTTGATAGAGCAAGTTTGAAACACTCTTTTTGCAGAATCTGAATGTGGACATTTGGAGACCTTTGGGGCCTATGGTGGAAAAGGGAATATCTTCACTTAAAAATTAGAAAGAAGCATTCTCAGAAACTTCTTTGTAATGTTTGCATTCAACTCACAGAGTTGGACATACTTTATCATAGGGAATTTTTGAAACACTCTTTCAGGAGAATCTGCAAGTGGATATTTGGAACATGTAGAGGCCTTCGTTGGAAAAGGAATATCTTCACATAAATACTAGACAACAGCATTCTCAGAAACTTCCTTGTGATGTGTGCATTCAACTCTCAGAATTGAACATTTCTTTTAATACAGCAGTTTTGAAACACTCTTTTTGCAGACTCTGCAAGTGGATATGTGGACTGCTTTGAGGCCTTCGTTGGATACGGGAATAGCTTCACATTAAAACTAGACAGAAGCATTCCAGGAATTTCTTTGTGATGTGTGCATTCAACCCACACAGTTGAACCTTTCTTTTGATAGAGCAGTTTTGAAAAACTCTTTTTGTAGAATCTGCAAGTGGACATTTGAAAGCGCTCAAAATGTCCATTTCCAGATACTACAAAAAGAGTGTTTCAAACCTGCTCTATGAAAGGGAATGTTCAACTCTGTGACTTGAATGCAAACATCACAAAGATATTTCTCAGAATGCTTCTGTCTAGATTTTATATGAACATATTCCCGTTTGCAACGAAATCTTTAAAGCTATCCAAATATCCACTTGCAGATTCTACAAAAAGACTGTTTCTAACCAGCTCTATGAAATGGAATGCTCAACCCTGTGACTTGAATGCAAACATCACTTAGAAGTTTCTGAGAATGCTTCTATCTAGATTTTATATGAAGATAATCCCGTTTCCAACGAAATCCTCAAAGCTATCCAAATATCCACTTGCAGTTTCTACAAAAAGAGTGTTTGAAAACTGCTCTATCAAAAGAAAGGTTCAACTCTGTTAGTTGAGTACACACATCACAAACTAGTTTCTGAGGATTCTTCTGTCTAGTTTTTATGGGAAGATATTTCCATTTTCACCATAGGCTTCAAAGTGCTCAAAATGTCCACTTCCAGATACTAAAAAAAAAGAGTGTTTCAAACCTGCTCTATGAAAGGGAATGTTAAACTCTGTGACTTGAATGCAAACATCACAAAGATGTTTCTCACAATGCTTCTGTCTAGATTTTATATGAAGATATTCCCATTTCCATCAAAATCGTCAACGGTATCCAAATATCCACTTGGAGATCCTACAAAAAGACTGTTTCAAACCAGCTCTATGAAATGGAATGTTCATCTCTGTGACTTGAATGCAAACATCACTAAGAAATTTCTCAGAATGCTTCTGTCTAGATTTTATATGAAGATATTCCCGTTTACAAAGAAATCCTCAAAGCTATCCAAATATCCACTTGCAGTTTCTACAAAAAGAGTGTTTGAAAACTCCTCTATCAAAAGAAAGGTTCAACTCTGTTAGTTGAGGACACACATCACAAACTAGTTTCTGAGGATTCTTCTGTCTATTTTTTATGGGAAGATATTTCCATTTTCACCATAGGCCTCAAAGCACTCAAAATGTCCACTTCCAGATACTACAAAAAGTGTTTCAATCCTGCTCTATGAAAGGGAATGTTCAACTCTGTGACTTGAATGCAAACATCACAAAGATGTTTCTCACAATGCTTCTGCCTAGATTTTATATGAAGATATTCCCATTTCCATCGAAATCGTCAAAGCTATCCAAATATCCACTTGGACATCCTACAAAAAGACTGTTTCAAACCAGCGCTATGAAATGGAATGTTCAACTCTGTGACTTGAATGCAAACATCACTAAGAAGTTTCGGAGAATGCTTCTGTCTAGATTTTATATGAAGATATTCCCGTTTCCAACGAAATCCTCAAACCAATCCAAATAGCCACAGGCAGACTCTACAAAAGGAGTGTTTCAAAACTGCTCTATCGAAAGAAAGGTTCAACTCTGTTAGTTGAGTCCACAGATCACAAACTAGTTTCTGACAACTCTTCTGTCTAGTTTTTAAGGGAAGATATTTCCTTTTTCACCATAGGCCTCAAAGCGCTCCAAATGTCCACTTGCAGATACTACAAAAAGAGTGTTTCAAACTTGCTCTATGAAAGGGAATGTTGAACTCTGTGACATGAATGCACACATCACAAAGATGTTTCTCAGAATGCTTCTGTCTAGATTTCATATGAAGGTATTCCCGTTTCCAACGAAATCCTCAAAGCTATCCAAATATCCACTTGCAGATTCTCCAAAAAGAGTGTTTCAAAACAGCTCTATCAAAAGAAAGGCTCAACTCTGTTAGTTGAGTACACACATGGGAAACAAGTTTCTGAGCATGCTTCTGTCTAGTTTTTATGGGAAGAGATTCCCTTTTTCACCATATGCCTCAAAACGCTCCAAATGTTCACTTCCAGATACTACAAAAAGAGTGTTTCAAACCTGCTCTATGAGAGGCAATGTTCAACTCTGTGAGTTGAATGCAAACATCACAAAGATGTTTCTCACAATGCTTCTGTCTAGATTTTATATGAAGATATTCCGTTTCCAATGAAATCGTCAAAGCTATCCAAATATCCACTTGTGGATTCTACAAAAAGAGTGTCTCAAAACTGCTCTATCAAAAGAAAGGTTCAAATCTGTTTGTGGAGTACATACATCACAAACTGGTTTCTGAGAATTCTTCTGTCTAGTTTTTATGGGAAGATATTTCCATTTTCACCATAGGCCCCAAAGCGCTCCAAATGTCCACTGCCAGATACTACAGAAAGAGTGTTTCAAACCTGCTCTATGAAATGGAATGTTCAACTCTCTGACTTGAATGGAAACATCACTAAGAAGTTTCTGAGAATGTTTCTGTCTAGATTTTATATGAAGATATTCCCATTTCCAACGAAATCCTCAAAGCTATCCAAATAGCCACCTGCAGATTCTACAAAAAGAGTGTTTCAAAACTGCTCTATCAAAAGAAAGGTTCAACTCTGTTAGTTGAGTACACACATCACAAACTAGTTTCTGAGAATTCTTCTGGCTAGTTATTATGGGAAGATATTTCCTTTTTCACCATAGGCTTCAAAGCGCTCCAAATGTCAACTTCCAGATACTACAAAAAGTCTGTTTCAAACCTGCTCTATGAAATGGAATGTTCAACTCTGTGACTTCAATGCAAACATCACTAAGGTTTCTGAGAATGCTTCTGTCTAGATTTTATATGAAGATATTCCCGTTTCCAACGAAATCCTCAAAGCTATCCAAATATCCACTTGCAGATTCTACAAAAAGAGTGTTTCAAAACCGCTCTATCGAAAGAAAGTTTCAACTCTGTTACTTGAGTACACACATCACAAACTAGTTTCTGAGAACTCTTCTGCATAGTTTTTAAGGGAAAATATTTCCTTTTTCAACATAGGCCTCAAAGCGCTCCAAATGTCCACTTCCAGATACTACAAAAGGAGTGTTTCAAACCTGCTCTATGAAAGCGAATGTTCAACACTGTGAGTTGAATGCAAACATCACAAAGATGTTTCTCAGAATGCTTCTGTCTAGATTTTATATGAGGATATTCCATTTCCAAAGAAATCGTCAAAGCTATCCAAATATCCACTTGCAGATTCTACAAAAAGACTGTGTCAAACCTGCTCTATGAAATGGAATGTTCAACTCTGTGACTTGAATGCAAACTTCACTAAGAGGTTTCTGAGAATGCTTCTGTCTAGATTTTATATGAAGATATTCCCGTTTCCAACGAAATCGTCAATGCTATCCAAATATCCACTTGCAGATTCTACGAAAAGACTGTTTCTAACCAGCTCTATGAAATGGAATGTTCAACTCTGTTAGTTGAGTACACACATCACAAGCTAGTTTCTGAGAATTCTTCTGTCTAGTTTTTATGGGACGATATTTCCATTTTCACCTAAAGCCCCAAAGCGCTCCAAATGTCCACTTCCAGATACTACAGAAAGAGTGTTTCAAACGTCCTCTATGAAATGGAATGTTCAACTCTGTGACTTGAATGGAAACATCACTAAGATGTTTCTGAGAATGTTTCTGTCTAGATTTTCTATGAAGATATTCCCGTTTCCAACGCAATCTTCAAAGCTATCAAAATATCAACTTGCAGATTCTACTAAAAGAGTGTTTCAAAACTGCTCTATGAAAAGAAAGGTTCCACTGTGTTAGTTGAGTACACACATCACAAACTAGTTTCTGAGAATTCTTCTGGCCAGTTATTATGGGAAGATATTTCCTTTTTCACCATAGGCCTCAAAGCGCTCCAAATGTCAAATTCCAGATACTACAAAAAGTGTGTTTCAAAACTGCTCTATGAAACGGAATGTTCAACTCTGTGACTTCAATGCAAACATCACTAAGAGGTTTCTGAGAATGCTTCTTTCTAGATTTTATATGAAGATATTCCCATTTCCAATGAAATCCTCAAAGCTATCCAAATATCCACTTGCAGATTCTACAAAAAGAGTGTTTCAAAACTGCTCTATCAAAAGAAGGGTTCAACTGTGTTAGTTGAGTACACACATCACAAACTATTTTCGGAGAATTCTTCTCTCTAGTTTTCATGGGAAGATATTTCCTTTTTCATCAAATGCCTCAAAGCGCTCCAAATGTCCACTTCCAGATACTACAAAAAGAGTGTTTCTAACCTGCTCTATGAAAGGGAATGTTGAACTCTGTGACATGAATGCAAACATCAGAAACATGTTTCTCAGAATGCTTCTGTCTAGATTTAATATGAAGACATTCCCGTCTCCAACGAAATCGTCAAAGCTATCCAAATATCCACTTGCAGTTTCTCCAAAAAGAGTGTTTGAAAACACCTCTATCAAAAGAAAGGTTCAACTCTGTGAGTTGAGTACACACATCACAAACAAGTTTCTGAGAATGCTGCTGTCAATTTTTTATGGGAAGAGATTCCCTTTTTCACCATATGCCTCAAAGCGTTCCAAATGTCCACTTCCAGATACTACAAAAAGAGTGTTTGAAACCTGCTCTATGAAAGGGAATGTTCAACTCTGTGACTTCAATGCAAACATCACAAAGATGTTTCTCAGAATGCTTCTGTCTAGATTTATTATGAAGATATTCCCGTTTCCAATGAAATCCTCAAAGCTATCCAAATATCCACTTGCAGATTGTACAAAAAGAGTGTTTCAAAACTGCTCTGTCAAAAGAAAGGTTCAACTCTGTTAGTTCAGTACACATATCACAAATTTCTGAGAATGCTTCTGTCTAGTTTTTATATGAAGATATTTCCTTTTTCACCATAGGCCTGAAAACGCTCCAAATGTCCACTCCTAGATACTACAAAAACAGTGTTTCAAACCTGCTCTATGAAAAGGAATGGAAGAAACCCATCGGGAGGAGCCAAGATAGCTGAATAGGAACAGCTCCAGTTATAGCTCCCAGCGTGAGCGACGCAGAAGACGGGTGTTTTCTGCATTTCCATCTGAGGTACCAGGATCATCTCACTAGGGAGTGCCAGACATTCGGCCCAGGTCAGTGGGTGCATGCACCCTGCGCAAGCTGAAACAGGGCGAGGCATTGCCTCACTTGGGAAGCCCAAGGGGTCAGGGAGTTCCGTTTCCCAGTCAAAGAAAGGGGTGACGGAAGCACCTGGAAAATCGGGTCACTCCCACCCTAATACTGCGCTTTTCCCACCAGCTTAAAATACGGCACACCACGAGATTATATCCCGCACCTGACTCGGAGGGTCCTACGCCCACAGAGTCTCCCTGATTGCTAGCACAGCAGTCTGAGATTAAACTGCAAGGCGGCAGTGAGGCTGGGGGAGGGGCGCCCGCCATTGCCCAGGCTTGCTTAGGTAAACAAAGCAGCCAGGAAGCTCCAACTGGGTGGAGCCCACCACAGCTCAAGGAGCCCTGCCTGCCTCTGTAGGCTCCACCTCTGGGGGCAGGGCACAGACAAACAAAAATACAGCAGTAACCTCTGCGGACTTAAATGTCCCTGTCTGACAGCTTTGAAGAGAGCAGTGGTTCTCCCAGAATGCAGCTGGAGATCTGAGAATGGGGAGACTGCCTCCTCAAGTGGGTCCCTGACCCGTGACCCCTGAGCAGCCTAACTGGGAGGCACCCCCCCAGCAGGGGCACACTGACACCTCTCAAGGCAGGGTATTCCAACAGACCTGCAGCTGAGGGTCCTGTCTGTTAGAAGGAAAACTAACAAACAGAAAGGACATCCACACCAAAAACCCATCTGTATATCACCATCATCAAAGACCAAAAGTAGATAAAACCACAAAGATGGGGAAAAAACAGAACAGAAAAACTAGAAACTCTAAAAAGCAGAGTGCCTCTCCTCCTTCAAAGGAATACAGTTCCTCACCAGCAATGGAACAAAGCTGGATGGAGAATGACTTTGACGAGCTGAGAGAAGAAGGCTTCAGATGATCAAATTACTCTGAGCTACAGGAGGACATTCAAACCAAAGGCAAACAAGTTGAAAACGTTGAAAAAAATTTAGAAGAATGTATAACTAGAATAACCAATACAGAGAAGTGCTTAAAGGAGCTGATGGAGCTGAAAACCAAGGCTCGAGAACTACGTGAAGAATGCAGAAGCCTCAGGAGCCGATGCGATCAATTTGAAGAAAGGGTATCAGCAATGGAAGGTGAAATGAAAGAAATGAAGTGAGAAGGGAAGTTTAGAGAAAAAAGAATAAAAAGAAATGAGGAAAGCCTCCAAGAAATATGGGACTATGTGAAAAGACCAAATCTACATCTGATTGGTGTACCTGAAAGTGACAGGGAGAATGGAACCAAGTTGGAAAACACTCTGCAGGATATTATCCAGAACTTCCCCAATCTAGCAAGGCAGGCCAACGTTCAGATTCAGGAAATACAGAGAACGCCACAAAGATACTCCTTGAGAACAGCAACTCCAAGAAACATAATTGTCAGATTCACCAAAGTTGAAATGAAGGAAAAAATGTTAAGAGCAGCCAGAGAGAAAGGTCGGGTTACTCTCAAAGGGAAGCCCATCAGACTAACAGCGGATCTCTCAGCAGAACCTCTACAAGCCAGAAGAGAGTGGGGGCCAATATTCAACATTCTTAAAGAAAAGAATTTTCAACCCAGAATTTCATATCCAGCCAAACTAAGCTTCATAAGTGAAGGAGAAATGAAATACTTTACAGACAAGCAAATGCTGAGAGATTTTGTCACCACCAGGCCTGCCCTAAAAGAGCTCCTGAAGGAAGTGCTAAACATGGAAAGGAACAACCGGTACCAGCCACTGAAAAATCATGCCAAAATGTAAAGACCATCGAGACTAGGAAGAAACTGCATTAACTAACGAGCAAAATAACCAGCTAACATCCTAATGACAGGATCCAATTCACCCATAACAATATTAACTTTAAATGTAAATGGACTAAATGCTCCAATTAAAAGACACAGACTGGCAAATTGGATAAAGAGTCAAGACCCATCAGTGTGCTGTGTTTAGGAAACCCATCTCACATGCAGAGACACACATAGGCTCAAAATAAAAGGATGGAGGAAGATCTACCAAGCAAATGGAAAACAAAAAAAGCAGGGGTTGCAATCCTAGTCTCTGATAAAGCAGACTTTAAACCAACAAAGATCAAAAGAGACAAAGAAGGCCATTACATAATGGTAAAGGGATCAATTCAACAAGAAGAGCTAACTATCCTAAACGTATATGCACCCAATACAGGAGCACCCAGATTCATAAAGCAAGTCCTGAGTGACCTACAAAGAGACTTAGACTCCCACACATTAATAATGGGAGACTTTAACACCCCACTGTCAACATTAGACAGATCAATGAGACAGAAAGTCAACAAGGATACCCAGGAATTGAACTCAGCTCTGCACCAAGCGGACCTAATTGACATCTACAGAACTCTCCACCCCAAATCAACAGAATATACATTTTTTTCAGCACCACACCACACCTATTCCAAAATTGACCAC
The DNA here is from genome assembly GCF_000001405.40 of Homo sapiens. Taxonomy (NCBI): domain Eukaryota; kingdom Metazoa; phylum Chordata; class Mammalia; order Primates; family Hominidae; genus Homo; species Homo sapiens. The sequence continues at coordinate 15,983,516 of NC_000022.11, read as the reverse complement.
ATATTTGGAAGTAAAGCTCTCCTCAGCAAATGTATAATAACAGAGATTATAACAAACTATCTCTCAGATCACAGTGCAATCAAACTAGAACTCAGGATTAACAGTCTCACTCAAAACCACTCAACTACATGGAAACTGAACAACCTGCTCCTGAATGACTACTGGGTACATAACGAAATGAAGGCAGAAATAAAGATCTTCTTTGAAACCAACAAGAACAAAGACACAACATACCAGAATCTCTGGGACACATTCAAAGCAGTGTGTAGAGGGAAATTTATAGCTCTAAATTCCCACAAGAGAAAGCAGGAAAAATCCAAAACTGACACCCTAACATCACAATTAAAAGAACTAGAAAAGCAAGAGCAAACACATTCAAAAGCTAACAGAAGGCAAGAAATAACTAAAATCAGAGCAGAACTGAAGGAAATAGAGACACAAAAAACCCTTCAAAAAAATTAATGAATCCAGGAGCTGGTTTTTTGAAAAGATCAACAAAATTGATAGACCGCTAGCAAGACTAATAAAGAAAAAAAGGGAGAAGAATCAAATAGACACAATAAAAAATGATAAAGGGGATATCACCAATGATTCCACAGAAATACAAACTACCATCAGAGAATACTACAAACACCTCTACACAAATAAACTAGAAAATCTAGAAGAAATGGATAAATTCCTGGACACATACACTCTCCCAAGACTAAACCAGGAAGAAGTTGAATCTCTGAATAGACCAATAACAGGATCTGAAATTGTGGCAATAATCAATAGCTTACCAACCAAAAAGAGTCCAGGACCAGATGGATTCACAGCCGAATTCTACCAGAGGTACAAGGAGGAACTGGTACCATTCCTTCTGAAACTATTCCAATCAATAGAAAAAGAGGGAATCCTCCCTAACTCATTTTATGAGGCCAGCATCATTCTGATACCAAAGCCAGGCAGAGACACAACCAAAAAAGAGAATTTGAGACCAATATCCTTGATGAACATTGATGCAAAAATCCTCAATAAAATACTGGCAAAACGAATCCAGCAGTACATCAAAAAGCTTATCCACCAAGATCAAGTGGGCTTCATCCCTGGGATGCAAGGCTGGTTCAATATACACAAATCAATAAATGTAATCCAGCATATAAACAGAGCCAAAGACAAAAACCACATGATTATCTCAATAGATGCAGAAAAAGCCTTTGACAAAATTCAACAATGCTTCATGCTAAAAACTCTCAATAAATTAGGTATTGATGGGACACATTTCAAAATAATAAGAGCTATCTATGACAAACCCACAGCCAATATCATACTGAATGGGCAAAAACTGGAAGCATTCCCTTTGAAAACTGGCACAAGACAGGGATGCCCTCTCTCACCACTCCTATTCAACATAGTGTTGGAAGTTCTGCCCAGGGCAATTAGGCAGGAGAAGGAGATAAAGTGTATTCAATTAGGAAAAGAGGAAGTCAAATTGTCCCTGTTTGCAGACGACATGATTGTATATCTAGAAAATCCCATTGTCTCAGCCCAAAAGCTCCTTAAGCTGATAAGCAACTTCAGCAAAGTCTCAGGATACAAAATCAATGTACAAAAATCACAAACATTCTTATACACCAGCAGACAAACAGAGAGCCAAATCGTGAGTGAACTCCCATTCACAATTGCTTCAAAGAGAATAAAATACCTAGGAATCCAACTTACAAGGGATGTGAAGGACCTCTTCAAGGAGAACTACAAACCACTGCTCAAGGAAATAAAAGAGGATACAAACTAATGGAAGAACATTCCATCATCATGGATAGGAAGAATCAACATTGTGAAAATGGCCATACTGCCCAAGGTAATTTACAGATTCAATGCCATCCCCATCAACCTACCAATGACTTTCTTCACAGAATTGGAAAAGACTACTTTAAAGTTCATATGGAACCAAAAAAGAGCCCGCATCACCAAGTCGATCATAGGCCAAAAGAACAAAGCTGGAGGCATCACAGTACCTGACTTCAAACTATACTACAAGGCTACAGTAACCAAAACAGCATGGTACTGGTACCAAAACACAGATATAGATCAATGGAACAGAACAGAGCCCTCAGAAATAACGCCACATATCTACAACTATCTGATCTTTGACAAACCTGAGAAAAACAAGCAATGGGGAAAGGATTCCCTATTTAATAAATGGTGCTGGGAAAACTGGCTACTCATATGTAGAAAGCTGAAACTGGATCCCTTCCTTACACCTTATACAAAAATCAATTCAAGATGGATTAAAGACTTAAACGTTCGGCCTAAAACCACAAAAACCCTAGAAGAAAACCTAGGTATTACCATTCAGGACATAGGCATGGGCAAGGACTTCATGTCTAAAACACCAAAAGCAATGGCAACAAAAGACAAAATTGACAAATGGGATCTAATTAAACTAAAGAGCTTCTGCACAGCAAAAGAAACTACCATCAGAGTGAAGAGGCAACCTACAAAATGGGAGAAAATTTTCACAACCTATTCATCTGACAAAGGGCTAATATCCAGAATCTACAATGAACTCAAACAAATTTACAAGAAAAAAACAACCCCATCAAAAAGTGGGTGAAGGACGTGAAGAGACACTTTTCAAAAGAAGACATTTATGCAGCCAAAAAACACATGAAAAAATGCTCATCATCACTGGCCATCAGAGAAATGCAAATCAAAACCACAATGAGATATCATCTCACACCAGTTAGAATGGCAATCATTAAAAAGTCAGGAAACAACAGGTGCTGGAGAGGATGTGGAGAAATAGGAACACTTTTACACTGTTGGTGGGACTGTAAACTAGTTCAACCATTGTGGAAGTCAGTGTGGCGATTCCTCAGGGATCTAGAACTAGAAGTACCATTTGACCCAGCCATCCCATTACTGGGTATATACCCAAAGGACTATAAATCATGCTGCTATAAAGACACATGCACACGTATGGTTATTGCGGCATTATTCACAATAGCAAAGACTTGGAACCAACCCAAATGTGCAACAATGATAGACAGGATTAAGAAAATGTAGCACATATACACCATGGAATACTATACAGCCATAAAAAATTATGATTTCATGTCCTTTGTAAGGACATGGATGAAATTGGAAATCATCATTCTCAGTAAACTAAACTATCGCAAGAACAAAAATCCAAACAACGCATATTCTCACTCATAGGTGGGAGTTGAACAATGAGATCACATGGACCCAGGAAGGGGAATATCACACTCTGGGGACTGTGGTGGGGTGGGTGGAGGGGGGAGGGATAGCATTGGGAGATATACCTAATGCTAGATGACAAGTTAGTGGGTGCAGTGCACCAGCATATCACATGTATACTTATGTAACTAACCAGCACAATGTGCACATCTACCCTAAAACTGAAAGTATAATAAAACAATAAAAAATAAAAAAAATAATAAAATAAAAAAAGAAGCCCATCATTAAGTTGAAAATGTCTTAAGCTGAAAATGCATTCAATAAAAAAAAAAGAAAGGGAATGTTCAACTCTGAATTGAATGCAGACATCAAAAAGATGTTTCTCAGAATGCTTCTCTCTAGATTCCACATGAAGTTATTCCCGTTTCCAATGAAATCCTCAAACTATCCAAATATCCACTTGCAGATTCTACAAAAAGAGTGTTTCAAAACTTCTCTATCAAAAGAAAAGTTCAACTCTGTGACCTGAGTACACACATCACAAACAGGTTTCTGAGAAAGCTTCTGTCTAGTTTTTATGGAAGAGATTTCCTTTTTCACCATATGCCTCAAAGTGCTCCAAATGTCCACTTCCAAATACTACAAAAAGAGTGTTTCAAACCTGCTCTATGAAAAGGAATGTCCAAGTCTGTGACTTGAATGCAAGCATCACAAAGTTGTTTCTCAGAATGCTTCTGTCTATATTTCATATGAAGATATTCCCGTTCAAAACGAAATCCACAAAGCTATCCAAATATCCACTTGCAGATTCTACAAAAAGAGTGTTTCAAAACTACTCTATCAAAAGAAAGGTTCAACTCAGTTGAGTACACACATCACAAACAAGTTTCTGAGAATGCTTCTGTCTACTTTTTATGGGAAGATATTTTCTTTTTCACCATAGGCCTCAAAGCGCTCCAAATGTCCACTTCCAGATGGTACAAAAAGAGTGTTTCAAATCTGCTCCATGAAAGGGAATGTTCGCCTCTCACTTGAATGCAAACATCACAAAGATGTTTCACAGAATGCTTCTGTCTAGATTTTATATGAAGATATTCTCGTTTCCAACAAAATCCTCAAAGCTATCCAAATATCCACAGGCAGACTCTACAAAAGGAGTGTTTCAAAACTGCTCTATCAAAAGAAAGGTTCAACTCTGTTAGTTGAGTCCACAGATCACAAACTAGTTTCTGACAACTCTTCTGTCTAGTTTTTAAGGGAAGATATTTCCTTTTTCACCATAGGCCCCAAAGGGCTCCAAATGTCCACTTGCAGATACTACAAAAAGAGGGTTTCAAACTTGCTCTATGAAAGGGAATGTTGAACTCTGTGACATCAATGCATACATCACAAAGATGTTTCTCAGAATGCTTCTGTCTAGATTTCATATGACGGTATTCCCGTTTCCAACGAAAACCTCAAAGCTATCCAAATATCCACTTGCAGATTCTCCAAAAAGAGTGTTTCAAACCTGCTGTATGAAAAGAAAGGTTCACCTCTTTGAGTTGAGTACACACATCACAATGGAGTTTCTGAGAATGCTTCTCTCTAGTTTTTATGGGAAGATATTTCCTTTTTCACCATGGGCCTCAAAGCGCTCCAAGTTTCCACTTACAGATTTTACAAAAAGAGTGTTTCAAACCTGCTCTATGAAAGGAGTGTTCAACTCTGTGAGTTGAATGCAACCATCACAGAGAAGTTTCTGAGAATTATTCTGTCTAGTTTCTATGTGAAGATATACACATTTCCAGCGAAGGCCTCAAAACTGTTCAAATATCCACTTGCAAATTCTATAAAAAGAGTGTTTCCAATCAGCTATATCAAAGGAAAGTTTCAAATCAATGAGTGGAATGCACACATCACAAAGAAGCTTCTGAGAATGCTTCTCTCTAATTTTATGTGAAGATATTCCCGTTTCCAATGAAATCCACAGTGCTGTACTAATATCCACTTGTAAATACAACAAGAAGAGTGTTTCAAAACTGCTGTAACAAAGGAAAGGTTTAACTCTGTGAGTTGAGTACACACATCACAAAGAAGTTTCTGAGAATTTTTCTGTCCAGTTTTTATGGGAAGATATTTCCTTTTTCACCGAAGACCTCAAAGTGCTCCAAGATTACACTTACAGATTCTCCAAAAAGAATGTTTCAAAACTGCTCTATGAAACGGAATGTTCAATTCAGTGAGTTCAATGCAAGCATCACAAAGAAGTTTCTGAGAATGCTTCTGTCTAGTTTTTATGTGAAGATATTCCCGTTTCCAACAAAAGCCTCAAAACTATCCAAATATCCACTTGCAGATTCTACTAAAAGAGTGTTTCGAAACTGCTCTATCAAAAGAATGGTTCAACTGTGTTAGTTGAGTACACACATCACAAAGTAGTTTCGGAGAATTCTTCTGTCCAGTTTTTATGTGAAGATATTTCCTTTTCACCACAGGACTCAAAGCGCTCCAAATGTCCACTTCCAGATACCACAAAAAGGATTTTTCAAAGCTGCTCTTTGAAAGGGAATGTTCAACTCCCAGAGTTAAATGCAAACATCACAGAGCAGTTTCTGAGAATGCTTCTGTCTAGTTTTTATTTGAAGATATTTCCGTTTCCAACGAAACACTCAAAGCTGTCCTAATATCCACTGGTAAAGTCTAGAAGAACAGTGTTTCAAACCTGCTGTATCAAAAGAAAAGTTTAACTCTATGAGTTGAGTACACACATCACAAAGAAGCTTCTGAGAATGCTTCTGTCTGGTTTTACGTGAAGATATTTCCTTTTTCACTGCAGGCATCAAAGCTTTCCAAATGTCCACTTCCAGATACAACAAAAAGAGTGTTTCAAAACTTCTCTATGAAAGGGAATGTTCAACTCTGTGAGCTGAATGCAAACATCACAAAGAAGTTTCTGAGATTGCTTCTGTCTAGTTTTAATATGAAGATATTCCCGTTTCCAACGAAAGCCTCACAGCTATCCAAATATCCACTTGCAGAGCCTACAAAAGGAGTGTTTCAAAACTGCTCTGTGAAAAGAAGAGTTCAATTATGTGAGTTGAGTACACACATCGCAAAGACGTTTCTGAGAATTCTTCTGTCTAGTTTTTATGGGAAGATATTTCCTTTTTCACCACAGGCCTCAAAGCGCTCCAAATGTCCACTTTCAGACACTACAAAAAGAGTGTTTCAAAACTGCTATATGAAAGGGAATGTTCAACTCTGTGAGTTGAATGCGAACATCACAAAGAGGTTTCTGAGAATGCCTCTGTCTAGTTTTTATGTGAAGATATTCCCGTTTCCAATGAAATCCTCAAAGCTATGCAAATATCCACTTGCAGACTCTACAGAAAGAGTGTGGCAAAACTCCTTTATCAAAAGAAATGTTCAACTCTGTGAGTTGAGTACACACATCACAAAGAAGTTTCTGGGAATTATTTTCTCTAGTTTTTATGGGAAGATATTTCCTTTTTCACCATAGGCCTCAAAGCACTCCAAGTTTCCACTTACAGATACTACAAAAAGAGTGTTTCAAAACTGCTCTATGAAAAGGAATGTTCACCTCAGTGAGTTGAATGCAGGCATCACAAAGAAGTTTCTGAGAATGCTTCTATCTATTTTTTATGTAAAGATATTCCCGTTTCCAACGAAATCCTCAAAGCTATACAAATATCCACTTGCAGACTCTACAAAAAGTGTGTTTCAAAACTGTTCTATCAAAAGAAAAGTCCAACTCTGTGAGTTTAGTACACCCATCACAAAGAAGTTTCTGAGAATGCTTCTGTCTAGTATTTATGTGAATGTATTCCCGTTTCCAATGAAATCCTCCCAGCTATCCTAATATCCACTTGCAGACCCTACAAAAAGAGCGTTTCAAAACTGCTCTATCAAAAGAAAAATTCAACTCTGCGATTTTAATACACACATCACAAAGAGGTTTCTGAGAATTCTTCTGTCCAGTTTTCATGGGAAGATATTTCCTTTTTCATCATAGGCTTCAAATCGCTCTATGTTTCCATTTACAGATTCTACAAAAAGAGTGTTTCTAAACTGCTCTAAGAAAAGGAGGGTTCAACTCTGTGAGTTGAATGCAGGCATCTCAAAGAAGTTTCTGAGGATTCTTCTGTCCAGTTTTTATGTGAAGATATAGATTTTCCAGCGAAGGCCTCAAAACTGTCCAAATAGCCAATTGGAAATTCTACAAAAAGAATATTTCCAATCTGCTATAAAAAAGGAAAGTTTAAAGTCAGTGAGTTGAATGCACACATCACAAAGAAGCTTCTGAGAATGCTTCTCTCTAGTTTTATGTGAAGATATTCCCGATTCCAACGAAATCCTCAATGTTGTACAAATATGCACTTGTAAATTCCAAAAGAAGAGTTTTTAAAATCTGCTGTATCACAGGAAGAGTTTAACTCTGTGAGTTGAGTACACACATCAAAAAGTAGCTTCTGAGAATGCTTCTGTCTACTTTTTATGTGAAGATATTTCCTTTTTCAAACTAGGTCTCAAATCGAACCAAATGTCCACTTGCAGATTCTACAAAAGGCGTGTTTCAAAACTGCTCTATGAAAGGGAATTTTCAACTCTGTGCGTTGAATGCAAACATCACAAAGGAGTTTCTGAGAATGCTTCGGTCTAGTTTTTATGTGAAGATATTCCCATTTCCAAGGAAATCCTCAAACGTATCCAAATATCCACTTGGAAATTCTACAAAAAGAGTGTTTCAAAACTGCTCTATCAAAAGAAAAGTTCAACTCTGTGAGTTGAGTACACACATCACAAAGGAGTTTCTGAGAATTCTTTTGTCTAGCTTTTATGTGAAGATATTTCCTTTTTCACCATAGGCCTCAAAGCGCTCCAAGTTTCCACTTCCAGATTCTACAAAAAGAGTCCTTCAAAACTGCTCTATGAAAAGGAATGTTCAACTCAGTGGGTTGAATGCAAGCATCACCAAGAAGTTTCTGAGAATGCTTCTGTGTAATTTTTATGTGAAGATATTTGCTTTTTCACCATGAGACTCAAAGCGCTCCAAATGTCCACTTCCAGATACTACAAAAAGAGTGTTTCAAAACTGCTCTTTGAGAGTGAATGTTCAACCCCAAGAGTTGAATGCAAACATCACAAAATAGTTTCTCAGAATGCTTCTGTCTAGTTTTTATGTGAAGATATTCACGTTTCCAACGAAATACGCAAAGCTGTCCAAATATCCACTTGTAAAGTCTACAAGAACAGTGTTTCAAAACTAGTGTATCAAAGGAAAGGTTTAACTCTGTGAGTTGAGTACACCCATCACAATGTAGTTTCTGAGAATGCTTCTGTCCAATTTTTATGTGAAGATATTTCCTTTTTCACCATAGGTATCAAATCGCTCCAAATGTCCACTTGCAGATTTCACAAGAAGAGTGTTTCAAAACTGCTGTATAAAAAGGAATGTTCAACTATGTGAGTTGAATGCAAACGTCACAAAGAAGTTTCTGAGAATGCTTCTCTCTAGTTTTTATGTGAAGATATTCCCGTTTCCAAGGAAAGCCTCAAAGCTATCCACATACCCACTTGCAGATTCTACAAGAAGAGTGTTTCAAAACTGCCGTATCAAATGAGAGGTTGAACTATGTGAGTTGAGTACAGACATCACAAAGAAGTTTCTGAGAAAGCTTCTGTCTAGTATTTATGTGAAGATATTCCCTTTTCCAACAAAATCCTCCCAGCTAAACAAATATCCACTTGCAGACCCTATAAAAAGAGTGTTTCAAAACTGCTCTATCTAAAGAAAAGTTCAACTCTGTGAGTTGAGTACACACATCACAAAGAAGTTACTGAGAATGATTCTGTCTAGTTTTTATGTGAAGATATACCCGTTTCCAGCGAAGGCCTCAAAATGTTCCAAATATCCATTTGCAAATTTTACAAAAAAATTCTTTCAAATCTGCTCTATCAAAGGCAAGTTTCAAAACAGTGAGCTGAATGCAAACATTCCAAAATAGTTTCTGAGAATCCTTCTCTCTAGATTTATGTGAAGTTATTCCCATTTCCAACGAAGTCCTCACTGCTGTCCTAATATCCACTTGTTAATTCTGCAAGAAGAGTTTTTCAAAACTGCTGTAACAAAGGAAAGGTTTAACTCTTTGAGTTGAGTATGCGCATCAGAAAGTAGTTTCTGAGAACGACTCTGCCTACTTTTTACGTGAAGATATTTATTTTTTCACCATAGGTCTCACATTGCATAAAATGTCTACTTGCAGATCCTATAAAAAGAGTGTTTCAAAACTGCTCTATGAAAAGGAATGTTAAACTCTTTGAGTTGAATGCAAACATCACAGAGAAGTTTCTGAGAATGTTTCTGTCTAGTGTTTATGTGAAAATATTCCCGTTTCCAATGAAATCCTCAAAGCTATCCAAATATCCACTTGCAGATTCTACAAAAAGAGTGTTTCATTAGATCCCATTTGTCAGTTTTTTCTTTTGTTGCCATTGCTTTTGGTGTTTTAGACATGAAGTCCTTGCCCATGCCTATGTCCTGAATGGTAATGCCTAGGTTTTCTTCTATGGTTTTTATGGTTTTAGGGGTAACGTTTAAGTCTTTTATCAATCTTGAATTTATTTTTGTATAAGGTGTAAGGAAGGGATCCAATTTCAGGTTTCTACATATGGCTAGCCAGTTTTCCCAGCACTATTTATTAAATAGGGAATCCTTTCCCCATTGCTTGTTTTTCTGAAGTTTGTCAAGGATCAGTTATTTGTAGATATGTGGCATTATTTCTGAGGGCTGTGTTCTCTTCCATTGATCTACATCTCTGTTTTGGTACCAGTACCATGCTGTTATGGTAACTGTAGCCTTGTAGTATTGTTTGAAGTCAGATAGTGTGATGCCACCAAAAGAAACTACCATCAGATTGAACAGGCAACCTACAAAATGGGAGAAAGTTTTCACAACCTACTCATCTGACAAAGGGCTAATATCCAGAATCTACAATGAGCTCAAACAAATTTACAAGAAAAAACAAAAAACCCCATCAAAAAGTGGGCGAAGAACATGAACAGACACTTCTCAAAAGAAGATATTTATGCAGTCAAAAAAACACATGAAAAAATGCTCATCATCACTGGCCATCAGAGAAATGCAAATCAAAACCACAATGAGATACCATCTCACACCAATTAGAATGGTAACCATTAAAAAGTCAGGAAACAAGAAGTGCTGGAGAGGATGTGGAGAAATAGGAACACTTTTACACTGTTGGTGGGACTGTAAACTAATTCAACCATTGTGGAATTCAGTGTGGCGATTCCTCAGGGATCTAGAACTAGAAATACCATTTGACCAAGCCATCCCATTAATGGGTATATACCCAAAGGACTATAAAGAATGCTGCTATAAAGACACATGCACAAGTATGTTTATTGTGACATTATTCACAATAGCAAAGACTTGGAACCAACGCAAATGTCCAAAAATGATAGACTGGATTAAGAAAACCTGACACATATACACCGTGGAATACTATGCAGCCATAAAAAATGATGAGTTCATGTCCTTTGTTGGGACACGGATGAAAATGGAAATCATCATTCTCAGTAAACTATCGTAACAACAAAAAACCAAACACCGCATATTCCACTCATAGGTGGGAATTGAACAATGAGATCCCATGGACACAGGAAGGGGAATATCACACTCTGGGGACTGTTGTGGGGTGGGGGGAGGGGGAAGGGATAGCATTGAGTGATATACCTAGTTCTAGATGACGAGTTAGTGTGTGCAGCGCACCAGCATGGAATGTATACATATGTGACTAACATGAATAATGTGCACATGTACCCTAAGACTTACAGTATAATAATAATAAAAAAAGAGTGTTTCAAACTGCTCTATCAAAAGAAAAGTTCAACTCTGTGAGTTGAGTACACATATCACAAAGAAGTTTCTGAGATTTCTTCTGCCTAGTTTTATGGGAAGATATTTCCTTTTTCACCATAGGCCTCAAAGCACTCCAAGTTTCCACTTACAGATTCTACAAAAAGAATGTTTCAAAACTGCTCTATTAAAAGGAATGCTCAACTCTGTGAGTTGAATGCAAGCATCACAAAGAAGTTTCTGAGAATGCTTCTGGGTCTAGTTTTTATGTGAAGATATAACCGTTTCCAGCGAAGGCCTCAAAGCTGTCCAAATATCCACTTGCAAATTCTACAAAAAGAGTGTTTCCAATCTGCTCTATCAAAAGAAAGTTTCAACTCTGTGAGTTGAATGCATACATCACAAAGAAGTTTCTGGGAATGCTTCTGTCTAGTTTTATGTGAAGATATTCCCATTTCCAATGAAATCCACAATGCTGTTCTAATATCCACCTGTAAATTCTACAAGAAGAGTGTTTCAAAACTGCTGTATCAAATGAAAGGTTTAACTTTGTGAGTTGAGTACACACATCACAAATTAGTTTTTGAGAATGCTTCTGCCTAGTTTTTATGGGAAGATATTTCCTTTTTCACAATAGGTCTTTAATCGCTCCAAATGTCCCTTTCCAGATACTACAAAAAGAGTGTCTCAAACTGCTCAATGAAAGGGAATGTTCAACTCGGTGAGTTGAATGCAAACAACACAAGGAAGTTTCTGAGAATGTTTCTGTCTAGTTTTTAAGTGAAGATATTCCAGTTTCCAATGAAATCCTCAAAACAATCCAAATATCCACTTGCAGACTCTACAAAAAGAGTGTATCACAATTGGTCTATCAAAAGAATCTTTCAAATCAGTGAGTTGAATGCAAGCATCACAAAGAAGTTTCTGAGAATTATTCTGTCCAGTTTTTATGTGAAGATATTCCCTTTTTCACCATAGGCCTCAAATCTCTCCAAGTTTACACTTACAGACTCTACAAAAAGAGTGTATCAAAACTGCTCTATGAAAAGGAATGCTCAGTTCTGTGAGTTGAATGCAAGCATCACAAAGAACTTTCTGAGAATGCTTCTGTCTAGTTTTTACGTGAAGATATTCCTGTTTCAAACGAAAGCCTCAGAGCTATCCAAATATTCACTTGCAGATTTTACAATAAGAGTGTTTCAAAACTGCTGCATCAAAAGAAAGGTTCAACTCTATGAGTTGTGTACACACATCACAAAGAAGTTTCTGAGAATGCTTCTGTCTGGTATTTATGTGAAGATATATACTTTTTCACCACAGGCCTTAATACACTCCAAATGTATACTTCCAGATACTACAAAAAGAGTGTTTCAAAACTGCTCTATGAAAGGGAATGTTCAACTCTGTGAGTTGAATGGAAAAATCACAAAGTAGTTTCTGAGAATGCTTCTGTCTAGTTTCTATATGAAGGTATTCCCGTTTCCAACGAAATCCACAAAGCTATCCTTATATCCACTTACAGATTGTACAAAAAGAGTGTTTCAAACTGCTCTATCAAAAGAAAACTTCAGCTCTTTGAGTTGAGTACACATATCACAAAGAAGTTTCTGAGAATTCTTCTGTCTAGTTTTTATGGGAAGATATTTCCTTTTTCACCACAGGCCTCAAAGCACTTCACGTTTCCACTTACAATTTCTACAAAAAGATTGTTTCAAAACTGCTCTATGGAAAGGAATGTTCAATTCTGTGAGTTGAATGCAAGCATCACAAAGAAGTTTCTGAGAATGCTTTTGTCTAGTTTTTATGTGAAGATATTCCCGTTTCCAACGAAATCCTCAAAGCTATCCAAATATCCACTTGCAGATTCTACACAAAGAGTGTTTCAAAACTACTGTATCAAAAGAAAGGTTCAACTGTGTGAGCTGAGTACCCACATCACAAAGAAGTTTCTGAGATGCTTCTGTCTACTTTTAATGTGAAGATATTTCCTTTTTCACGATGAGCCACAAAGCTGTCAAAATGTCCACTCCCAGATAATAAAAAAAAGTGTTTCAAAACTACTCTATGAAAAGGAATGTTCAACTCTGTGAGTTGAATGCAAGCATCACAAAGAAGTTTCTGACAATGCTTCTGTCTAGTTTTTATGTGAAGATATTCCCGTTTCCATTGAAAACCTCAAAGTTATCCAAATATCCAATTGCAGATTCTACAAAAAAAATTGTTTCAAAACTGTGGTATCAAAAGAAAGCTTCGACTCTGTGAGTTGAGTACATACATCACAAAGAAGTTTCTGAGAATGCTTCTGTCTAGTTTTTATGTGAAGATAGTCCTTTTTCACCATAGGCCTCAAAGCGCTCCAAATGTCCCCTTCCAGATACTGCAAAAAGAGTTTTTCAAAACTGCTCTATGAAAGGGAATGTTCAACTCTGTGAGTTGAATTCAAGCATCACAAAGAAGTTTCTCGGGATGCTTCTGTCTAGCTTTTATGTTAAGATATTCTGTTTCCAACGAAATCCTCAAAGCTATCCAAATATCCACATGCAGACTCTACAAAAAGAGTGTTTCAAAACTGCTCTATCAAAAGAAAAGTTCAACACTATGAGTTCAGTACACACATCACAAAGAAGTTCCTGAGAATTCTGTCTAGTTTTATGGGAAGATATTTCCTTTTTCACCTTTGGACAAAAAGGGCTCCAAGTTTCCACTTACAGATTCTACAAAAAGAGTGTTTCAAATCTGTTCTATGAAGAGGAATGCTCAACTCTGTCAGTTGAATGCAAGCATCACAAAGAAGTTCCTGAGAATGCTTCTGTCTTGTTTATATGTGAAGATATACCCGTTTCCAGCGAAGGCTTCAAGCTGTCCAAATATCCACTTGCAAATTCTACTAAAAGAGTATTTCCAATCTGCTCTATCAAATGAAAGTTTCATCTCTGTCAGTTGAGTGCACACATCACAAAAAGTTTCTGAAAATGCTTCTGTTTAGTTTTATGTGAAGATATTCCCCTTTCCAACGAAATCCCCAAAGCTGTCCTAATATCCACTTGTAAATTCTACAACAAGAGTGTTTCAAAACTGCCGTATCAAAGGAAAGTTTTAACTCTGTAAGTTGAGTACACACATCACAAAGTAGTTTCTGAGAATGCTTCTGTCTAGTTTTTATGTGAAGATATTTCCTTTTTCACCATAGGCCTCAAAGCACTTCAAATGTCCTCTTCCAGATACTACAAAAACAGTGTTTCAAAACTGCTCTATGAAAGGGAATGTTCAGCTCTGTGAGTTGAATGCAAGCATCACAAAGAAGTTTCTCAGGATGTTTCTGTCTAGTTTTTATGTTAAGATATTCCGTTTCCAACGAAATCCTCAAAGCTAACCAAATATCCACTTGCAGACTATGCAAAAAGAGTGTTTCAAAACTGCTCTATCAAAAGAAAAGTTCAACTGTATGAGTTCAGTACACACCTCCAAAATAAGTTCCTGAGAATTCTTCTATCTCGTTTTTATGGGAAGATATTTCCTTTTCCACCATTGGACACAAAGGTCTCCAAGTTTCCACTTACAGATTCTACAAAAAGAGTGTTTCAAAACTGTTCTATGAAAAGGAATGCTCAACTCTGTGAGTTGAATGCAAGCATCACAAAGAAGTTTGTGAGAATTCTTCTGTCTTCTTTTTATGTGAAGATATACCCGTTTCCAGTGAAGGCCCCATAGCTGTCAAAATATCCACTTGCAAATTCTACAAAAAGAGTATTTCCAATCTGCTCTACCAAAAGAAAGTTTTAACTGTGTGAGTTGAATGCACACATCACAAAGAAGTTTCTGAAAATGCTTCTGTTTAGTTTTATGTGAAGATAATCCCCTTTCCAATGAAATCCTCAATGCAGTTCTAATACCCACTTTTAAATTCTAAAACAAGAGTGTTTGAAAACTGCTGTATCAAAGGAAAGTTTTAACTCTGTAAGTTGAGTACACACATCACAAAGTCGCTTCTGAGAATGCTTCTGTCTACTTTTTTATGTGAAGATATTTCCTTTTACACCATAGGTCTCAAATCGCTCCAAAAATCCACTTCCAGATACTACAAAAAGAGTGTTTCAAAATTGCTCTATGAAAGGGAATGTTCAACTCTGTGAGTTGAAAGCAAGCATCACAAGGAAGTTTCTGAGAATTACTCTGTCTACTTTTTATGTGAAAATATTTCCCTTTTCACCATAGGTCTCAAACTGCTCCAAATGTCCACTTGCAGATTCTACAAAAAGAGTTTTTCAATCTGCTGTAACAAAAGAAAGGTTCAAGTCTGTGAGTTGAGTACACACATCACAAGAAGTTCCTGAGAATTCTTCTGTCTAATTTTTATGTGAAGATATTTCGTTTCTCACCATAGGCCTCAAAGTGCTCAAATGTTCACTCCCAGATACTACAAAAAGAGTGTTTCAAAACTGCTGTCTGAAAGGGAATGTTCAACTCTCTGAGATGAATGCAAACGTCACAAAGAAGATTCTGAGAATCCTTCTGTCTAGTTTTTACGTGAAGATATTCCCGTTTCCAATGAAATCCACAAAGATATAAAAAATAACCACTTGCAGATTCTACAAAAAGAGTGTTTCAAAACTGCTCTATCAAAAGAAAATTTCAACTTTGTGAGTTGAGTACATTCATCACAAAGAAGTTTCTGAGAATTCTTCTGTCTAGTTTTTATGGGAAGATATCTCCTTTTTCTCCATAGGCCTCAAAGCGCTCCAAGTTTCCACTTACACATTATACAAAAAGAGTTTTCAATACTACTCCATGAAAAGCAATATTCAACTCTGTGAGTTGAATGCACGCATCACAAGGAACTTTTTGAGAATGTTTCTGTCTAGTTTTTATGTGAAGATAATCCCGTTTCCAACGAAATTCTCAAAGCTATCCAAATATCCACTTGCAGACTCTACAAAAAGAGAGTTTCAAAACTGCTCTATTAAAGGAAAACTTCAACTCTGTGAGTTGAGTACACACATCACGAAGAAGTTTCTGAGAATTCTTCTGTCTAGTTTTTCTCGGAAGATATTTCCTTTTTCACCATAGGCTTCAAAAGGATCAAAGTTTCCACTTACAGATTCAAAAAAAGAGTGTATCAAAAGTGCTCTATGAAAAGGAATGTTCAACTTTGTGAGTTGAATGCAAGCATCACAAAGAAGTTTCTGAGAATGCTTTTGTCTAGTTTTTATGTGAAGATATTCCCATTTCCAATGAAAGACTCAAAGCTATCCAAATATGCACTTGCAGATTCTACAAAAAGAGTGTTTCAAAACAGCTGTATCAAAAGAAAGGTTCAAATCTGTGAGTTGAGTACACACATCACAAAGAAGTTTCTGAGAATGCTTCTGTCTAGTTTTTATGTGAAGATATTCCCATTTCCAATGAAAGCCTCAAAGCTATCCAAATATCCACTTGCAGATCCTACAAAAAGAGAGGTTCAAGAATGCTGTATCAAAAGTAAGTTTCAGCTCTGTCAGTTGAGTACCCACATCACAAAGAAGTTTCTGAGAATGCTTCTGTCTAATTTTCATGTGAAGATATTTCCTTTTTCACCATAGGCCTCAAAGCTCTCCAAATGTCCACTTCCAGATACTACAAAAAGAGTGTTTCAAAACTGCTCTATGAAAGAGAATGTTCAACTTTGTGAGTTGAATGCAAGCATCACAAAGAAGTTTCTGAGAATGCTTCTGCCTAGTTATGTGAAGATATTCCCGTTTCCAACGAAAGCCTCAAAACTATCCGAATATCCACTTGCAGATTCTACAAAAAGAGTATTTCAAAAGTGCTCTATCAATAGAAAAGTTCACCTGTGTGTGTTGAGTACACACATCACAAAGCAGTTTCTGAGAATTCTTCTGTGTAGCTTTTATGGGAAGATATTTCCTTTTTAAGCATAGGCCTCAAAGTGCTCCAAGTTTCCACTTGCGCATTTTACAAAAAGACAGTTTCAGAACTGCTCTATGAAAAGGAATGTTCAACTCTGTGAGTTGAATGCCAGCATCACAAAGAAGTTTCTGAGAATGCTTCTGTCTGGTACTTATATGAAGATATACCCGTTTCCAGCGAAAACCTCAAAGCTTCCAAATATCCATTTGCAAATTCTACAAAAAGATAGTTTGCAATCTGCTCTATCTACAGAAACTTTCAACTCTGTGAGTTTAATGCGCAAATCGCAAAGAAGTTTCTGAGAATGCTTCTGTCTACTTTTATGTGAAGATATTCCCGTTTCCAAGGAAATCCTCAATACTGTGCTAATATCCACTTGTAAATACTACAAGAGGAGTGCTTCAAAACTGCCGTGTCAAAGGAAAGTTTTAACTCTGTGAGTTGAGTACACACATCACCAAGTAGTTTCTGATAATGTTTCTTTCTACTTTTTATGTAAAGATATTTCCTTTTTCACCATATGTGTCAAATCGCACCAAACGTCCACTTCCAGATACTACAAAGGAGTGTTTCAAAACTGCTCTATTAAAGGGAATGTTGAACTGTGTGAGATGAATGCAAACATCAAAAAGAAGTATCTGAGAAAGCTTCTTTCTAGATTTTACGTGAAGATATTCCCGTTTCCAATGAAATCCAAAAACCTAACCAAGTATCCACTTGCAAACTCTACAAAAAGCGTGTTTCAAAACTGCTCTATCAAAAGAAAATTTCAACTCTGTGAGCTGAGTACACACATCACAAAGAAGTTTCTGAGAATTCTTCTGTCTAGTTTTTATGGGAGGATATTTCCTTTTTCACCATAGGCCTCAAAGCACTCCAAGTGTCCACTTCCAGATACTACAAAAAGAGTGTTTCAAAACTGCTCTATGAAAGAGAATGTTCAACTCTGTGAGTTGAATGCAAACATCAGAAAGAAGTTTCTGAGAATGCTTCTGTCTAGTTTTTATGTGAGGATATCCCCGTTCCCAACGAAATCCTCAAATATATCCAAATATCCACTTGCAGACACTACAAAAAGAGTGTTTCAAAACTGCTGTATCAAAAGAAAAGTTCAATTCTGTGAGTTGGGTTCACTCATCACAAAGAAGTTTCTGAGAATTCATCTGTCTAGTTTTTATGGGAAGATATATCCTTTTTCAACATAGGCCTCAAAGCGCTCCAAGTTTTCACTTACAGATTCTACAAAAAGAGTGTTTCAAAACTGCTATATGAAATGGAATGTTCAACTCTGTGAGTTGAATGCAAGCATCACAAAGAAGTTTCTGAGAATGCTTCTTTCTAGTTTTTATGTGAAGATATTCCCTTTTCCAACAAAAGCCTCATAGCTATTCAAATATTCACTTGCAGATTCTACCAAAAGGGTGTTTCAAAACTGATGTATCAAAAGAAATGTTCAAGTCTGTGAGTTGAGGGCACACATTCCAAAGAAGTTTCTGAGAATGCTTCTGTCTAGTTTTTATGTGAATATATTTCCTTTTTCACCACAGGCCTCAAAGCGCTCCATATGTCCAATTCCAGTTACTACAAAAAGAGTGTTTCAAAACTGCTCTATGAAAGGGAATGTTAAACTCAGTGAGTTGAAGGCAATCATCACAAAGAAGTTTCTGAGGATGCTTCTGTCTAGTTTTTATGAGAGGATATTTCCTTTTTCACCATAGGCCTCAAATCGCTCCAAGTTTCCACTTACAGATCCTACAAAAAGAGTGTTTCAAAACTGCTCTATGAAGAGGAATGTTCAACTCTGTGAGTTGAATGCAAGCATCACAAAGTAGTTTCTGAGAACGCTTCTGTCTAGTTTTTATGTGAAGATATATCCTTTTCCAGCAAAGTCCTCTACGCTGTCCAAATATCCAATTGCAAATTCTACAAAAAGAGTGTTTCCAATCTGCTCTATCAAAAGAAATTTTCAACTCTGTGAGTTGAATGCACACATCACAAATAAGTTTCTGAGAATGCTTCTGTCTAGTCTTATGTGAAGATATTCCCGTTTCCAATGAAATCCTCAGTGCTGTCATAATATCCACTTGTAAATCCTACTAGAATGGTGATTCAAAACTGCTGTATCAAAGAAAATGTTTAACTCTCTGAGTTAAATACACGCACCACAAATAGTTTCTGAGAATGCTTCTGTCTACTTTTCATGTGAAGATAATTCCTTTTCCACCATAGGTCTAAAGTCGCTCCAAATGTCCACTTGCAGATTCTACAAAAATAGTGTTTCAAAACTGCTCTATGAAAATGAATGTTCAACACTGCTAGTTGAATGCAAACATCACAAAGAAATTTCTGAGAGGGCTTCTGTCTAGTTATTATGTGAAGATATTCCCGTTTCCAAAGAAAGCCTCAAAGCTATACAAATATACACTTGCAGACTCTACAAAAAGAGTGTGTCAAAGCTGCTCTATCAAAAGAAAAGTTCAACGCTGTGAGTTGAATACACACATCACGAAGAAGCTTCTGAGAATCCTTCTGTCTAGTTTTTCTGGGAAGATATTTCCTTTTTCACAATAGGCCTCAAAGGGCTCCAAGTTTCCACCTACAGATTCTACAAAAAGGGTGTTTCAAAACTGCTATAGGAAAAGTAGTGTTCAACTCTGTGAGTTGAATGCAAGCATCTCAAAGAAGTTTCTGAGAATGCTTCTTTCTAGTTTTTATGTGAAGATATAACCGTTTAAAGCAAAGGCCTCAAAGCTGTCCAAATATCCACTTGCAAATTCTCCAAAAAGTGGGTTTCCAATCGGCTTTATCAAAAGAAAGTTTCAACTCTGTGAGTTGAATGCACACATCACAAAGAAGTTTCTGAGAATGCTTCTGTAGAGTTTTTATGTGAAGATATTTCCATTTTCACCTTAGGCCTCAAAGCACTCCAAATGTCCACTTTCAGATACTGCAAAAAGAGTACTTCAAAACTACTCTATGAAAGGGAATGTTCAACTCCGTTAGTTAAATGCAAACATCACAAGGAAGTTTCTGAGAATGCTTCTGTCTCGTTTTTATGTGAAGTTATTCCCCTTTCCAACGAAATTCTCAAAGGTATCCAAATATCCACTTTCAGACTCTACAAAAAGAGTGTTTCAAAACTGCTCTATCTAAAGAAAAGTTGAACCCTGTGATTTGAGTACACAGACCACAAAGAAGTTTCTGAGAATGCTTCTGTCTAGTTTTTATGGGAAAATATTTCCTTTCCCACTATAGGCCTCAAAGCGCTCCAAGTTTCCACTTACAGATTCTACAAAAAGAGTGTTTCAAAACTGCTCAATGAATAGGAATGTTCAACTCTGTGAGTTGAATGTAAGTATCATGAAGAAGTTTCTAAGAATGTTTCTGTCTAGTTTTTATGTGAAGATATACCCGTTTCCAGTGAAGGTCTCAAAGCTGTCCAAATATCCAATCGCAAATACTACAAAAAGAGGGTTTCCTATCAGCTGTATCAAATAAAGTTTCCACTCTGTTAGTTGAATGCACACGTCACAAAGAAGTTTCTGAGAATGCTTCTGTCTTGTTTTTATATGAAGATATTCCTGATTCCAACGAAATCCTCAAAGCTTTCCTAATATCCACTTGCAGATTCTACAAAAACAGTGTTTCAAAACTGTTCTATGAAAAGGAATGTTCAACTCTGTGAGTTGAATGCAAGCATCACAAAGAAGTTTCTGAGAAGGCTTCTGTCTAGTTTCATGTGAAGATATACCCGTTTCCAGCGAAGTCCTCAAAGCTGTCCAAATATCCACCTGCAAATTCTACAAAAAGACGGTTTCCAATCTGCTCTATCAAAATAAAGTTTCAACTCTGTGAGTTGAATGCACACATCAAAAAGAAATTTCTAAGAATGCTTCTGTCTAGTTTTATGTGAAGATGTTCCTGTTTCCAAAGAAATCCTCAATGCTGTCCTAATATGCACATGTAAATTCTGCAACAAGAGTGTTTCAAAACTGCTGTATCAAGGGTAAGGTTTAACTCTTTGAGTTGAGTACTCACATCACAAATTAGTTTCTGAGAATGCTTCTGTCTACTTTTCATGTGAAGATATTTCCTTTTTCACCATGGGTCTGAAATCGGTTCAAATGTCCACTTGCAGATTCTACAAAAAGAGTGTTTCAAAACTGTTCTACGAAAAGGAATGTTCAGCTCTGTGAGATGAATGCAAACATCACAAAGAAGTTTCTGAAAATTCTTCCATCTAGTGTTTATTTGAAGATATTCACGTTTCCAACGATATCCTCAAAGCTATCCAAATATCCACTTGCAGACTCTCCAAAAGAGAGTTTCAAAACTGCTCTATCAAAACAAAAGTTCAACTTTGTGAGTTGAGTACACCCAGCACAAGAAATTTCTGAGAATTCTTCTGTCTAGTTTTTATGGTAACATATTTCTTTTTTCACCATTGGTTATGAAGCACACCAAGTTTGCACTTACAGATTCTACAAAATGAGTGTTTCAATACTGCTCTATGAAAACGAATGTTCAACTCTGTGAGTTGAATGCTAGCATCGCAAAGAAGTTTCTGAGAATGCTTCTGCCTAGTTTTTATGTGAAAATATTCCCGTTTCCATCGAAATTCTCAAAGCGATCAAATATCCACTTGCAGATACTACAAAGAGAGTGGTTCAAAACTGCTCTATCAAAAGAAATGTTAAACTCCGTGAGTTGAGGGAGCACATCACAAAGAAGTTTCTGAGAATACTTCTGTCTTGTTATTATGTGAAGATATTCCTGTTTCCAGCGAAGGCCTCAATGCTGTCCAAATATCCACTTGCAAATTCTACAAAAAGAGTTTCCAATCTGCTCTATCAAGTAAAAGTTCAACTCTGTGAGTTGAATACACACATCACAAAGAAGATTCTCAGAATGCTTCTGTCTAGCTTTTATGTTATGATATTTACTTTTTCACCATAGGCCTCAAAGCACACCAAATGTCCAGTTGCAGATCCTGAAAATAGTGTGCTTCAAAACAGCTCTATCAAAAGAAGGGTTCAACAAGAACAAACATGTTTCTGATAATGATTCTGTCTAGTTTTTATGTGAAGGTATTCCGATTTCAAACGAAGGCCTCGAAGTGCTTCCAATGACCACTTGCAGATTCTACAAAAAGAGTCTTTGAAAACTACTCTATGAAAAGGAATTTCCAACTCTGGGAGTTGAATGCAATTGGAAACGGGAATATCTTCATATAAAATCTAGACAGAAGCATTGTGAGAAACATCTTTGTGATGTTTGCATTCAACTCACAGAGTTGAACATTCCCTGTAATAGAGCAGGTTTGAAACACACTTTTTGTAGTATCTGGAAGTGGACATTTGGAGCGCTTTGAGGCATATGGTGAAAATGGAAATATCTTCCCATAAAAACTAGACAGAAGAATTCTCAGAAACTAGTTTGTGATGTGTCTACTCATCTAACAGAGTTCAACATTTCTTTTGATAGAGCTGTTTTGAAACACTCTTTTTGTAGAATCTGCTAGTGGATATTTGTATAGCTTTGAGGATTTCGTTGGAAAGGGGAATTTATTCACATAAAATCTACACAGAAACATTCTCAGAAACTTCTTAGTGACGTTTGCATTCAAGTCACAGAGTTGAACATTCCATTTCACAGAGCAAGTTTGAAACACACTTTTGTAGTATCTGGAAGTGGACATTTGGAGCATTTTCAGGCCTATGCTGAAAAAGGAAATATCTTCCCATAAAAAATAAACAGAAGAATTCTCAGAAACTAGTTTGTGATGTGTGTACTCAACTAACAGATTTGAACCTTTCTTTTGATAGAGCAGTGTTCGAACACTCTTTTTGTAGAAACAGCATGTGGATATTTGGATAGATTTGTGGATTTCGATGGAAACAGGAATATCTTCATATAAAATCTAGACAGAAGCATTCTCAGAAACCTCTTAGTGTTGTTTGCATTGAAGTCACAGAGTGGAACATTCCATTTCATAGACCAGGTTTGAAACAGTCTTTTTGTAGAATCTGCAAGTGGATATTAGGATAGCTTTGATGATTTCGTTGGAAACGGGAATATCTTCATATACAATCTAGACAAAAGCACTGTGAGAAACATCTTTGTGATGTTTGCATTCAATTCACAGAGTTGAACATTCCCTTTCATAGAGCAGGTTTGAAACACTCATTTTGTAGTATGCAGAAGTGGATATTTGGAGCGCTTTGAGGCATATGGTGAAAAAGGGAAACTCTTCCAATAAAAAAAAGACAGAAGCATTCTCAGAAACGTGTTTGCGATGTGTGTACTCAACACACAGAGGTGAAATTTCTTTTGATACAGTTGTTTTGAAACAGTCTTTCTGGAGAATCCGCAAGTGGATATTTTGATAGCTTTGAGGATTTCGTTGGAGACGGGAATATCTTCATATAAAATCTAGACAGAAGCATTCTGAGAAACATCATTGTGATGTTTACATTCATGTCACAGAGTTCAACATTCCCTTTCATAGAGCAGGTTTGAAACACTCATTTTGTAGCATCTGGAAGTGGACATTTGGAGTGCTTTGAGGCCTATGGTGAAAAAGGAAACATCTTTCCTAAAAAACTAGACAGAAGAGATCTCAGAAACTAGTTTCTGATGTGTGTACTCAACTAACAGCGTAGAACCTTTCTTTCAATACAGCAGTTTTGAAACACTCTTTTTGTAGAATCTGCAAGTGGATATTTAGATAGCTTTGAGGATTTCGTTGGAAACGGGAATATCTTCATATGAAATCTAGACAGAAGCATTCTGAGAAACATCTTTCTGATGTTTGCATTCCTGTCACAGAGTTCAACATTCCCTTTCATAGAGCAGGTTTGAAACACTCTTACTGTAGTATCTGGAAGTGGACATTTGGAACACTTTGAGGCCAATGGTGGAAATGGAAATATCTTCCCATAAAAACTAGACAGAAGAATACTCAGAAACTAGTTTCTGATGTGGGTACTCAACTAACAGAGTTGAACTTTTCTTTTAATAGAGCTGTTTTGAAACACTCTTTTTGTAGAATCTGCAAGTAGATATTTGGATAGCTTTGACGATTTCCTTGGAAACGGGAATATCTTCATATAAAATCTAGACAGAAGCATTCTCAGAAACCTCTTAGTGATGTTTGCATTGAAGTCACAGAGTTGAACATTCCATTTCATAGAGCAGGTTTGAAACACTCTTTCTGTAGTAACTGGAAGTTGATATTTGGAGCGCTTTGAGGCCTGTGGTGAAAATGGAAATATCTTCCCATAAAAACTAGACAGAAGAATTCTCAGAAACTAGTTGGTGATGTGTGTACCCAACTAACAGAGTTGAACCTTTCTTTTGGTAGAGCTGTTTTGAGACACTCTTTTTGTAGAATCTGCAAGTGGATATTTGGATAGCTTTGACGATTTCTTTGCAAACGGGAAAATGTTCACATAAAATCTACACAGAAGCCTTCTCAGTAACTTCTTAGTGATGTTTGCATTCAAGTCACAGAGTTGAACATTCCATTTCATAGAGCAAGTTTGAAACACACTTTTTGTAGCTTCTGGAAATGGATATTTGGAGCGCTTTGATGCCTATGGTGAAAATGGAAATATCTTCCCATAAAAACCAGACAGAAGAATTCTCAGAAACTAGTTTGTGATGTGTGTACTTAACTAACAGAGTTGAACCTTTCTTTTGATATAGCAGTTTTGAAACACTCTTTTTGTAGAAACTGCAAGTGGATATTTTTACAGCTTTGATGATTTCTTTGGAAACCGGAATATCTTCATTTAAAATCTAGACAGAAACATTCTCAGAAACTTCTTAGTGGTGTTTGCATACAAGTCACAGAGTTGAACATTTAATTTTATGGAGCAGGTTTGAAACAGTCTTTTTGTAGAATCTGCAAGTGGATATTTGGATAGCTTTGACGATTCCGTTGGAAAGGTTAATATATTCATATAAAATCTAGACAGAAGCATTGTGAGAATCATCTTTGTGATGTTTCCATTCAAGTCACAGAGTTGAACATTCCCTTTCATAGAGCAGGTATGAAACACTCTTTTTGTAGTATCTGCAAGTGGATAATTAGAGCGCTTTGAGGCTCATGGTGAAAATGGAAATATCTTCCCATGAAAACTAGACAGAGGAATTCTCAGAAACTAGTTTGTGATGTGTGTACTAATTTAACAGATTTGAACCTTTCTTTTGATAGAACAGTTTTGAAACACTCTTTTTGGAGAATCTGCAAGTGGATATTTGGATACGTTTGAGGATTTCGTTGGAAATGGGAATATCTTCATATAAAATCTAGACAGAAGCATTCTCAGAAGCTTCTTAGTGATGTGTGCATTCAAGTCACAGAGTTGAACATTCCATTTCATAGAGCTGGTTTGAAACAGTCCTTTTGTAGAATCTGCAAGTGGATATTTGCATAGCTTTGACGATTTCGTTGGAATCAGGAATAACTTCATATAAAATCTATACAGAGGCATTGTGAGAAACAACTTTGTGATGTTTGCATTCAACTCACAGTGTTGAACACTCCCTTTCATAGAGCAGGTTTGAAACACTCTTTTTGAAGTATCTGGAAGTGGACATTTGGAGCGCTTTGAGGCATAAGGTGAAAAAGGGAATCTCTTCCCATAAAAACTAGACAGAAGCATTCTCAGACACTTGTTTGTGATGTGTGTACTGAACTCACAGAGTTGAACTTTTCCTTCATAGAACTGTTTTGAAATACTCTTTTTGTAGAATCTGCAAGTGGATATTTGGATAGCTTTGAGGATTTCGTTGGAAACGGGAATATCTTCATATGAAATCTAGACATTAGCATTCTGCGAAATATCTTTGTGATGTTTGCATTCATGTCACAGAGTTCAACATTCCCTTTCACAGAGCAGGTTTGAAACACTCTTTTTGTAGTATCTGGAAGTGGACATTTGGAGCGCTTTGAGGCCTATGTTGAAAAAGGAAATATCTTCCCCTAAAAACTAGGCAGAAGAGTTCTCAGAAACTTGTTTGTGATGTGTGTACTCAACTAACACAGTTGAACCTTTGTTTTGATAGAGCAGATTTGAAAGATTCTTTTTGTAGAACCTGCAAGTGGATATTTGGATACCTTTGAGGATTTCGTTGGAAAAGGGAATATCTTATAAGTTCTAGACAGAATCATTCTCAGAAAATTCTTAGTGATGTTTGCATTCAAGTCACAGAGCTGAATATTCCATTTCATAGAGCAGGTTTGAAACACTCTTTTTGTAGAATCTGCAGGTGGATATTTGGATAGATTTGACGATTTCGTTGGAAACGGTAATATCTTCATATAACATCTACACAGAAGCATTGTGAGAAACATCTTTGTGATATTTGCATTCAAGTCACAGAGTTGAACATTCCCTTTCATAGAGCAGGTTTCAAAAACTCTTTTTGTAGTATCTGGAAATGGACATTTTGAGCGTTTTGAGGCCTGTGGTGAAAAAGGAAATACCTTCCCATAAAAGCTAGACAGAAGAATTCTCAGAAACTGGTTTGTTATGTGTGTACTCAATTAACAGAGTTGAAACTTTCTTTTGATAGAGCAGGTTTGAAACACTCTTTTTGAAAAATCTGCAAGTGGATATTTGGATAGCTGGGACGATTTCATTGGAAACGGGAATGTCTTCATATAAAATCTAGAAAGAAGCATTCTCAGAAACTTCTAAGTGATGTTTGCATTCAAGTCACAGGGTTGAACTTTCCATTTCTTAGAGCAGGTTTGAAACAGTCTTTTTGTAGAATCTGCAAGTGGATATTTGGATAGCTTTGATGATACCGTTGGAAACGGGAATATCTTCATAGAAAATCTAGACAGAAGCATTGTGAGAAACATCTTTGCGATGTTCACATTCAAGTCACACGGTTGAACATTCCCTTTCATAGAGCAGGTTTGAAACCCTTTTTTTGTAGTATCTGGAAGTGGACATTTAGAGCGAGTTGAGGCTTATGGTGAAAATGGAAATATCTTCCCATAAAAACTAGACAGAAGAATTCTCAGAAACTAGTTTGTAATGTGTGTACTCAACTAACAGAGTTGAACATTTCTTTTGATAGAGCAGTTTCGAAACACGCTTTTTGTAGAATCTGCAAGTGGATATTTGGATAGCTTTGAGGATTTCGTTGGAAATGGGAATATCTTCATATAAAATCTAGACGGAAGCATTCTTAGAAGCTTCTTAGTGATGTTTGCATTCAAGTCACAGAGTTCAACATTCCATTTCATAGAGCTGGTTTGAAACCGTCCTTTTGTAGAATCTGAAAGTGGATATTTGGATAGATTTGACGATTTCATTGGAATCAGGATTATCTTCATATAAAATCTAGACAGAAGCATTGTGAGAAACTTCTTTGTGACGTCTCCATTCAACTCACAGAGTTGAACATTCCCTTTCATAGAGCACGTTTGAAACACTCTTTTTCTAGTATCTGGAAGTGGACATTTGGAGCGCTTTGAGGAATATGGTGAAAAAGGGAATCTCTTCCCATAAATACTAGAAAGAAGCATTCTCAGAAGCTAGTTTGTGATGTGTGTACTCAACTCACAGAGTTGAACCTTTCTTTTCATAGAACTGTTTTGAAACACGATTTTTGGAGAATCTGCAAGTGGATATTTGGATAGCTTTGAGGATTTCGTTGGAAACGGGAATATCTTCATATGAAATCTAGACAGAAGCATTCTGAGAAACATGTTTGTGACGTTTGCATTCCTGTCACAGAGTTCAACATTCCTTTTCATAGAGCAGGTTTGAAACACTCTTTTTGTAGCATCAGGAATTGGACATTTGGAGCACTTTCAGGCCTATGTTGAAATAGGAAATATCTTCCCTTTAAAAGTAGGCAGAAGAGTTCTCAGAATCTAGTTTGTGATGTGTGTACTCAACTAACACAGTTGAACCTTTCTCTTGATAGAGCAGATTTGAAAGACACTTTTTTTGGAATTTGCCATTGGATATTTGGATAGCTTTCATGATTTCGTTGGAAACGGGAACATCTTCATAGAAACTCTATACAGAAAGATTCTCAGTAACTTCCTTGAAATGATTGCATTCAAGTCACAGAGTTGAACATTCCATTTGATAGAGCAGGTTTGATACACACTTTCTGTGGTATCTGGAAGTGGACATTTGGAGGGCTTTGAGACCTATGGTGAAAATGGATATATCTTCCCCTAAAAACTACACAGAAGAATTCTCAGAAACTAGTTTGTGATGTGTGTACTCAACTAAAAGAGTTGAGCCTATCTTTTGAGAGAGCTGTTTTGAAACACCCTTTTTGTAGAACTTGCAAGTGCATAATTTGATAGCTTTCATGGTTTGACTGGAAACGGGAATATCTTCACATAAAATCTACACAGAAGGATTCTCAGAAACTTCCTAGTGAAGTTTGCATTCAAGCCAAAGAGTTGAACGTTGCAATTCATAGAGCAGGTTTGAAACACTCTTTCTGTGGTATCTGGAAGTGGACATTTGGAGCTCTTGAGGCCTATGGTGAAAATGGAAATATCTTCCCCTAAAAACTACACAGAAGAATTCTCAGAAACATGCTTGGATGTGTGTACTCAACTCACAGAGTTCAACCTTTCTTTTGATAGAGGTGTTTTGAAACACTCTTTTTGTAGAATCTGCAAGTGGATATTTGGATACCTTTAACGATTTCGTTGGAATCGGGAATGTCTTCATATAAAATCTAGACAGAAGCATTCTCAGAAAACACTTAGTGATGTTTGCATTGGAGTCACACAGCTGATCATTCCATTTCACAAAGCAGGTTTGAAAGACTCTTTTTGTAGTTTCTGGAAGTGGACTTTGCAGCGCTTTGAGGCCTATGGTGCAAATGAAAATATATTCCCCTCAAAACTGCACAGAAAAGTTCTCAGAAACTAGTTTGTGATGTGTGTACTCAACTAACACAGTTGAACTTTTCTTTGGATTGTGCAGTTCTGAAACACTCTTTTGGTAGAATCTGCAAGTGGATATTTGGATAGCTTTGAGCATTTCGTTAGAAACATTATTATCTTATAAAATCTAGACAGAGGCATTCTCAGAAACTTCTTATTGATGTTTTCATTCAACTCACAGAGGTGAAAATTCCATTTCATGGAGCTGGTTTGAAACACTCTTTCTGTGGTATCTGGAAGGGGACATTTGGAGCTCTTTGAGTCCTTCGGTGAATATGGAAATATATTCCCAAAATAACTAGACAGAAGAATTCTCAGAAATTAGTTTCTGATGTGTGAACTCAACTAACGGAGTTGAACATTTCTTTGATAGAACTGTTTGGAAACACTCTTTCTGTGTAGACCCTGCAAGTGTATATTGGGATAGATTTCACGATTTCATTAGAAACGGGAATATCTTCACATAAAATCTACACAGAAGGATTCTCCGAAACTTCCTAGTGATGTCTGCATTCAAGTCACAGAGTTGAACATTACATTTCATACAGAAGGTTTGAAACACACTTTTTGTAGTTTCTGGAACTGGACATTTGGAGCGCTTTGAGGCCTATGGTGAAAATGGAAATATCTTCCCCTAAAAACTAGACAGAAGAATTCTCAGAAACTTGTTTGTTATGGGTGCGCTCAACTCACACAGTTGAACTTTTCTTTTGATTGTGCAGTTCTGAAACAGTCTTTTTGTAGAATCTGCAAGTGGATATTTGGATAGCTTTGAGCATTTCGTTGGAAACGGGATTATCTTGTAAAATCTAGACAGAAGCATTCTCAGAAACTTCTTAGTGATGTTTTCATTCAAGTCACGGAGTTGAACATTCCATTTCATACAGCTGGTTTGAAACACTCTTTCTGTGGTATCTGGAAGTGGACATTTGGAAGGATTTGAGACCTTTGGTGAAAAAGGAAATATCTTCCCAAATTAACTAGACAGAAGAATTCTCAGAAACTAGTTTCTGATGTGTGAACTCAACTAACAGAGTTGAAACTTTCCTTTGATAGAACTGTTTTGAGAACTCTTTGTATAGAACCTGCAAGTGCATATTTGGATAGCTTTAACGATTTCATTAGAAACGGGAATATCTTGACATAAAATCTACACAGAAGGATTTTCAGAAACCTCCTACTGATGTTTGTATTCAAGTCACAGAGTTCAACATTACATTTCATACAGAAGGTTTCAAACACACTTTTTGTAGTTTCTGGAACTGGACATTTGGAGCGCTTTGAGGCCTATGGTGAAAATGGAAATATCTTCCCATAAAAGCTAGACAGAAGAATTCTCAGAAACTTGCTTGTGATGTGTGCACTCAACTAACACAGTTGAGTCTTTCTTTTGAGTGAGCAGTTTCGAAACACTCTGTTTGTAGAATCTGCAAGTGGATATTTGAATAGCTTTGAGGATTTCGTTGGAAACTGGATTATCTTATAAAATCTAGACAGAGGCATTCTCAGAAACTACTTATTGATGTTTTCATTCAACGAACAGAGATGAAATTTCCTTTTCATAGAGCTAGTTTGAAATACTCTTTCTGTGGTATCAGGAAGTGGACATTTGGAGCGCTTTGAGGCCTATGGTGAAAATGGAAATATCTTCCCATAAAAGCTAGACAGAAGAATACTCAGAAACTAGTTTGTGATGTGTGTGCACAACTAACAGAGTTGAGCATTTCTTTTGGTAGAGCTGTTTTGAAACACTCTTTTTGAAGAACCTGCAAGTGGTTATTTGGATAGCTTTCACGATTTCCTTGGAAACGGGAATATCTTCATATAAAATCTACACAGAAAGATTCTCAGTAACTTCCTTGTAATGATTGCTTTCAAGTTACAGAGTTGAACATTCCTTTTGATAGAGCAGGTTTGAAACACTCTTTCTGTGGTATCTGGAAGTGGACATTTGGAGCACTTTGAGGCCTATGGTGAAAATGGAAATATCTTCCCCTAAAAACTACACAGAAGAATTCTCAGAAACTTGTTTGTGATGTGTGTACTCAACTAACACAGTTGAACCTTTCTTTTGATAGAGCTGTTCTGAAACACTCTTTTTGCAGAATCTGCAAGTGCATATTTGGATACCTCTACCGATTTCGTTGGAAACCGAAATATCTTCAGATAAAATCTAGACAGAAACATTCTCAGAAACCTCTTAGTGATGATTGCATTGAAGTCACACAGCTGAACATTCCATTTCATAGAGCAGGTTTGAAACACTCTTTTTGTAGTTTCTGGAACTGGACATTTGCAGCGCTTTGAGTCCTACGGTGCAAATGGAAATATCTTCCCCTCAAAACTACACAGAAGAATTCTCAGAAACTAGTTTGTGATGTGTGTACTCAACTAACAGAGTTGAACTTTTCTTTTGATTGTGCAGTTCTGAAACACTCTTTTTGTAGAATCTGCAAGTGGATATTTGGATAGCTTTGAGCATTTCGTTGGAAATGGGATTATCTTGTAAAATCTAGACAGAAGCATTCTCAGAAACTTCTTAGTGATGTTTTCATTCAAGTCACAGATTTGAACATTCCATTTCATAGAGCTGGTTTGAAACACTCTTTCTGTGGTATCTGGAAGAGGACATTTGGAGTGTTTTGAGACCTTCGGTGAAAATGGAAATATCTTCCCAAATTAACTAGACAGAAGAATTCTCAGAAACTAGTTTCGGATGTGTGAACTCAACTAACAGAGTTGAACCTTTCTTTTGATAGAACTGTCTTGAAACACTCTTTCTGTAGAACCTGCAAGTGCATATTTGGATAGCTTTAAGGATTTCGTTAGAAACGGGAATATCTTCACATAAAATCTACACAGAAGGACTCTCAGAAACTTCCTACTGCTGTTTGCATTCAAGTCACAGAGTTGGACATTACATTTCATACAGAAGGTTTGAAACACACTTTTTGTAGTTTCTGGAACTGGACTTTTGGAGCGCTTTGAGGTCTATGGTGAAAATGGAAATATCTTCCCATAAAAACTAGACAGAAGAATACTCAGAAACTAGTTTGTGATGTGTGTACTCAACTAACAGAGTTGAGCCTTTCTTTTGGTAGAGCTGTTTTGAAACACTCTTTTTGAAGAACCTGCAAGTGGATATTTGGATAGCTTTCACGATTTCCTTGGAAACGGGAATATCTTCATATAAAATCTACACAGAAAGATTCTCAGTAACTTCCTTGTAATGACTGCTTTCAAGTTACAGAGTTGAACATTCCATTTGATAGAGCAGGTTTGAAACACTCTTTCTGTGATATCTGGAAGTGGACATTTGGAGCACTTTGAGGCCTATGGTGAAAATGGAAATATCTTCCCCTAAAAACTACACAGAAGAATTCTCAGAAACTTGTTTGTGATGTGTGTACTCAACTAACAAAGTTGAACCTTTCTTTTGATAGAGCTGTTCTGAAACACTCTTTTTGCAGAATCTGCAAGTGGATATTTGGATACCTCTACCGATTTCGTTGGAAACGGGAATATCTTCAGATAAAATCTAGACCGAAACATTCTCAGAAACCTCTTAGTGATGTTTGCATTGAAGTCACACAGCTGAACATTCCATTTCATAGAGCAGGTTTGAAACACTCTTTTTGAATTTTCTCGAACTGGACATTTGCAGCGCTTTGAGTCCTACGGTGCAAATGGAAATATCTTCCCCTCAAAACTACAGAGAAGAATTCTCAGAAACTAGTTTGTGATGTGTGTACTCAACTAACAGAGTTGAACTTTTCTTTTCATTGTGCAGTTCTGAAACACTCTTTTTGAAGAATCTGCAAGTGGATATTTGGATAGCTTTGAGCATTTCGTTGGAAACGGGATTATCTTGTAAAATCTAGACAGAAGCATTCTCAGAAACTTCTTAGTGATGTTTTCATTCAAGTCACAGAGTTGAACATTCCATTTCATAGAGCTGGTTTGAAACACTCTTTCTGTGGTATCTGGAAGAGGATATTTGGAGTGCTTTGAGACCTTCGGTGAAAATGGAAATATCTTCCCAAATTAACTAGACAGAAGAATTCTCAGAAACTAGTTTCGGATGTGTGAACTCAACTAACAGAGTTGAACCTTTCGTTTGATAGAACTGTTTTGAAACACTCTTTCTGTATAACCTGCAAGTGCATATGTGGATAGCTTTAACGATTTCGTTTGAAACGGGAATATCTTCACATAAAATCTACACAGAAGGATTCTCAGAAACTTCCTACTGCTGTTTGCATTCAAGTCACAGAGTTGAACATTACATTTCATACAGAATGTTTGAAACACACTTTTTGTAGTTTCTGGAAGTGGACATTTGGAGCGCTTTGAGGCCTATGGTGAAAATGGAAATATTTTCCCATGAAAACTAGACAGAAGAATACTCAGAAACTAGTTTGTGATGTGTGTACTCAACTAACAGAGTTGAGCCTTTCTTTTGATAGAGCTGTTTTGAAACACTCTTTTTGAAGAACCTGCAAGTGGATATTTGGATAGCTTTCACGATTTCCTTGGAAACGGGAATATCTTCATATAAAATCTACACAGAAAGATTCTCAGTAACTTCCTTGTAATGACTGTTTTCAAGTTACAAAGTTGAACATTCCATTTGATAGAGCATGTTTGAAACACTCTTTCTGTGGTATCTGGAAGTGGACATTTGGAGCACTTTGAGGCCTATGGTGAAAATGGAAATATCTTCCCCTAAAAACTACACAGTAGAATTCTCAGAAACTTGTTTGTGATGTGTGTACTCAACTAACACATTTGAATCTTTCTTTTGATAGAGCTGTTCTGAAACACTCTTTTTGTAGAATCTGCAAGTGGATATTTGGATACCTCTACCGATTTCTTTGGAAACGGGAATATCTTCAGCTAAAATCTAGACAGAAACATTCTCAGAAACTTCTTAGTGATGTTTGCATTGAAGTCACACAGCTGAACATTCCATTTCATACAGCAGATTTGAAACACTCTTTTTGCAGTTTCTGGAACTGGACATTTGCAGCGCTTTGAGGCCTACGGTGCCAATGGAAATATCTTCCCCTCAAAAACACACAGAAGTATTCTCAGAAACTAGTTTGTGATGTGCGTACTCAACTAACACAGTTGAACTTTTCTTTTGATTGTGCAGTTGTGAAACACTCTTTTTGTAGAATCTGCAAGTGGATATTTGGATAGCTTTGAGCATTTCGTTGGAAACGGGATTATCTTGTAAAATCTACACAGAAGCATTCTCAGAAACTTCTTAGTGATGTTTTCATTCAAGTCACAGAGTTGACCATTCCGTTTCATAGAGCTGGTTTGAAACACTCTTTCTTTGGTATCTGGAAGTGGACATTTGGAGCGGTTTGAGACCTTCGGTGAAAATTGGAATATCCTCCCAAATTAACTAGACAGAAGAATTCTCAGAAACTAGTTTCGGATGTGTGAACTCAACCAACAGAGTTGAACCTTTCTTTTGATAGAACTGTTTTGAAACACTCTTTCTGTAGAACCTGCAACTGCATATTTGGATAGCTTTAAGGATTTCCTTAGAAGCGGGAATATCTTCACATAAAATCTACACAGAAGGATTCTCAGAAACTTCCTACTGCTGTTTGCATTCAAGTCACAGAGTTATACATTACATTTCATACAGAAGGTTTGAAACACACTTTTTGTAGTTTCTGGAACTGGACTTTTGGAGCGCTTTGAGGCCTATGGTGAAAATGGAAATATCTTCCCATAAAAACTAGACAGAAGAATACTCAGAAACTAGTTTGTGATGTGTGTACTCAACTAACAGAGTTGAGCTTTTATTTTGGTAGAGCTGTTTTGAAACACTCTTTTTGAAGAACCTGCAAGTGGTTATTTGGATAGCTTTCACGATTTCCTTGGAAACGGGAATATCTTCACATAAAATCTACACAGAAAGATTCTCAGTAACTTCCCTGTAATGATTGCTTTCAAGTTACAGAGTTGAACATTCCTTTTGATAGAGCAGGTTTGAAACACTCTTTCTGTGGTATCTGGAAGTGGACATTTGGAGCACTTTGAGGCCTATGGTGGAAATGGAAATATCTTCCCCTAAAAACTACACAGAAGAATTCTCAGAAACTTGTTTGTGATGTGTGTACTCAACTAACACAGTTGAACCTTTCTTTTGATAGAGCTGTTCTGAAACACTCTTTTTGTTGAATCTTTAAGTGGATATTTGGATACCTTTACCGATTTCATTGGAAACGGAAATATCTTCAGATAAAATCTAGAGAGAAACATTCTCATAAACCTCTTAGTGATGTTTGCATTAAAGTCACACAGCTGAACATTCCATTTCATACAGCAGATATGAAACAATCTTTTCGCAGTTTCTGGAACTGGACATTTGCAGCGCTTTGAGACCTACGGTGCAAATGGAAATATCTTCCCCTCAAAACTACACAGAAAAATTCTCAGAAACTAGTTTGTGATGTGTGTACTCAACTAACACAGTTGAACTTTTCTTTTGATTGTGCAGGTCGGAAACACTCTTTTTGTAGAATCTGCAAGTGGATATTTGGATAGCTTTGAGCATTTCGCTGGAAATGGGATTATCTTGTAAAATCTAGACAGAAGCATTCTCAGAATCTTCTTAGTGATGTTTTCATTCAAGTCACAGAGTTGAACTTTCCGTTTCATAGAGCTGGTTTGAAACACTCTTTCTTTGGTATCTGGAAGTGGACATTTGGAGCGGTTTGAGACCTTTGGTGAAAATTGGAATATCCTCCCAAATTAACTAGACAGAAGAATTCTCAGAAACTAGTTTCTGATGTGTGAACTCAACTAACAGAGTTGAACCTTTCTTTTGATAGAACTGTTTTGAAACACTCTTTCTGTAAAACCTGCAAGTGCATATTTGGATAGCTTTAAGGATTTCGTTAGAAACGGGAATATCTTCACATAAAATCTACACAGAAGGACTCTCAGAAACTTCCTACTGCTGTTTGCATTCAAGTCACAGAGTTGGACATTACATTTCATACAGAAAGTTTGAAACACTCTTTTTGTAGTTTCTGGAACTGGACATTTGGAGCGCTTTGAGGCCTATGGTGAAAATGGAAATATCTTCCCATAAAATCTAGACAGAAGAATACTCAGAAACTAGTTTGTGATGTGTGTACTCAACTAACAGAGTTGAGCCTTTCTTTTGGTAGAGCTGTTTTGAAACACTCTTTTTGAAGAACCTGCAAGTGGATATTTGGATAGCTTTCACGATTTCCTTGGAAACGGGAATATCTTCATATAAAATCTACACAGAAAGATTCTCAGTAACTTCCTTGTAATGACTGCTTTCAAGTTACAGAGTTGAACATTCCATTTGATAGAGCAGGTTTGAAACACTCTTTCTGTGATATCTGGAAGTGGACATTTGGAGCACTTTGAGGCCTATGGTGAAAATGGAAATATCTTCCCCTAAAAACTACACAGAAGAGTTCTCAGAAACTTGTTTGTGATGTGTGTACTCAACTAACAAAGTTGAACCTTTCTTTTGATAGAGCTGCTCTGAAACACTCTTTTTGCAGAATCTGCAAGTGCATATTTGGATACCTCTACCGATTTCGTTGGAAACCGGAATATCTTCAGATAAAATCTAGACAGAAACATTCTCAGAAACCTCTTAGTGATGATTGCATTGAAGTCACACAGCTGAACATTCCATTTCATAGAGCAGGTTTGAAACACTCTTTTTGAAGTTTCTGGAACTGGACATTTGCAGCGCTTTGAGTCCTACGGTGCAAATGGAAATATCTTCCCCTCAAAACTACAGAGAAGAATTCTCAGAAACTAGTTTGTGATGTGTGTACTCAACTAACAGAGTTGAACTTTTCTTTTCATTGTGCAGTTCTGAAACACTCTTTTTGTAGAATCTGCAAGTGGATATTTGGATAGCTTTGAGCATTTCGTTGGAAACGGGATTATCTTGTAAAATCTAGACAGAAGCATTCTCAGAAACTTCTTAGTGATGTTTTCATTCAAGTCACAGAGTTGAACATTCCATTTCATAGAGCTGGTTTGAAACACTCTTTCTGTGGTATCTGGAAAAGGATATATGGAGTGCTTTGAGACCTTCGGTGAAAATGGAAATATCTTCCCAAATTAACTAGACAGAAGAATTCTCAGAAACTAGTTTCGGATGTGTGAACTCAACTAACAGAGTTGAACCTTTCTTTTGATAGAACTGTTTCGAAACACTCTTTCTGTAGAACCTGCAAGTGCATATGTGGATAGCTTTAACGATTTCGTTAGAAACGGGAATATCTTCACATAAAATCTACACAGAAGGATTCTCAGAAACTTCCTACTGCTGTTTGCATTCAAGTCACAGAGTTGAACATTACATTTCATACAGAATGTTTGAAACACACTTTTTGTAGTTTCTGGAAGTGGACATTTGGAGCGCTTTGAGGCCTATGGTGAAATTGGAAATATTTTCCCATGAAAACTAGACAGAAGAATACTCAGAAACTAGTTTGTGATGTGTGTACTCAACTAACAGAGTTGAGCCTTTCTTTTGATAGAGCTGTTTTGAAACACTCTTTTTGAAGAACCTGCAAGTGGATATTTGGATAGCTTTCACGATTTCCTTGGAAACGGGAATATCTTCATATAAAATCTACACAGAAAGATTCTCAGTAACTTCCTTGTAATGACTGTTTTCAAGTTACAAAGTTGAACATTCCATTTGTTAGAGCAGGTTTGAAACACTCTTTCTGTGGTATCTGGAAGTGGACATTTGGAGCACTTTGAGGCCTATGGTGAAAATGGAAATATCTTCCCCTAAAAACTACACAGTAGAATTCTCAGAAACTTGTTTGTGATGTGTGTACTCAACTAACACAGTTGAATCTTTCTTTTGATAGAGCTGTTCTGAAACACTCTTTTTGTAGAATCTGCAAGTGGATATTTGGATACCTCTACCGATTTCTTTGGAAACGGGAATATCTTCAGCTAAAATCTAGACAGAAACATTCTCAGAAACCTCTTAGTGATGTTTGCATTGAAGTCACACAGCTGAACATTCCATTTCATACAGCAGATTTGAAACACTCTTTTTGCAGTTTCTGGAACTGGACATTTGCAGCGCTTTGAGGCCTACGGTGCCAATGGAAATATCTTCCCCTCAAAACTACACAGAAGAATTCTCAGAAACTGGTTTGTGATGTGTGTACTCAACTAACACAGTTGAAATTTTCTTTTGATTGTGCAGTTGTGAAACACTCTTTTTGTAGAATCTGCAAGTGGATATTTGGATAGCTTTGAGCATTTCGTTGGAAACGGGATTATCTTGTAAA
Organism: Homo sapiens; assembly: GCF_000001405.40. Classification (NCBI taxonomy): domain Eukaryota; kingdom Metazoa; phylum Chordata; class Mammalia; order Primates; family Hominidae; genus Homo; species Homo sapiens. The sequence goes on along the minus strand of NC_000022.11, from coordinate 15,945,277 downwards.
ATCTACACAGAAGCATTCTCAGAAACTTCTTAGTGATGTTTTCCTTCAAGTCACAGAGTTGAACATTCCATTTCATAGAGCTGGTTTGAAACACTCTTTCTTTGGTATCTGGAAGTGGACATTTGGAGCGGTTTGAGACCTTCGGTGAAAATTGGAATATCCTCCCAAATTAACTAGACAGAAGAATTCTCAGAAACTAGTTTCTGATGTGTGAACTCAACCAACAGAATTGAACCTTTCTTTTGATAGAACTGTTTTGAAACACTCTTTCTGTAGAACCTGCAACTGCATATTTGGATAGCTTTAAGGATTTCGTTAGAAGCGGGAATATCTTCACATAAAATCTACACAGAAGGATTCTCAGAAACTTCCTACTGCTGTTTTCATTCAAGTCACAGAGTTGTACATTACATTTCATACAGAAGGTTTGAAACACACTTTTTGTAGTTTCTGGAACTGGACATTTGGAGCGCTTTGAGGCCTATGGTGAAAATGGAAATATCTTCCCATAAAATCTAGACAGAAGAATACTCAGAAACTAGTTTGTGATGTGTGTACTCAACTAACAGAGTTGAGCCTTTCTTTTGGTAGAGCTGTTTTGAAACACTCTTTTTGAAGAACCTGCAAGTGGATATTTGGATAGCTTTCACGATTTCCTTGGAAACGGGAATATCTTCATATAAAATCTACACAGAAAGATTCTCAGTAACTTCCTTGTAATGACTGCTTTCAAGTTACAGAGTTGAACATTCCATTTGATAGAGCAGGTTTGAAACACTCTTTCTGTGATATCTGGAAGTGGACATTTGGAGCACTTTGAGGCCTATGGTGAAAATGGAAATATCTTCCCCTAAAAACTACACAGAAGAGTTCTCAGAAACTTGTTTGTGATGTGTGTACTCAACTAACAAAGTTGAACCTTTCTTTTGATAGAGCTGTTCTGAAACACTCTTTTTGCAGAATCTGCAAGTGCATATTTGGATACCTCTACCGATTTCGTTGGAAACCGGAATATCTTCAGATAAAATCTAGACAGAAACATTCTCAGAAACCTCTTAGTGATGATTGCATTGAAGTCACACAGCTGAACATTCCATTTCATAGAGCAGGTTTGAAACACTCTTTTTGAAGTTTCTGGAACTGGACATTTGCAGCGCTTTGAGTCCTACAGTGCAAATGGAAATATCTTCCCCTCAAAACTACAGAGAAGAATTCTCAGAAACTAGTTTGTGATGTGTGTACTCAACTAACAGAGTTGAACTTTTCTTTTCATTGTGCAGTTCTGAAACACTCTTTTTGTAGAATCTGCAAGTGGATATTTGGATAGCTTTGAGCATTTCGTTGGAAACGGGATTATCTTGTAAAATCTAGACAGAAGCATTCTCAGAAACTTCTTAGTGATGTTTTCATTCAAGTCACAGAGTTGAACTTTCCGTTTCATAGAGCTGGTTTGAAACACTCTTTCTTTGGTATCTGGAAGTGGACATTTGGAGCGGTTTGAGACCTTTGGTGAAAATTGGAATATCCTCCCAAATTAACTAGACAGAAGAATTCTCAGAAACTAGTTTCTGATGTGTGAACTCAACTAACAGAGTTGAACCTTTCTTTTGATAGAACTGTTTTGAAACACTCTTTCTCTAAAACCTGCAAGTGCATATTTGGATAGCTTTAAGGATTTCGTTAGAAACGGGAATATCTTCACATAAAATCTACACAGAAGGACTCTCAGAAACTTCCTACTGCTGTTTGCATTCAAGTCACAGAGTTGGACATTACATTTCATACAGAAAGTTTGAAACACTCTTTTTGTAGTTTCTGGAACTGGACATTTGGAGCGCTTTGAGGCCTATGGTGAAAATGGAAATATCTTCCCATAAAAACTAGACAGAAGAATACTCAGAAACTAGTTTGTGATGTGTGTACTCAACTAACAGAGTTGAGCCTTTCTTTTGGTAGAGCTGTTTTGAAACACTCTTTTTGAAGAACCTGCAAGTGGATATTTGGATAGCTTTCACGATTTCCTTGGAAACGGGAATATCTTCATATAAAATCTACACAGAAAGATTCTCAGTAACTTCCTTGTAATGACTGCTTTCAAGTTACAGAGTTGAACATTCCATTTGATAGAGCAGGTTTGAAACACTCTTTCTGTGATATCTGGAAGTGGACATTTGGAGCACTTTGAGGCCTATGGTGAAAATGGAAATATCTTCCCCTAAAAACTACACAGAAGAGTTCTCAGAAACTTGTTTGTGATGTGTGTACTCAACTAACAAAGTTGAACCTTTCTTTTGATAGAGCTGTTCTGAAACACTCTTTTTGCAGAATCTGCAAGTGCATATTTGGATACCTCTACCGATTTCGTTGGAAACCGGAATATCTTCAGATAAAATCTAGACAGAAACATTCTCAGAAACCTCTTAGTGATGATTGCATTGAAGTCACACAGCTGAACATTCCATTTCATAGAGCAGGTTTGAAACACTCTTTTTGTAGTTTCTGGAACTGGACATTTGCAGCGCTTTGAGTCCTACGGTGCAAATGGAAATATCTTCCCCTCAAAACTACAGAGAAGAATTCTCAGAAACTAGTTTGTGATGTGTGTACTCAACTAACAGAGTTGAACTTTTCTTTTCATTGTGCAGTTCTGAAACACTCTTTTTGTAGAATCTGCAAGTGGATATTTGGATAGCTTTGAGCATTTCGTTGGAAATGGGATTATCTTGTAAAATCTAGACAGAAGCATTCTCAGAAACTTCTTAGTGATGTTTTCATTCAAGTCACAGAGTTGAACATTCCATTTCATAGAGTTGGTTTGAAACACTCTTTCTGTGGTATCTGGAAGAGGACATTTGGTGCGCTTTGAGACCTTCGGTGAAAATGGAAATATCTTCCCAAACTAACTAGACAGAAGAATTCTCAGAAACTAGTTTCGGATGTGTGAACTCAACTAACAGTGTTGAACCTTTCTTTTGATAGAACTGTTTTGAAACACTCTTTCTGTAGAACCTGCAAGTGCATATTTGGATAGCTTTAAGGATTTCGTTAGAAACGGGAATATCTTCACATAAAATCTACACAGAAGGACTCTCAGAAACTTCCTACTGCTGTTTGCATTCAAGTCACAGAGTTGGACATTACATTTCATACAGAAGGTTTGAAACACACTTTTTGTAGTTTCTGGAACTGGACATTTGGAGCGCTTTGAGGCCTATGGTGAAAATGGAAATATCTTCCCATAAAAACTAGACAGAAGAATACTCAGAAACTAGTTTGTGATGTGTGTACTCAACTAACAGAGTTGAGCCTTTCTTTTGGTAGAGCTGTTTTGAAACACTCTTTTTGAAGAACCTGCAAGTGGATATTTGGATAGCTTTCACGATTTCCTTGGAAACGGGAATATCTTCATATAAAATCTACACAGAAAGATTCTCAGTAACTTCCTTGTAATGACTGCTTTCAAGTTACAGAGTTGAACATTCCATTTGATAGAGCAGGTTTGAAACACTCTTTCTGTGATATCTGGAAGTGGACATTTGGAGCACTTTGAGGCCTATGGTGAAAATGGAAATATCTTCCCCTAAAAACTACACAGAAGAATTCTCAGAAACTTGTTTGTGATGTGTGTACTCAACTAACAAAGTTGAACCTTTCTTTTGATAGAGCTGTTCTGAAACACTCTTTTTGCAGAATCTGCAAGTGGATATTTGGATACCTCTACCGATTTCGTTGGAAACGGGAATATCTTCAGATAAAATCTAGACCGAAACATTCTCAGAAACCTCTTAGTGATGTTTGCATTGAAGTCACACAGCTGAACATTCCATTTCATAGAGCAGGTTTGAAACACTCTTTTTGAAGTTTCTGGAACTGGACATTTGCAGCGCTTTGAGTCCTACGGTGCAAATGGAAATATCTTCCCCTCAAAACTACAGAGAAGAATTCTCAGAAACTAGTTTGTGATGTGTGTACTCAACTAACAGAGTTGAACTTTTCTTTTCATTGTGCAGTTCTGAAACACTCTTTTTGTAGAATCTGCAAGTGGATATTTGGATAGCTTTGAGCATTTCGTTGGAAACGGGATTATCTTGTAAAATCTAGACAGAAGCATTCTCAGAAACTTCTTAGTGATGTTTTCATTCAAGTCACAGAGTTGAACATTCCATTTCTTAGAGCTGGTTTGAAACACTCTTTCTGTGGTATCTGGAAGAGGATATTTGGAGTGCTTTGAGACCTTCAGTGAAAATGGTAATATCTTCCCAAATTAACTAGACAGAAGAATTCTCAGAAACTCGTTTCGGATATGTGAACTCAACTAACAGAGTTGAACCTTTCTTTTGATAGAACTGTTTTGAAACACTCTTTCTGTAGAACCTGCAAGTGCATATTTGGATAGCTTTAACGATTTCGTTAGAAACGGGAATATCTTCACATAAAATCTACACAGAAGGATTCTCAGAAACTTCCTACTGCTGTTTGCATTCAAGTCACAGAGTTGAACATTACATTTCATACAGAAGGTTTGAAATACACTTTTTGTAGTTTCTGGAAGTGGACATTTGGAGCGCTTTGAGGCCTATGGTGAAAATGGAAATATTTTCCCATGAAAACTAGACAGAAGAATACTCAGAAACTAGTTTGTGATGTGTGTACTCAACTAACAGAGTTGAGCCTTTCTTTTGATAGAGCTGTTTTGAAACACTCTTTTTGAAGAACCTGCAAGTGGATATTTGGATAGCTTTCACGATTTCCTTGGAAACGGGAATATCTTCATATAAAATCTACACAGAAAGATTCTCAGTAACTTCCTTGTAATGATTGCTTTCAAGTTACCGAGTTGAACATTCCATTTGATAGAGCAGGTTTGATATCCCCTTTATCATTTTTTATTGTATCTATTTGATTCTTCTCTCTTTTTTTCTTTATTAATCTTGCTAACGGTCTATCAATTTTGTTGATCCTTTCAAAAAACCAGCTCCTGGATTCATTAATTTTTTGAAGGGTTTTTTGTGTCTCTAGTTCCTTCAGTTCTGCTCTGATTTTAGTTATTTCTTGCCTTCTGCTAACTTTTGAATGTGTTTGCTCTTGCTTTCCTAGTTCTTTAAATTGTGATGTTAGGGTGTCAATTTTGGATCTTTCCTGCTTTGTCTTGTGAGCATTTAGTGCTATAAATTTCCCTCTACACACTGCTTTGAATGCATCCCAGAGATTCTGGTATGTTGTGTCTTTGTTCTCATTGGTTTCAAAAAGCATCTTTATTTCTGCCTTCATTTCGTTATGTACCCAGTAGTCATTCAGGAGCAGGTTGTTCAGTTTCCATGTAGTTGAGCGGTTTTGAGTGAGTTTCTTAATCCTGAGTTCTAGTTTGATTGCACTGTGGTCTGAGAGATAGTTTGTTATAATTTCTGTTATTGTAAATTTGCTGAGGAGTGCTTTACTTCCAACTATGTGGTCAATTTTGGAATAGTGTGGTGTAGTGCTGAAAAAATTGTATAATCTGTTGATTTGGGGTAGAGAGTTCTGTAGATGTCTTTTAGGTCCGCTTGGTGCAGAGCTGAGCTCAATTCCTGGGTATTCTTATTGACTTTCTGTCTCGTTGATCTGTCTAATGTTGACAGTGGGGTGTTAAAGTCTCCCATTTTTAATATGTGGGAGTCTAAGTCTCTTTGTTGGTCACTCAGGACTTGCTTTATGAATCTCTGTGCTCCTGTGTTGGGTGCATATATATTTAGGATAGTTAGCTCTTCTTGTTGAATTGATCCCTTTATCATTATGTAATGGCCTTCTTTGTCTCTTTTGATCTTTGTTGGTTTAAAGTCTGTTTTATCAGAGACTAGGATTGCAACCCCTGCCTTTTTTTGTTTTCCATTTGCTTGGGAGATCTTCCTCCATCCTTTTATTTTGAGCCTATATGTGTCTCTGCAGGTGAGATGGTTTCCTGAATACAGCACACTGATGGGTCTTGACTCTTTATCCAACTTGCCAGTCTGTGTCTTTTAATTCCCAAGCAGCCTAACTGGGAGGCACCCCCATCAGGGGCAGACTGACACCTCACATGGCCGGGTACTCCAACAGACCTGCAGCTGAGGGTCCTGTCTGTGAGAAAGAAAACTAACAAACAGAAAGGACATCCACACCAAAAACCCATTTGTACCTCACCATCATCAAAGACCAAAGTAGATAAAACCACAAAGATGGGAAAAAAACAGAGCAGAAAAACTGGAAACTCTAAAAAGCAGAGCATCTGTCCTCCTCCAAAGGAATGCAGTTCCTCACCAGAAATGGAACAAAGCTGGATGGAAAATGACTTTGACGAGCTGAGAGAAGAAGGTTTCAGATGATCAAATTACTCTGAGCTATGGGAGGACATTCAAACCAATAGCAAAGAAGTTGAAAACTTAGAAAAAAATTTAGAGGAATGTATAACTAGAATAACCAATACAGAGAAGTGCTTAAAGGAGCTGATGGAGCTGAAAACCAAGGCTCGAGAACTACGTGAAGAATGCAGAAGCCTGAGGAGCTTATGCGAGCAACTGGAAGAAAGAGTATCAGTGATGGAAGATGAAATGAATGAAATGAAGCGAGAAGGGAAGTTTAGAGAAAAAAAGAATAAAAAGAAACAAACAAAGCCTCCAAGAAATATGGGACTATGTGAAAAGACCAAATCTACGTCTAATTGGTGTACCTGAAAGTGACGGGGAACCAAGTTGGAAAACACTCTACAGGATATTATCCAGGAGAACTTCCCCAATCTAGAAATGCAGGCCAACATTCAGATTCAGGAAATACAGAGAATGCCACAAAGACACTCCTCGAGAAGAGAAACTCCAAGACACATAATTGTCAGATTCACCAAGGTTGAAATGAAGGAGAAAATGTTAAGGGCAGCCAGAGAGAAAGGTCGGGTTACCCACAAAGGGAAGCTCATCAGACTAACAGCGGATCTCTTGGCAGAAATTCTATAAGCCAGAAGAGAGTGGGGGCCAATATTCAACATTCTTAAAGAAAAGAATTTTCAACCCAGAATTTCATATCCAGCCAAATTAAGCTTCATAAGTGAAGGAGAAATAAAATCCTTTACAGACAAGCAAATGCTGAGAGATTTTGTCACCACCAGGCCTGCCCTAAAAGAGCTCCTGAAGGAAGTGTTAAACATGGAAAGGAACAACCGGTACCAGCTGCTGCAAAATCATGCCAAAATGTAAAGACCATCGAGACTAGGAAGAAACTGTATCAACTAACGAGCAAAATAACCAGCTAACATCATAATGACAGGATCAAATTCACACATAACAATTTTAACTTTAAATGCTCTAGGAGTATTAACTCTAAAACATGGGAACAATCATAGGCCAATTGCTTATTTCAGCCAACAATTAGGTCTGGTATCAAGAGGATGCCCCCTTGCATGAAGGTCAAGCCAGCTGCAGGCTTCTTATCCAAGGATGCTGAAGAATTTGTTCTACGGTCCCCACTAATCTTCTGCACCCCCTACAACTGTGGAATCTCTCCTAAGCTCTCACCACATTGAACATTGTTTGGTCAGCCACCTCGCCTCTTATGAGGCATTCCTGCTTTCTGTCCCTAACATCACTTTGAAGCGCTATAACACTATTAACCTGCTCCATTTTTTCAGGTGAACAACAATAAGAGCACAGCTACTCTCCAAAACAAATATCTTACTCTCCCCTAGGGAAGATTTACGTGACACTTCTGTGGAGAATACGGAATTAATTTGGTTCGCAGATTTTTAAATTAAGACAATCAGAGGCATAAGTTAGCAGGATATTCCATCACTTTCACAGTAGACATAATCAAAAGCACTAACTCCAAGGAGTAAAATCAGTCCAGATGGCTGAATTAATAGTATTAACTGGAGCTTACCAATTGGTTGAAGGAAGGGTGGCAAATATATACACTGATAGCCCATATGCTTTTGGAGTAGCCCATGATTTCTACATGCTATGGAAACAGAAGTCTTTCTCACTTCACCGGGGTAACCTACATAAACATGTACTGAGTCTTGGAACTATTAGAAACAGTTCAAACGCCAAAGCAGCTCACAGTGGTAAAAATCCCTGGACACCAAAACAAATAATACTGAAGAAACAAAAAGAAATAATCTAGCTGATGCTGCAGCAAAGAATGCTGTCCTAGGGATGATGGCCTGTCTTACATAAGCATGCACCCTCCATCCTGCTAGTACCCTCACTAACATTCTTTTACAATACCAGTGGGCATCAATTCCTCAGGAGAAACAAATCTGGCAGCAAAAGGGAGGCATGTTTAACAGAAGCAGAGAATTGTGGCTAGGCCCTAACAAAAACCACATGGTTCCCAAAGGTGTACAATTCCCCCTCCTTCAATTTTTTTCATGAAAAGATTCACTGGGCCCTGAGAAAATGACATTATGGGGAAATACTTCTGGAAATCATACCCCATTGTGGCCCAAAATGTATGTTCTATATATGGGTAATATATGCTGAAAGCATAACCCTAGAAAGCCCTTACATGGCTCCCAAGGTCACTGTCTTTTGCCAACAAGAGCCTTTGAATTACAGCAATTGGATTTCATCCAGATGCCACCATCTCCAAGTTATCAATGTGTGCTGGTCTTGGTTTGTATGTTTCCTCACCGGGTAGAAGCATTTCCTAGTTGGAGGGCTGTTGCCTTAACAGTAGGCAAAATACCACCAGAGAGAATAATTCTGGTTTGGAAAATCCCTTCTGAACTACACAGTGATCATGGGACTCATTGTACTGGACAAGTTGTTCAATCCATTCGCAAAATCTAGCCCATAATACAAGATTTCCTTTGTGCCTATCATCCCCAATTCTGTGGGTTGGCAGAAGGGACAAATGGCACAATAAAAACTCAATTAGCTAAGTTAACAGAGGCTTTTAAGCTCCCTTGGCCAAAAGTCCTCCCACTGATCTTGCTTAAACTTAGATCCACTCCATTTGGAAAACATTGTTTATCACCTTATGCAATAATAACAGGAAGACCTATGAGGCTGGACAAGGGCTTACATGAGCCAGTTTTACCCAAGGGAAAAAATACTGCATTATAGCCAAGGATTTCTTAAAACTTAAAAAAACACAAAGTTGGTAACAGAACCTTTCCACTATGAGCTCCTGGGAGCCAAGGACTCCAAGGATCTCAGATCACACCCAGTTGACTTTGTGTACTGGAAAGACAACAACTGAAAGGCTTCCTATAGCCTCGCTGGAAAGGACCTTACCAGGTGTTTGCAACTTACTCTTGTGCTGAAAAACTAACGGGAGTTGCTTCTTGGATTTACATCTCACACCTATCATGGGCATCCAATCATATTTCTGACTACACCTGGACTTCTGAACCGGCCTCTGACACCCACTTGTGATTTTAGAAAACAGCTGAGGTTCAGCCGTTCTCCAGAGCAACAACCAAAGCAGACATTTTTCCAGAGAATTCATGCCTGTCCTCATGAACCCTGCAGTAACTCTCATGCTTGCTTTCCTTGCTATAGAATATTTTGTTGAAAACCCCGAATGTTTTAACCAAGACCCCTGAGAGGTTATTTGAGATCTATAGAATCTCCCTTGGTATATCTTTCTAAATGGGTGTGGTTATGAATTCCCCTGTTAAAAAGCAGAAAATAATGTTTTACCTGATCACTCTCATTCCCATAATCTCTTTTATCTGCCTATCTCACACTCCTTTTCTCTTCAAACCTAAAGACTTCTCCCAGTTCCCTGCAAACCTCACCAATTTTCCTGCAGACAGAGCTCACATTTTTTTTTGTATGGCATATATCAGGATGAAAGAAAGGCTGCTAAATGGAACAGTTCAACCCTAAACATTCCCTGAGGGCCCTCCCTTTTCAGGGTGTCTCTATTATAAGGTTCTTACCAAATATAATGCCCTGCAGGAATATTTACTTAACAAAGATAGAACATCATATAACAACAGATATTGGTGATGACAAGCTTAGACAATTGCCTGGGTATGATGGAAGAAACCTAGCTGCCTTCTGTGTGAACTGCTGCAGCATAGCCTGACCAAATGACCACCAGCCCTGTGCCTGTGGCTGGATGCCCTATCTAGCACCAGACACAGTGACACTGCTCTTAAAGTACTATTATGGGAGTCAGTTGGTGGTTAGAAGTCTCTGACAGTACAAATTCTACCCTAAATGCCAGGGCACCTCTGGTAGGCACCTCTGGTAATTACCCAGATAAGGGCATGCTTAGATGTAATCTCCACTCTCCTGACAATCATTTGGGATACCCTATGATTCTGGGTTGACTTCATTTATTCAAATTACACTGATGCCATCAGGATACAATAGCAACAAAATTCCTGGTGGATACCTCAAACTTGGCCATCCAAAAGGCCAAAACGTGACATCATTGAATGAATTGGAGCTGGGCTAAGTATACTTGGACAAGCTGAATTTGTGGCTAATGAAGGGAGGCATTACTTTGAGAAAAATTCCCTTTCAAAAATAGGCCACATGAAGGGAATGTTTTCCCAAGAAGAGGGAAAGAGATGGGAAGCTGCCCTGAAAGGTGATGCAGCAATCATCAAATGGATAGAAGAAACCAGACAAATCATGACAACATACCTCCAAACCCAAAGTTGGGAATGGGTGTGTGCTCTCACCCAACAAGGTTTCACATCCATGTTATTACAAATAGAATTTGAGGTGGCTATAAAGCGAAGGCTTGCAGTTCTCCTGGCCGAGGCACCGTTCAAACACTGATGGAAGGTATATGGTCCCAAAAATTTATATGAGTTTCAGATGGTAAATGTGACCTCAGACCACTATTCTTAAAGAACAGGCCTCAAAGTTGGATAAGGCAGGCATTGGGAACATTGTAAATAATATAAGGATACTCCTATGGGAACCTGGTGGGCTGCTTTGGTTAAGAAAAACATATGATGTCCTATTTACTGCTCAGTTTGTGAGAATAGAAAATGAGAATGGTTATGATTCAAACCACTTGGAATCCCAATTTCTCCCATATTTGGCTCCTAATATCCACCCTGATGGGACATGATATTTGGCATTTGAGAAAGAGATGTTTGTGTTGTGGAGAAGAAAAGAGAGAAGAATCAAATAGATGCAATAAAAAATGATAAAGGGGATATCACCACTGATCCCACAGAAATACAAACTACCATCGGAGAACACTACAAACACCTCTACGCAAATAAACTAGAAAATCTAGAAGAAATGGATAAATTCCTCGACACATACACTCTCCCAAGACTAAACCAGGAAAAAGTTGAATCTCTGAATAGACCAATAACAGGATCTGAAATTGTGGCAATAATCAATAGCTTACCAACCAAAAAGAGTCCAGGACCAGATGGATTCACAGCCGAATTCTACCAGAGGTACAAGGAGGAACTGGTACCATTCCTTGTGAAACTATTCCAATCAATAGAAAAAGAGGGAATCCTCCCTAACTCATTTTATGAGGCCAGCATCATCCTGATACCAAAGCTGGGCAAAGACACAAGAAAAAAGAGAATTTTAGACCAATATCCTTGATGAACATTAATGCAAAAATCCTCAATAAAATATTGGCAAAACAAATCCAGCAGCACATCAAAAAGCTTATCCACCATGATCAAGTGGGCTTCATCCCTGGGATGCAAGGCTGGTTCAATATACGCAAATCAATAAATGTAATCCAGCATATAAACAGAACCGAAGACAAAAACCACATGATTATCTCAATAGATGCAGAAAAAGCCTTTGACAAAATTCAACAACCCTTCATGCTAAAAACTCAATAAAGTAGGTATTGATGGGACGTATTTCAAAATAATAAGAGCTATCTATGACAAACCTACAGCCAATATCATACTGAATGGGCAAAAACTGGAAGCATTCCCTTTGAAAGCTGGCACAAGAGAGGGATGCCCTCTCTCACCACTCCTATTCAACAGAGTGTTGGAAGTTCTGGCCAGGGCAATCAGGCAGGAGAAGGAAATAAAGGGTATTCAATTAGGAAAAGAAGAAGTCAAATTGTCCCTGTTTGCAGACGACATGATTGTACATCTAGAAAACCCCATTGTCTCAGCCCAAAATCTCCTTAAGCTGATAAGCAACTTCAGCAAAGTCTCAGGATACAAAATCAATGTACAAAAATCACAAGCATTCTTATACACCAACAATAGACAAACAGAGAGCCAAATCATGAGTGAACTCCCATTCACAATTGATTCAAAGAGAATAAAATACCTAGGAATCCAACTTACAAGGGATGTGAAGGACCTCTTCAAGGAGAACTACAAACCACTGCTCAAGGAAATAAAAGAGGATACAAACTAATGGAAGAACATTCCATGCTCATGGGTAGGAAGAATCAATATCGTGAAAATGGCCATACTGCCCAAGGTAATTTATAGATTCAATGCCATCCCCATCAAGCTACCAATGACTTTCTTCACAGAATTGGAAAAAAATACTTTAAAGTTCATATGGAACCAAAAAAGAGCCCGCATCACCAAGTCAATCCTAAGCCAAAAGAACAAAGCTGGAGGCATCACACTACCTGACTTCAAACTATACTACAAGGCTACAGTAACCAAAACAGCATGGTACTGGTACCAAAACAGAGATATAGATCAATGGAACAGAACAGAGCCCTCAGAAATAACGCCACATATCTACAACTATCTGATCTTTGACAAACCTGAGAAAAACAAGCAATGGGGAAAGGATTCCCTATTTAATAAATGGTGCTGGGAAAACTGGCTAGCCATATGTAGAAAGCTGAAACTGGATCCCTTCCTTACACCTTATACAAAAATTAATTCAAGATGGATTAAAGACTTAAACGTTAGACCTAAAACCATAAAAACCCTAGAAGAACACCTAAGCATTACCATTCAGGACATAAGCATGGGCAAGGACTTCATGTCTAAAACATCAAAAGCAATGGCAACAAAAGCCAAAATTGACAAATGGGATCTAATTAAACTAAAGAGCTTCTGCACAGCAAAAGAAACTACCATCAGAGTGAACAGGCAACCCACAAAATGGGAGAAAATTTTCACAACCTACTCATCTGACTAAGGGCTAATATCCAGAATCTACAATGAACTCAAACAAATTTACAAGAAAAAAACAAAAAACCCCATCAAAAAGTGGGCGAAGGACATGAACAGACACTTCTCAAAAGAAGACATTTATGCAGCCAAAAAACACATGAAAAAATGCTCATCATCACTGGCCATCAGAGAAATGCAAATCAAAACCACAATGAGATATCATCTCACACCAGTTAGAACGGCAATCATTAAAAAGTCAGGAAACAACAGGTGCTGGAGAGGATGTGGAGAAATAGGAACACTTTTACACCGTTGGTGGGACTGTAAACTAGTTCAACCATTGTGGAAGTCAGTGTGGCGATTCCTCAGGGATCTAGAACTAGAAATACCATTTGACCCAGCCATCCCATTACTGGGTATATACCCAAAGGACTATAAATCATGCTGCTATAAAGACACATGCACATGTATGTTTATTGTGGCATTATTCACAATAGCAAAGACTTGGAACCAACCCAAATGTCCAACAATGATAGACTGGATTAAGAAAACGTGGCACATATACACCATGGAATACTATGCAGCCATAAAAAATGATGAGTTCATGTCCTTTGTAGGGACATGGATGAAATTGGAAATCATCATTCTCAGTAAACTATCGCAAGAACAAAAAACCAAACACCACATATTCTCACTCATAGGTGGGAAATGAACAATGAGAACACATGGACACAGGAAGGGGAACATCACACTCTGGGGACTGTTGTGGGGTGGGGGGAGGGGGGAGGGATAGCATTGGAAAATATACCTAATGCTAGATGATGAGTTAGTGGGTGCAACGCACCAGCATGGCACATGTATACATATGTAACTAACCTGCACATTGTGCACATGTACCCTAAAACTTAAAGTATAATAATAATAAAAAAAATACTCCTAGAGCATTTCCATTAATTGTGTGTACAGAAATAGAAATACATTTCTATTAATTGTGTGTACAGAAATAGAAATAGAAAACAGAAGCCTGGGAAGCTTAATGCTGGCACTCAGGTGGGAGCCTTCCTTAGATCCTCTATGTGTTGTGTTCCCCTTTCTTCCCAGCAGATTTGGTCCAGTGGGTCTGTTTTCATTTTTTATGAAAGGGCTGAGTCATGAATGAGTAATCCCAAATCCAGCTTCCATAATGGGTTGTTAACTCTAAGAACCCTCTTGATTGTCTTTTTGTTTTGGGCACAGGAAATGTCATAACAACAGAGGCTCCATCAGGGCTTACTAGTAGCCCACTACTGGAAATCACATGTCCCAAATATTTAACTTGAGAGAGAGAAAATTGCAATTTATCTCTGGACAATCTTTGTCCCTTAAAGCAAGCTGTTGTGACAAGTGGACAATGTCTTCTCTGCATGTTGTCAAGGAGGATGAAAGTGACAAATCATCCACATATTGACCAGGATAGTTCTGCTAGAAAATTTGATATCATGTAAATGTCTTTAATATTTGAGAAAAGTAAGTAGGACACTTGGAATATCCTGAAGCAAGATTGTCCATGTGTACTGGTGATTTTCTCAAGCAAAGGCAAAAAGATATTGGCTGTTCTGCTCTACAGGTAAGCTGGAGAAAGCATCACATATGCCAGTGGCAGAGAAGTGGCTGGCAGTGATAGGAACATTAGACCGCAAGGTGTGGGGGTTAGGAACAACAGGATTTCTAGGAATTATTAGTGTATTATTAGTGTATAGCTCTTAACTCCTGAACGAATCTCCAGCTTTTTCCATTTGGCTTTTTAACTGGGAGGATTGGTGTACTGCCAGGACTGCTTCAAGTCCTTTGTCTAAATAGTCCTACATGAATGGTTTGATTCCCAGTAAGGCTTCAGGTCTAAGGGGATATTGCTTAATGTTTGGCAGAGGTTTAAGTTTATCTGTGGTTATCTCTATGGGTACTGCTGACTTAATTCTCCTGATATCCATGGAAGAAATTGCCCATAAAGAATCTGGTAAATTGGATAAGACTCTAATTACCCCTGTTCAAATTCTTTATTGACTTTGGCAAGCATAATATCACACATGAGCTTTTGTAAGTCTTCTGTGTTTTCCAAGTTGAGAATCATATGTCCCTTCTGCGAAAATGACATGTGGGCATTTTGGGTATCTGGGAAATCCTGTGCCAGCAGGTATATGGGCACACTCTCTACTACAAAAAAAGATGCCCCATTAGTTCTAGTTGAAAAAGAAGAAGATTAGATGGAAAAGCTATAACTTGGGAGTTCAAAATCTCTGCCATTTGCACTTTTATGTGACCCCAAGGGAGAGGGTTTTTAAACAAGATAGGGTTGAGGACTGACAGTGTAGCTGCCGTTGTCTATAAGGGCTCTAGTATTCTCCCTATTTGTGGATATTTCTACTTCTCCTTGTTTGTTAAAAGTAGAGGGAAAACCCTCTCTATTCCCTCAGAGCATCTTCATTCTAATTTTTCAGTTATTTTGGTGCCTTACTCTGGAGTCTTCTCCCGTTGTGCAAGCACCTGTTTGTGTTTCATGCAATCCTTTCTAAGATGTCCTTTCTTCTTGCAATAGTGGCACATTGCTTTTTTTGTCTTTTTGCGATCTCTGTGAGGAACAGAAAACGGAACACTTACAACTTTCCTACTTTGTTACTAAGTTGTTTTTGCTGTGAACTCATGACCTTAAAGGATGTTTCCTTTTCCTTCTCGGTGATCATTTGTGACAACTGGTCAGCTGTGGGGACTTGATGACTAGTGGGCAAAGAAGCCCCAGCCACATTATTTCACTTTATTGAAGTCACTAACTCATCATCTAAGCCTTGTGCAAATCTAGAATTTAGTAACGCATCACTTCCACCATGCTCAAAGTTTTCAGAAGGGTCCCTAAATATTTGAATGTTTTTTCAAACATGATGTAAAAATCAAGTACAGTTTGAGTTGGGCATACTTTACATTATTGTACCTTTGCCCAGTCTAGCAACAAATACTTATTGCTTTTTTTTTAAGACAGAATCTTGCTCTGTCACCTCAGCTGGGGTGCAGTGGTGCCATCCCGCCTCACTGCAGTTTCAACCACCCAAGCTCAAGCTATCTTCCCACCTCAGCCCCCCAAGTAGTTGGGACCACAGGTACGTGTCACCATGCTTGGCTAATTTTTAAAATCTTTTGTAGAGATGAGGTCCCACTAGGTTGCCCAGGCTCATCTGGAACTCCTGAGCTCAAGCAATCCTCCCGCCTCAGCCTCCCAGAACACTGAGATTACAGGCATGTCCGGCAGCTTTTCTAATATGAAAGTTATTATTGAAAAAAATAAAATAAAAATCTTTCCAGTGGACATTTTTGAGCCCCTCTCATCACATTTCTTAGGAAGAAAATATCTGGGGCTATGGAATGTTCCTTTTAACCCACACCCTCAAACGTACCCACCCTGGACCACTGGATACAATTTTCTCTCATTGGGTGCACAGCAGCTCTGTCCTAAAGGCCGAACCTTCTCAGTAGGTGAGGCAGTATGAGCTTTGCCACTTACCTACTGTGTGACTTTTGGCAAGATCCTTCCCTTAGTTGGGCACTAGTTTTTTCTTCTTTATAAATTCAAGAGTTAGAATCAATGATCTGCAAGGTCTTTTCTGGATGTAGCAAAAAGGAGACATTCAGAACCATAAAAGCCCAGGGGTAGATTTCAGAATGTGTGCATTACTTCCCAGGAAAATATCCTTTACTATTCTCCTTTGTAGATGCCTCCAGCCAGATGATAAGCACCCTTCAGCCTAGCTTGGCTCCACATCTCACTCCAGTCATGGTGTCGGACTGGGCACAAAGCAGGTGCTCAGTGAATTAGCTTGTCTCCATCCCCTAAAAAGCGTTCCACATATTCTAGGTTTGCTCATCAGTGGACCCTCCTGATGGGTGGGAATCTGGAGCACAAGGCTGGTTTCAACTACTGGAGTACTGGAGCACACACAGTGATCTTTTTTTCTGACATAGTTGGTACAGTGCTTACTTGTAATAATTCACAATTCACCAAGCAGAGCGGGTCTGGGCACCTCGAAGGCAGACATGCCAGCGGCTGAGGGGAACATGATATTCAAGTCCTCTCCGTCTGGGGTCTTGGTCCAGAAGGCCAATCTCCTGGCAGCCCACGCAGCACGTTCGAGAAATCTCACTTGTGGCGGGTTCCCAAGCTGTTGCCATGCAGCCTCTGGAAAGAGATCTGATAAGTCCCAGGACTTCAGAAGAGCTGTGCGACCTTGGCCAAGTCACTTCCTCCTTCAGGAACATTGCAGTGGGCCTAAGTGCCTCCTCTCGGGACTGGTATGGGGACGGTCATGCAATCTGGACAACATTCACCTTTAAAAGTTTATTGATTTTTTGTGACATGCACGTGGGTTCCCAGTAGCAAGAAACTAAAGGGTCGCAGGCCGGTTTCTGCTAATTTCTTTAATTCCAAGACAGTCTCAATTATTTTCTTATTAACTTCCTGGAGGGAGGCTTATCATTCTCTCTTTTGGATGATTCTAAGTACCAGCTAAAATACAGCTATCATTCATTTTCCTTGATTTGGGAGCCTAATTTCTTTAATTTAGTATGCAAGAAAACCAATTTGGAAATATCAACTGTTTTGGAAACCTTAGACCTAGGTCATCCTTAGTAAGATCTTCCCATTTATATAAATACTTGCAAGTAGTAGTGCCATAATTACCAAACATAAAGCCAACTGAGATGCCCAAAGGGGGCCACTCTCCTTGCTTTTCCTCCTTTTTAGAGGATTTATTTCCCATTTTTCTTAAAAAGGAAGAACAAACTGTGCCCTAGGGTTTACTGTGTCAGAACAGAGTGTGCCGATTGTGGTCAGGACTCCATAGCATTTCACCATTGAGTTATTTCCGCCCCCTTACGTGTCTCTCTTCAGCGGTCTATTATCTCCAAGAGGGCATAAAACACTGAGTAAACAGCTCTTTTATATGTGTTTCCTGGATGAGCCTTCTTTTAATTAATTTTGTTAAGGGATTTCCTCTAGGGCCACTGCACGTCATGGGGAGTCACCCCCAGACACTCCCAATTGGCCCCTTGTCACCCAGGGGCACATTTCAGCTATTTGTAAAACCTGAAATCACTAGAAAGGAATGTCTAGTGACTTGTGGGGGCCAAGGCCCTTGTTATGGGGATGAAGGCTCTTAGGTGGTAGCCCTCCAAGAGAATAGATGGTGAATGTCTCTTTTCAGACATTAAAGGTGTCAGACTCTCAGTTAATCTCTCCTAGATCCAGGAAAGGCCTAGAAAAGGAAGGCCTGACTGCATTAATGGAGATTCTCTCCATGTGCAAAATTTCCTCCACAAAAGAAATCCTTGCAGGGCCATTTTAATGTGTTGGCCCTGTGACAGCCATTTCAAAATATGTCAAAAAATATATTTTGGAGTAAAATACTTTCATTTTCCTTCAGAGTCTGCTGTCGTATGATGCCATACCAGAGTCAGGTTGGAAAGTAAGCCACATTATACAGCGTTAACCTAAAAAAACAAAAAACTGTCTAACAAGATTTTATGGTTTATAGAGCATGATTCCCCGGACACATTAGATAGAAATCTGGGCAAGAGAAGAAAAAAAGGTCAGAGTTTAATCCTCATTCCTAAGTTATGTAAACCAAAAATAAAATTCTGAAGATGTCCTGATCATCTGAATGGACCCTTCCTCTGGACCAGGGCATTCCAAAGTTAACCTGAAAATTGGTTTGGGCCATGATGGGAAGGGAGGTTTGGATATGCCTCATTATGCCCTCTTCCCTTTCAGAATTCAGGAAAAGCCAACCAGCATTAACATCAACACAGATTTTCAGATCTTAGGTTTCTTTCCGATCTATTCTCTCTGAACCCTGCTACCTGGAGGCTTCATCTGCATAATAAAACTTTAGTCTCCACAACCCCTTATCTTACCCCAGACATTCCTTTCTATTGATAATAACTCTTTCAACCAATTGCCAATCAGGGTATGTTTAAATCTACCTATGACCTGGAAGCCCCCACTTTGCACCCTGAGATCAAACCAGTGCAAATCTTATATGTATTGATTTGTCAATGAAAACAGTCAAAGCCAGTCAGGCACAGTGGCTCATGCCTGTAATCCCAGCACTTTGGGAGGCTGAGGCGGGTAGATCACCTGAGGTCAGGAGTTCGACAACAGCCTGGCCAACATGGTGAAACCCCGTCCCTACTAAAATACAAAAATTAGCCCAGCTTGGTGGTGGGCACCTGTAATCTTAGCTACTGCAGAGACTGAGGCAGGAGAATCGCTTGAACCCAGGAGGTGGAGGTTGCAGTGACCTGAGATTTTGCCATTGCACTCCAGCCTGGGCAACAGAGCAAGACTCTATCTCAAAAAACAAACAAACAAACAAACAAACAAACAAACAAACAAACTGTCAAAATCTGTACAGTATGTGAAGAGATTTGTTCTGAGCCAAATATGAATGACCATGGTCCATGACACAGCCCTCAGAAGACCCTGAGAACATGTGCCCAAGGTGGTCACAGTGCATCTTAGTTTTGTACATTTTAGGGAGATATGAGACTTCAGTCAAATACATTTTTAAAAAATACATTGGTTTTGTCCAGAAAGCCAGAACCACTCAAAGCAGGGGTTTCCAGGTTATAAGTAGATTTAAAATTTTTCTGATTGACAATTGGTTGAAAGAGTTGTCAATAGAAAGGAATGTCTGCATTGTGACAAGAGCTTGTGGAGACCAAGTTTCTGTCATGCAGATGAAGCCTTCAGGTAGCAGGCTTCCAAGATAACAGGTTGTAAATAGTTCTTATCAGACTTAAGTTCTGTGGAGACATAAAATGAGGCATATCTGACCTCCACTTCCAAAAACATCTGAGACAGGTCTCAGTTAATTAAGAAAGTTTGTTCTGCCTAGTTTAAGGACATGCCCATGACACTGCCTCAGGAGGTCCTGACAGCATGTGCCCAAGGTGGTCAGGATACAGCTTGCTTCTATATATTTTAGGGAGAAAATACATCAGCCTGTAAACAAAAAATTAAATTCTAAGGTCCCTGAACCATCTGAATGGGCTTTCTTCTAGGCCAGGGCACTCTAAAATTGAAGAACCTGAACATTCCTTTCTATTGATAATACTTTCAGCCAGTTGAGCCCATTCAGACCACAGCAAGGTGCCAGGCCAGGCAAGGGCTGACTTGAGATACCTGCCAGATGAGTCACTGGCAAAAGGTGCTGCTCCCTGGTGAGGGAGAAACACCAGGGGCTGGGAGAGGCCCAGAAGGCTCTGAAGGAGTTTTGGTTTGGCTGGCCATGTGTGCAATTAGCGTGATGAGCTCTGACATGGCCTTGCATGGACGGATTGGGCAGGACACCCCAGCTGAGGAGGATGGCAGGAGTGATGGCACAGGGGAAAGGGTGGCATACCCAGGTGACAGCTCCCCACTACCTCCACTCTGTGCTGCAGCTCAGGGACTGGGTCTTCTGCTGCAACTCAGCCCCTCTGTACCAGCCCTGGCCTCATTCCCTTGGTTCCAGGACACCCAGCTGACAAAAGGGACTTGCCTGTACCCCTGCACCTGGTCCTACACCTGGCTCCTGGGTTGTCAGCAGGTGTTTGTTGGGCCAACGAGTGCATGGATGGAAACACAGACAGAAGGACAGATGGAGAGATGGTGGGTGGCCAGACAAAGGAGTAACTTGGTGAGGAATGTGCATTAGGAAATCACAGAAGAGCAGAAACTGTTTGAAAATTCCAAGTGGGGAAAGTGAGGAGGTGAAGCAGGGCTGAAGGGCCTCCCTCAGAGCCTTCTCCCACTCTGTGGTGTCCACATCCCCTTGGTCGTCCTTGTGGGAGGCACTCACCTTTTGCTCAGCCTCTTGTGGCTACAGCCCAGCAGGTCCCAGGTGGCACCAGCCAAGATGAAGGTGGCATTGAGGGCTGAAGTCTCCCTCACCATGAAGGGATGATGTATAGTGGGTGGGGCCTCAGGAGGAAGAGGGCCACCAACCCTACCTGGCCCCTAACCTGCTGCCTGGAGTAGGCAGGTACCAGAGGCATGGGGTGAGGCATGTTGCAGGTCGAGGACCAGGGCCATCTCACTGCCTGAGCCCATGGACTGGCTCAGGGGTCTGTCAGATGATTCTAGAGCTGAGTTGGAGGTAAGGGCAGGGGGTTTGTTCCTGGGTTCAAGACCATGGAAGGAAGGGGTAGAGAAGGAGGCCAACAAGTGAGGAGGCAAATTACAGTGGCTGGCAGAAGGAGAGAGAAGCCAGGACAGGTGGCTGTGGCCCTGTCCCTGCAGGCAGACCCAGGAAGGAGCTCAGAGACAGGATTCATGCCAAGCCTGCCTACCCAGCACATCTCTCCTCATGGACATGAGAGAAAACCCTCCAGCTTGGCCCTCACATCTGTGAAACCCACAGTAATGGGGCTGACATCCTCTGCCCTATGCAAGAGAGGTTTCCCAAGCACTTGCAGCAAGTGAGACTGCACAGGATGGCGAATCCACAAAGAACACGTTGTTCTCATGCTCTTTGGAAGCACCAATTTACATTCTGACAGTTTTGTGGGGAGATGAGACCAGTGAAAACCAGGGAACCCTGCTCATTAGGGGAACCCTTGGTGGTCTCTGCTTGGAAGCCGGGCTGCAGAGGACTGTAAGATCAACCGCCGGGGCTGTAGGTGATGGCTCAGGCACTGGATTCTCCATGGAGGACCCCATGAATGCACTTTGAAAGGTCAGCTCCATGGGTCTCAGCTGGCTGGGCCCATTTGGGAGTTCTATCTTTGGGGAAGGATGCTTTCCTAGGCTCTGTTGCACGCTGGCCCTAGGCTCAGGCCAGGATCAAAATCAAAGTCAGCTTCATGCCCAAGGAGGGCATGGGACTACCTCCTCCAGGGCCACAGGGTGGGGCCTAAATTCCATCCTGCGGGATCCCAGGTCAGGAACAAGGCCCGGGGATGCTGCTTCTGGGTCTGAACCCCAGGTATGGGTCAAGAGGGCTCCAACTTCAAGGGTGAGGTTATTCATGGTAGAAGAAACTGTAAGTCTCCCAGGACATTCCCTCCATGTAAGCAGGAAGCTGCCCCTTTGCTTCCCAAGACAAAAAGGTATGAGGCTGGTTGTCCAGCACCGACCCACCCTGGGGCTGGAAAGGCTGGGAGGGCAGGTTGGCACATTCCCAGTTTGAGGGAGCCAGGTGTATTCCTGAGCCTGGGCATTGGATGAAAATGTTAGGGTGGGCCTATGATTAGGCCTGAGAGGTTGTTTGTCTCCCATCAGTGGAGCTGGCAATCTGACGATGCCTCTCTTTGGACCCTGGCCTTCAGCCTCTTCAGGCCATGGTGATCGGGGTCCACCAGGAGAAAGATCTCGGCTGTCATCCAAGCCTCTGTGTAGCACTGCTCCTCCAGGCAGCATTGTCCATGACACAGAAACACCTGTACTGTTGGGGCCCGGCACAGGCTATTCTCGGCCAAAGTGAGCCCCAGCTTAAGGGCCTGGGCAAAGGCCTCTTTGCCCTCACCTTGTCCTTCAGGCTCAGCAGCAGGCAACCCCAATTGCAGAAGTCTCTATCCATCTTGGGAGGTTGTCATCCCCTGAACCTTCCTAGAGCACATTGTCCAGGCCCCCAAAGCCTCCAAACTCATGCAGTTTGATCAGGCAGCCAGCAGATGCAGGTGACAGGCACTGTTGCCACCAGCCAGGATGGCCAGTAGTCAGTAGCCCAGTGCCCTTCCCAGGATGCCCTGCATCCAGGAGGGCCTTGGCTTCCTGGGCTGTGGCTTGCACAGAGGACACAGAAGGAGGGAGGGAACATAGGGTTAGCCCAGAAAGTCCATCATTCCCTCACTTCCAGAGCTCCTCTCTACAGCCAGCCTCTGCTGGCTCCCTGGGGAGGGTGGACTCCTGGGCTGCAGAGGGGCTGCCCACTTCTTCCAGAGGGCCTGGCCATGGGTGAGGGCCCTGGGTAGAAGACCCCTCCCTGCAATTCCCACACCCCTGGAAGCTGTAAAGCCCAGCTCAGACCCTTGGAGGGCAAGTGGCCAACTCAGGGCCTGGTGTCTTTGTCCACTGCTACTCTGCCTGGTCCTCAGATCAGGCACCTGGATTTACCTCCTCATGCTCCGCCCCTGGCTGCCCCACTGCTCCACCCACTTGATCCAGCTTCCCTTGCCTGGGTGACTGCCATGGCCTCCTTCCTCTGCTCCTCAGCAAAGGACTCTCTCCAACAGGCCCTATGATACAGCCACTCAGCCAGTTCACCCCACCCACATTCCACAGGCTGCTTTAGGCTTTAGGACAGTGGCAAACATGGCCTCTGCCATCCCGGTCTGTGAGCGCCCCTTCTTACACCAAGGTCAGTTGCTAACCAATGAGCTGCTGGGGGCCTCCTTCTCCCACTCCCACTGCACTGTGTCCAGAGTGGCCAGCACCAGCCCCAGGTGTCAGGGGTCAGTGCATTTGCCTCAGGGGGACTGGCAGAGTGGGCGCATCCTGAAGGGCTGTGCTGGAATCAGCCCATAGTCTTTGCGTGTCCCATGGGGCAGGGCCAAAGGAAGCAGTCAGCAAGTGCCATCCACCCCAGCTTTTCTCTCCCTGGGGACTGCTGGACTGAGGGTCCAGGTGGCCCAGCTCCAAAGGCTGTTGCTGGCCAGACCTGCCCACCTCCCCTCTGACCTGCAGGCACTTGCCTTTTCAGAGTCATATTTGAATCCTACTCTTCACATCAGGGTTCAGGCAGCTGTCCAAACACCTTATCTTTTCATCTCTGACCATTTCTTCAGAGTCGACTATGAGCAGAAATCACCCAGACACCCCACAGGTAAGTCCACTTGCCTCACATGGCTCTTCCTCTTGTCAAGAACCTACAAGGGCTCCCAGTGCCTGAGGAATAAGGTCCACTGGAGACCCTGCCTTTCTTGCTGCCCCTCTCACCCTCTTCTCCAGGCAGCCAGGCAATCCTCAACACTCCTCCCCTCAAGGAAAGCACACTGCACCCCAGGATTCTGCAGGGGTGCTGCTGTAGGGAGCAAACCACACACCACTGAGGCCCGCTTTCCCTGCTGAGAGGGGGGGCGTCCCAGGGCCCCACACAGGTCCAGGGTCCTGGCACTTTGCTACTGGGCTCCTGCGGGGAACAGTAATGGTCTCTTCCCACCAGCCTGTGAGCAGCAAAAAGGCAGGACTGGGTCTTGAACCCAGTCTCCCTCCTTGCTGTGTAACCCTGCGTGAGCTTAATCTCAAAGAACTCAAAGCACAGGCTTTGATTTCTGAACTAACACCCGGGTTCAGCACCAGGCTGCAGGGCTCTGAGCCCTCTCACCTGAGTCACCACAAGGGAATCTTTTCTCTCCCAATCACCTAGAGGGAGGCTGGGCCTCCTGGAGGAGCAGAGCAGCATGGGGGGAAGCAGCCCTGGGCCCCCTGAAGTCCTAGGTGGGCAAACACAGACTACAGAGGGAGCTCCCTTTTCAGATTAGTGGTGAAATGGTATCACATCACCAGGAGGGTGTAGAAATCTGTAGTTAAGCCCTGTAAAATGTAGATTTTGGCACACGGGGACCTAAGACAATCCTGCCTGAAACAGGGCCTGGCATCCCATCAGTGCTCAATAAACAGCTGCCAGTGACACGCACAACTTAAGGGAGGCCAAGTGTATAAGTTATTTTATGAAACCAGAATCACTCCTTTGTTCCTCCTCTATGCAAACAAAGAGCCACATGGGTACAGCAGAGGGGAGCCTTTTACACACCAGGCCTCATGCAGGAAACCGGGTCATAGGTCAGGGAGTTTGGAGTGGAAGGGACGTGAGAAGCTGTCCTGGTCTAAGTATCTTTCTCCCATTTTACATAAAGGAATACACAGTGTCAGAAGGAGGACCTGTGTCCAGCCCCTGTGTTCCCCACTCCTGGGCAGATGCGTACCCAGTGCAGCGAGAATGTCTGCGAGGGGGACTTGTCAGCTCCACTGCTCAGCACTGATTTTGATCAGCATTTCCCCAGTGGCAAAGAGGCACTTAATGACCTTGTCCAAATCTCATGTTGAAATATAATCCTCAGTGTTGGAGGTGGGGTCTGGTGGGAGGTGCTTTGGTCATGGGGGCAGATCTCTCATGAATCGGTCCTGTCCTTGCAATAGTGAATGAGTACTTGTGAGATCTGGTTGTTTAAGGGTGTGGCACCTCCCTCCCACTCTCTTTTGCTCCCACTTTTGCCTTGTGATGTGCAAGCTTCTGCCTCACCTTCTGTTATGAGTAAAAGCTCCCTGAGGCCTCCCCAAAAGCCGAGCAGATACCAGCACCACATTTGTACAGCCTGTAGAATTGTGAACCAATTAAACATTTTTTCTTTATAAATTACCCAGCCTCAGGTATTTCTTTATAGCAATGAAAGAATGGCCTAACACAGAAAATTGGTACTGAAGAGTGGTGTTTTGCTATAAAGATACATGAAAATGTGGAAGTGACTTTGGAAGTGAGTAACAGGCAGAGGTTGGAAGAGTTTGGGGGGCTCAGAAGAAGACAGAAAGATGAGGAAAAGTTTGAAATTTCTTAGAGACTGGTTAAATGGCTGCATTCTGTTCATGCCCTAGGAATTTGTGGAAGTTCAAACTTAAGAATGATGATTTAGGGTGTCTGATGGAAGACATTTTTAAGCAGGAAAGCATTCAAGGTGTGGCCTCACTGCTTCTATACTCAGATCCAGGAGCAAAGAAATGACTTAAAGCTGGAATTTATGTTTAAACAGGAAGCAGACCAGAAAAATTTGGAAAATTTGCAGTCTGGCCATGTGACAAAGAAAGAAAAAAGCTTTTTCCAGGAGAAGAATTTGAGCAGGCTGTGGAGCAAACACTTGCTAGAGAGTTGCATAATTAAAATGAAAGCCAGATGCTGATAGCCAAGACAATGGGGAAAAGGCCTTACATGCATTCCAGAGATCTCCATGGCAGTCCATCACATCACAGACCTTGAGGCCTAAGAGAGAAGAATGCTTTTGAGGGCCAGGACTTTACTGCTCCACACAGCCCGGGGACACTGCTCCCCACATCCTGGCCACTTCAGCAGCAGTCTCAACTCAGAAGACCCCCGATACAGCTCAGGCTACTGCTTCAGAGGGTGCAAGCTATAAGCCTCGGAAACTTCCATGTGGTGTTAAGCCTATGGGCATGCAGAGTGCAAGAGTGATGGCTTGGCATTCTCTGCCTATATTTCAGAGGACGTATGAGAAAGCCTGGGTGTTTAGGCAGAAGCCTGCTGCAGGGGTGGAGCCATCACAGAGAACCTCTCCTAGGGCAGTGCCAAGTGGAAATGTGGGGTTGGACCCCCACACAGTCTTCAATGGGGTACTTTCTAGAGGAGCTGTAAGAAGGAACCATCATCTTCCAGATTCCAGAATAGTGGATCCACTGGCATCTTGCACTCTGTGCCTGGGAAAATTGTAGGCACTTAACCCCAACCCCTGAAAGCAGCTGTGGGGGCTGTACCCTGCAGAGATGCAGGGACAGAGTTTGCCCAAGACCTTGGGAGCCTACCCCCTGCACCAGTGTACCCTGGATGTGGGACACATAGTCAAAGGGGATTATTTTTGAGGTTTAAGATTTAACGACTGCCCTGGTAGATTTCAAACTCATGTGGGGCATGTAACCTCTTTCTTTTGGCCAAGTTACCCCTTTGGGGATGGGAATGCCTGTACCACAATGCCTGTACCCCAATTGTGTCTTGAAGTAAATAACTTGTTTTTGATTTTACAGGCTCATAGGTGGAAAAGACTTGCCTTGCCTCAGATGAGAACTTGGACTTGGGACTTTTGAGTTAATGCTGAAATGAGTTAAGGCTTTGGAGGACTATTGGGAAGGCATGATGGTATTTTGCAATGTGAGAAAAACATGAGATTTGGGGCTTGTCCTGGGGTGGAATGATATAGTTTGGATGTTTGTCCCTGCCAAATCTCATGCAATTTTAATTCCCGTTGCTGGTGGTGGGACCTAATGGGAGGCATTTGGGCCAGGGGGACAGATACCTCATGGCTTGGTGCTATCCTTGCAATAGTGAGTGAGTACTCATGAGATCTTGCTGTTTAAGGATGTTGCACCTCCCCCACAACTCTCTCTCTTGCTTCTGCTTTGCCATGTGATGTGGAAGCTCCCACTTTTTAACTTTTGCCAAGAGTAAAGGCTCCCTGGGGCCTCCCCAGAAGCTGAATGGATGATAGCACCATGCTTGTACAGCTTGCATTAAAGCTTGTGAACCCATTAAACATATTTTCTTTATATTTACCCAGTTGAAGGTATTTCTTTGTAGCAAGGCAAGATTGGCCTAACACATACCATCCCGATAGAGTTTGAATATCTGTCCCTGCCCAAATATCATGTTGAAATGTGATCTCTAGTTTTGAAGGTGGGGCCTAGTGGGAGGTGTTTCGATCATGGGGGTGAATCTTCATGAATGGCCTGGGACATCCCCTTGGTGATGAGTGAGCTCTTGCTCTGAGTTCTCATGAGATCTGGACATTTACAGGTGTGTGGCACCCCCGCCCCTGCCAAAAAAGTAAACTTGCTCCTGCTTTCACCATGTGACATGCCTGCTCCTGCTTTGCCTTCTGCCAGAATTGTGAACTTTCTGAGACCTCCCCAGAAATGGATGCCAGCATTATGCTTCCTATACAGCCTGCAGAACCATGAGCCAATTAACTCTCTTTTTTCTTTTTCTTTTTCTTTTTCTTTTTCTTTTTCTCTTTCTTTCTTTCTTTCTTTCTTTCTTTCTTTCTTTCTTTCTTTCTTTCTTTCTTCTTTCTTTCTTTCTTTCTTTCTTTCTTTCTTTCTTTCTTTCTTTCTTTCTTTCTTTCTTTTTGTTTTCTTTCATCTTTCCTTCTTCTTTTTTGATGGAGTCTCACTCTGTTGCCTGGGCTGGAGTGCAGTAAGTGGTACGATATTGGCTCACTGAAACCTCCGCCTCCCGGGTTTAAGTGATTCTCCTGCCTCCACCTCCCAAGTAGCTTGGGATTACAGGCAGCTGCCACTGCACCCAGCTAATTTTTTGTATTTTTAATAGAGATGGGGTTTCACCATGTTAGCCAGGCTAGTCTTGAACTCCTGACCTCATGATTCACCGGCTTTGGCCTCCCAAAGTGCTGGGATTACAGCCTCTTTTCTTATACATTACCCAATCTCATGGAGTTTCTTTATAGCAGGGCAAGGATGGCCTATTCCACCCCCGCAGGATGTTATCCTTATTGAGACCAGTTGGCCAGAAGAGAAATTAAGTTTACTGCACTCTGATTTGGTGTTGGTCCTACAATCCTCAAATAAGATTGATCATAAACTTCAAAAGTCTATTGACAAGGAAGCTATGCATGTTGCAAGTTTCACTAAAGAATATGATGATGCATGTGGGGACTTTTTTGGCTGGTTGTGTTGTTTACTGTCCTCTGATTCTATCTATAACTTTCTTGTATGCCCAATCTTCACTATTTTTATACATGTATTGCTATTTTATCATTGTATGTCTCTTGTCAATGCCATGCCTATTGTAGGAAAAGAAAAGGATGCAATCAAAGACCCACAAATCATCATAAATTGTAGGATAGATCTGATCCAGTTGGCTTTTCAGATTGAACCCTAGGCCTTACTCCCTCTCACCACTTAAACAATTGGCTATTAAATCAGGTCAGATTGTGTCCTTCTTCTGTGATCTGAACTCACTAATATTGAAACTATCATCACCAATGACAGATGACCAAATAAACAACCCTGGGAATGAGATTTCCTAGCATTGTGGGACTTCCTGCTGGTTGTTGGCCTTCACATACATTCCATAAAATGATCTTTGGCCAATAGTGGGGACTGAGGCCTCAACTCTGACCTTTTATTCTCTTGCCAAAAATCCTGTCTAAGGGGCCTGGAGATTCACACTCCTCAAGCCATAAAATCTCGTGATTTTTTTTTCAATTAACCTGGTATAATGTGGCTTATTTTCCAAGCTGACCCTGTGATAGCATCACATAACACATGGCAGACCCCCTTATCTTAACTCAAGTGTTCCTTTCTACTGACTTCATGTCTTTACACAATGGTTTAACTCCCTTGACCAACTGTCAACTAAAGAATTCCTAAAACTCACCTATGACTTGTAAGACCCCTCGTTGAGATGTCTTGCCTTTTCAGGATGAACCAATGTATACCTTCCACTTATTGATTTACAATTTAATTTGCAACTTGTGTCTCCATGAAATGTACAAAATCAAACTGTAAGCTGACCACCTTGGGCTCACTCTCTCAGAAGCTCTTAAGACTGTGTAACCCTAGGCCATGGTCACTCATATTGGCTTAGAATAAAGCTATCTAAATACTTTGGCAGAATTTGGTTTTTTCATCACCACAACTGAAAAAACTTGACCTTCACAAAACCACTTTTCTGTTTAGTAGAAATTTCCCAGGGCTACAAAGCCTTCACTGTATGAGCTGCAAATCAAGCCAAAATGTTATCAGAGATGAAGAGATGGGGATAGCCATCAGGCCTGGGGATGGACCTCCCTGGAGCTGGGCATTCAAGAGGATGAGTGCAGCAGAACGCGTATCCAGGGAGGTCTGGTCTGCTGATTTTTCTAGGCATAAAGCAAATTTATTTTTTAAATTAAAATAAAAATGCATGCACTTTCAAATGTACTTAGTGTAACATATTGAACTTAAATTCCAGTTTTCCTGGAATTACTTGTGTCTTGAGCTAAAGACTGTATTTGGTATAACAGGGAAGGAAAGAAATTATTTTTCCCACAAAATTAGTTTAAGAACACATATAATTAAACAAAATAAAAATATTATCTCATCTTTTAAAGAATATTTACTAATTCACAGATATTACCCGAAGTTTAGAAAACCACCTAAGAACAATTGTTTAAAAGTTATTTAGGGAAAATGAAGCAAAATTGTTGTTACAATCTGAGATTTTAACAGCCAGTGCACTCCTGTTCCTCAGCTGAATGTCCCCTTCATTCTGAATGTCTGCAGTAGAATTGAACTGGGGAGCAGTTAGGTTCCAGGGAAATATTCACTCCTGTTTTCTTCTCTCCCCAATCTCAGCCTTTCGGTGACTGTTTGGGCAAAGCCTCCCTTGTGGTAAAAGATGCCTCACTTCTGGGGAGAGGAGGCTCCTCATCTTGCAGACAAGAAGCAGCACCCACTGGTTCCTGTTCCAAAAGCCATTATGAACATTATAAACTGGCCAGGTGCGGTGGCTCAAACCTGTAATCCCAGCACCATTTGGGAGGTTGAGGCAGAAGGATTGCTTGAGCCCAGGAGTTTGAGAACAGCCTGGGCAACAAAGTGAGACCCAATCTCTACAAAAACTAGAGAAAAAATAGCTGGGTGTGGTGGCACTCACCTGTACTAAGGAGGCTGGGCTGGGAGGATCTCCTGAGCCTAGGTGGTTGAGGCTGCAGTGAGCCAAGATCATGCCTCTGCACTTGAGCTTGGGTGACAGAGTAAGACCCTATCTCAAAAAATAAATTACAAACTGATTCACAATAACTTTGGTTTTGTCACTAATATGCTGAATATTTTTGTTACAACTAATATGCAAAATGCAAACTGGCTATCACTACCATTCTGATAATGGTATTAGCTGTCCTACGTACCTGACGACCTAATGCTTAACCTAATGTTCCTCTTTCCCACTTTGATTTGGAAACTTGTTGCAATAGAGTTCTTTACCCCAAAGTCTTAAGGAATTCAAGACAAGACGAGAATATGTTAAGATACCACAAAAACAAAAAATATACATAGTTAAGAGCTTTCATGAGTAAGCAAATTTTATACATATAAAAATAATTTACATGCAAATGACCAAGAGGAAAGGTTAAGTGACTCTAGTGTAAATAATTAGTTTTCTGATCCTGCCAGAGCATATTAAGAAAAATTCACTTTGGCAGAATTATATGGATTTGAAGAAGTAACAAGTGGGTTTCTCTAAAGCACAGTTTGGCTTTTTACTAGAATATCAAGTCACCTTTTTTGGGTGAGGAGAGTACAAAGGGAGTGGGCAGCTGGTGAAAATAAACATTGAAAATTACTTAAAACTTCAACAAATGGGATCTGCATTTAAATCTGTTTTGGTCTATCTTCCCTTTGTTTTTTCTAATCCCAACAATGCAAACCTCAGCCACTGTCAAGGGCAATCTCAGACTGGGGGTTGCTGCCTAGGGTGGGGTTCTAGCAAGACTTACAAGCAGAGCTCAGGGAAAAGTCTGCATGGGAAAACAGAGCCAGACTTAGAAGGCATTGCTGATGAATCCCATTTTCTTATTACAGGAGAGCTAGCAAAAACTGCAATATGATGTGTAAAGTCAGTGTAATCTTACGGAAGTCATATAAAAGTCACAACATGAGGCATGAGATACCTCAGATGTTGTTCCCTCTAAATCTCATGTTGCATTGTGTTATCCCCAATGTTGGTGGTAGGTCTGGAGGCAGGTGATTGGATCATGGGGATGGATTTCTCAGGAATGGTCTAGCATCATCTCCCTGGTGCTGTCCTTGTGATGGTGAGTGAATTCTTGCAAGATCTATTTGTTTAAAAGTGTGTGGTGTTTCCCCTGCCTTGCCAGGTGATGTGCCTGCCTGCTCCTTCTTCATCTTCTGCCATGAATAAAAGCCTCCTGAGGCCTCACCAGAAGCTAGGCAGATGCCAGAACCATGCTTGTACAGCCTGCAGCTATACAAACTTCTTTTCAAACCTCTTTTCTTTATAAATTACCCAGTCTCAGGTATTTCTTTATAGCAATGCAAGAAAATTGGTACTGAGACATGGGGCATTGCTATAAAGATACTTGAAAATGTGGAAGTGACTTTGGAACTAGGCAACGGGCAGGAGTTGGAAGAGTTTGTAAGGCTCAGAATACAGGAAGATGAAGGAAAGTTCTGAATGTCTTAGAGACTAGTTAAATGGTTGTGACCAAAATGCTGATAGTGATATGGACAGTGAAGGATAGGCTGATGCGGTCTCAGATGGAAATGAGGAACTTACTGGGACTTCGAAAAAAGGTCATGCCTGTTATGCCTTTGCAAAGAACTTGGCTGCAGTCTGTTCATGTACTAGGGATCTGAAGAAGTTTGAACACTCAGATGCAGGAGCAAAAAATGACTTAAAGTTGGAATTTACAATTAAATGGGAAGAGCAGACCATACAAGTATAGAAAATTTGCAGCCTGCCCATTTGGCAAAGGAAGGTAAAGCATTTTCAGGGGAAGAATCTAAACAGGCTGTGGCACTAAACAGGCAACCACTTATTAGAGACATTTGCATAACTGAAAAAAAGCTAGGTGCTGATAGCCAAGACAATTAAAAAAAGGCCTTGAAGGCATTTCAGAAATCTTTGCAGCAGCTCATCCCAGCAGAGACCTAGAGGTCCAGGATGAAAGAATGGTTTCCTGTGTAGTGGGATTTTAAAAATTAATTAATTTATTTACTTATTTATTCTGAGATGGAGTCTCACTCTGTCACCCAGGCTGGAGTGCAGTGGCACAATCTCAGCTCACTGCAAGCTCTGCCTCCCAGGTTCATGCCATTCTCCTGCCTCAGCCCCCCAAGTAGTTGGGACTACAGGCGCCTGCCACCATGCCTGGCTAATTTTTTGTATTTTTAGTAGAGACGGGTTTTCACTGTCTTAGCTAGGATGGTCTCAGTCTCCTGACCTTGTGATCTGCCCGCCTTGACCTCCCAAAGTGCTGGGATTAGAGGCGTGAGCAACCATGCCCAGGCTGTAGCGGGATTTTTTAAGGAATCAGAGAGACCGATGGGGTTGAGGAGGGTATTTATTATTTAGGTGCACCAGCCCAGTCAGATTAACATCCAAAGGACTGAGTCCTGAACAAAGACTTAAGTTACCTTTTAAGCATTTTGTGGGGTGGTGGGGAGTGGGGAGATCTGTGCAGGGGGAAGCATATTACAGAAGCGAGAAACAAAGACAGTTATTCAATTAATTGAGACGTGCATTATATCATTTCTTACTTTTCAAGGAAAAACATGTTTTACGACTTGAGTTTATCAGTCTAGTGACCTTGCAGCTGCACAGCTAGAGAAATAGAGTCTTCACAATACCTGGGAAAGGAAGAGAGATGAGGCTCACTAGCCACAGAAAAACAGGCAGTTAATTTTTAAAGGGCTCCAGCTCTTTCTCTTTCTCAGGGGGGATTTGGGTTTTCTTACATACAACTGAGTTTCTGCTTACACATTCTTTAATTTCTTTTAATTCCTGTTCCGCTTGGACCAGGGCCAGGGCACCACTGCCCTGTACCACCCCCAGGAGGGTGTTCCTTGCATCCTGGCCCTTCTAGCTCCAGCCTTGGTTCAAAGGGCTCCAGATGAGCTCAGGCCATGGCCTCAGAGGGTGCAAACTATAAGCCTTGGTGGCTTCCATGTGGTGTTAAGCTTGCAGGTGAGCAAAGTGCAAGAGTGAAGGAGGCTTGTCATTCTCTGCCTAAATTTCAGAGGATGTATGAGAAAGGCTGGATGCCCAGGGAGAAGCCTATGCCCGGCTGGAGCCCTCAAAGAGGACCTCTTCTAGGACAGTGCCAAGTGGAAATGTGGGGTTGGAGGCCCCACACGGGGTCCTGACTGGGGGGGCGGGGGCTGCCTAGTGGAGCTGTGGGAGGGGGGCTGCTGCCCTCCAGATCCCAGAATGATAGAGCCACCAGCAGCTCATGTCTTCAGTGTAGAAAAGCTGTGGGAGCAGAGCTGCCCAAGGCCTTGGGAGCCCACCCTGTGCATCCTGGGAATGCTCTATGTTCCCAGGATGTGGGACATGCTTTCAAAGGAGATTATTTTGGAACTTCGAGATTTAATGACTGCCTTGCTGGGATTTGAAGTTGTGTGGGGCCTGTAGCCCCTTTCTTTTGGCCAATTTCTCTCTTTTGTAGTGGGAATGTTTACCCAATGCCTGTACCCAAATTTTATCTTAGAAGTAAATAACTTGTTTTGATTTTACAGGCGCATCAGTGGAAGGGACTTGCCTTGTCTCAGAAGAAACTGCACTTTCGAGTGATGCCGAAACAGGTTGAGACTTTTGGGGGACTATTGAGAAGGGATGATTGTATTTTGCAATGTGAGAAGGACATGAGATTTGAAGGGCCAGGGATGGAATGAAATAGTTTGGATGTTGTACCCTTTAAGTCGCATGTTGAATTGTAATTCCCAGTGTTGGAGTTGGGGTCTGGTGGGAGGTGATGGGGTCATGAGGGCTGATTTCTCATGTTTAGTACCATCCTCTTGGCACTGTCCTTGCAAGAGTGAGTGAGTTCTCATGACATCTGGCTGTTTAAAAGTGTGTGGCACCTCTCCCTGCTTGCTCCTGCTCTGGCCATGTGACATACCTTCTTTTGCTTCACCTTCTGCCATGTGTAAAACCTCCCTGAGGACCCTTCTTGAAGCCAAGCAACTGCCAATGCAAAGCTTCCTGTACAGCCTGCAGAACTGTGAGCCAAGTCAACCTTTCTTTTCTGTATAAATTATGTAGTGCTTAGGTATTCCTCTATAGTAATGCAAGAATGTCATAATACAAGGCATAATGGCTTGCATTTTAAAAATGAAAATTAGATTTATGTAATTTATCATGAAAAGATGAAATGAGTTAATAATGAGCAATATCTACATGTTGTCTTAGAGGTGCTGACAATCTGTCAAGGAATTACATGCATTGATCAAGCAGTTTACCTTCAAGTTGAATAACAAGATATTCTTATCTAACATAACAAAATTTTGACATTATTTGGGAGACTGGAAATAATGCTACATAATATCAGATTGTCAAAGCCAAATAAATGTAGAGACAGACATCTGAAATTAAAATGTTTTATTTGAGATACAAGTATTACAATTTGACACATACATGCAGAATGGGTGTCTTTAGTATGTCCGAAACATAAAGAGAAAGTTAGAGGTTTTATAAAAAGGGAGACAGAGAGAAAAATGGTATGTATTTCTCTTTGAGAAAGTTCACTGGCACCAGTAAGGTTTTTGAGAGCTGGCAGGCTCTGATAGGTGAGGGACAGTGGTGGGTAAAACTAGTCTTAGTGTTGCAAGAGGTTGTTTCAGTAACCATTCGATAAAACTGGTTTCAGCTTAAAGCAGGTAATTTCAGCAGCCAGGCATGCAGAGAATTACGTGCTTGGAGTGGTGTTTTTGCCCTGAATGCCTCCTCCCCCTGGCTTCTTGATGGTTTTATTTGGTGTGACAAGAATGACCCAATTCATATGATCAATTTTTACATTTACCCCTTTCCATCAAGATCTTTCTCTTAAAGCATCAACCATGTTTATAGTTGTACAACGACTACAAGTTAGGCTTAATCATCCCTTAGTGCTAGGATGGACCTGTCCCAGTTGCTCCGTCCCACATCTGGGAAAGGTATGGAGGTCTACATCAGGTCTATGTCAAGATTTATGGCTTAAAACATCTATCCGAGGAAAAAAATAAAACTGACCAGTAATCCCAGGAGAGAAACATACCTTGGCAAATTCGAAGATATTTCTAATTTTATTTAACAAATTTAAACTTAATTAATGTATCAAAGATTCGCCTAACTCATGTCAAACAAAATATGTTTGGGTTAATTAATATATATTTTATATGAGCATTCTTTTATTCAAACCATCCTTTTTTCCTAGAATGATGGATTAGGGGCTTTCGGTGTGCCTCAGCCACTTGGAAGTAGAAAAATAAGCATAAAGATAAACTTTGTGAGCTTCAATTCAAGAAGAAAAATAGGAATTCACAGGAATAGAGAAGAACACTCCAGACCCTGTGGAGGGGGAGGTGGGAAAGCAGCCTCTGCGATAGCATTTTGTTCATAAAAGGGAGTGAAACTGCAGTACGAGAGAAGAACATCCAGTCTCCCTCTGTGACTCACCTTTCCACTGGGGATCTGTGCAACCCAGATTAAGGGAGAGCAGTCTGTTTCTCCCACGAAAGCACTTATGTGCTTAGAGCTGGCACAAAAGTGGCTGAGAGATGGGGAAAGAGGAAAGACACTCAGAAAAGCTGCAGGCATTTCCGCAGACCTGGGACTGAGAGAAGGATGCCATTTTTAATCTGGGCTCGTACAAAGTCAATCATTCTTTGGTGCCTGGCAATGGTGGCCACTGCAGACACTTTAATCTTGGGCTAGGAATTGAAGTGCTTGCTCTGGAGCAGGGGAGCAGCCTCCACAGCCAGAATTGAGTGTTGAGTGTGGAAAGTGCCCCAGCAGTAGGTGTTGGAATTAGGCTCTCTCCTCT
Source organism: Homo sapiens (assembly GCF_000001405.40). Lineage (NCBI taxonomy): Eukaryota > Metazoa > Chordata > Mammalia > Primates > Hominidae > Homo > Homo sapiens. The sequence continues at coordinate 15,908,958 of NC_000022.11, read as the reverse complement.
TGCAGGACTGTAGTGGGAAGAGAGTTGCTAAAGCAGAGGTTTCTCAGGGATGGTGAGACTTGCAGCCAAGAACAGTTTTGCAACCTGGGACTGGTCTGTGTGTGTCATTGCTGGGTGTCCCAGCCTGCTCCCTTGGTCAGTTGAGAGAGTACCTCATCAGCTCCAAGAAACAGGAGGGAGGTGAACCCGTTTCCCCAGGAGACCTAAACTTTGGTGAGGACCAGTCCTAAGGGAAGGAGGAATACAGCTTGCCGAACACAGCCCTTGAGTCAAAGGAAACATGATCATGACATCAGCTGCTGAAAGGGGCACACCAAAGCCTGGGAACAGATTTAGAGAGGTGGTCATCTCTTGCCCTCTGTCACCTTCCTAGTGCACTGCTGCAGACCCAGCAGTGGTCATCCTGTTGGGGCCCAAGGAACGTGGGCTGAAAGAGGCTGCTTCTTAGGTTTCTCCAGCAGCTCTGCCCCTGCTGAAGACTAGTACACATGGGGACAGGGTGCTTTTGGCACTTCGTCACTTCTGCACCTGTCGAGGACAAGTACACAGAGGAGAAGACCCTGCAGCCAGCTGTTACTCTTAAGCACTGTCTACTGGACTGAAGCCTGAATTACACCACCAAACAAAGATACATCACCACACCAAGCCACCACAGGAGCCTATCTGCAACCAAGGAACTTGTACAGAGCCTTGGTCCTCTGAAAGTACGCAGAAATGAAGCAAACTGATCCTATACAACATACACCACAGTCATACCCTTAAGAGAAAGACAAAATGAAAAATTAAAAAAAAAAAAAACTCCTTCCAAATGATATCAAATTCAACAAAAGAAGCATCAAGTCTCTCAGATGAGAAGAAACCAGCACAAGCACTCTGGCAATACAAAAAGCCAGAATTTTCCATCACCTTCAAAGGATTACACCAGCAAACTAGCAATGAGTCCTAACCAGAATGAAATGTCTGAAATGACATGTATAGTATTCAAGATATAAGTGGCAAAAAAATTCACCAAAATCCAACAGAAAGTTGGAATCCAACAACAACCCCATAACAACGATCCTGGATTTGAATGACAAGATAGCTATATTGAAAAAGAACCAAGCAGAGCTTCTTGAATTGAAAAATTTACTATAGGAATTTCAAAAAGAGTTGGCAGCCTTAGCAACAGACTAGGCCAAATAGAAGAACTAATTTAAGAGCTCAAAGACCAGACCTTTGAATCAACCCAGTCAGACAAAAATAAAAAAGGAATTTAAAAATAATGAACCACACTTTTGAGAAATATAGGATTATGTAAAGGAACAAAATCTATGACTTACTATTGGCATTTTTTTTTGAGACAGAATCTCACACTGTTACCCAGTCTGTAGTGAAGTGGCATGATCTTGGCTCACTGAAACCTCCACCTCCTGGGTTCAAGCAATTCTTGTGCCTCAGCCTCCCAAGTATCTGAGATTACAGGCGTATGCCACCATGCCTGGCTAATTTTTGTATTTTTAGTAGAGATGAGGTTTTGCCATGCTGGCCAGGTAGGTCTCAAACTTCTGGTCTCGGGTGATACTCCCACCTTGGCCTCCCAAAGTGCTGGGATGACTGGCATGAGCCACTGTGCCTGGCTGACTTATTGGCATTTCTAACAGAGAAGAAGAGAAAGTAAGCAACTTGGAAAACATTTTTGAGGATATAATTCAGGAAAGTGTCCTCAATCTTGCTAGAGAGTTCCACCAGCTGATACAAGAAATCCAGAGAACTCCCGTGAGACTGAAGGTAGGCAGTGAAGCAAATGTTTGCATTCTTGTGTGGCTCTGATTAGCATCAGGATATCTACATTTTACATGGGAAAGGAGGGAGCAGAGGAAACAGTTAATTATGCGTTCATCTCACATTCAGTAAATCTTCATTTTACATAAGATAAAGTAAGCATGTGAATAGAGGGAGTGGAGTAGAGGAAAAGCCAATGATTCATTCATCTCAGGACAGGCAGAGGGATGATTTCTGGTCCTGACCTTGTCCCAGAACTATGAAAATAACCTGGTAATTGAGACCGTCAGGGTGAAATTGAGCCCACTCACTTTTAGGGCTAGTTTATAGGTGGGATGTGCATTCTGAAAGATTTAGGGGCTCACAGCAAATTGTGAGGGAGGACATCTGAGGAGACATGCAGCCTTCTGTCACTGTGGGAACCTGGCTTATGGATGAGGCTATGACACAGGGTTGTGAAGTTATAGCTATGTGTTTGAGAACAAGGAAGGCAGTATTGCATAACTCAGTTCCCAAGCTTAATTTTCCCTTTGACACAGTGAGCTTGGGGTTGGGGTCTCTATTCTCTTTTCTCTCACAAAATCATATGGGAACATTCCAGAAGATGTGAGGTTCTGCGCTCACTATTAAATAAGAATGACCAGGAGAGCCATGGGTAAGCTTCCTCCTCAGTCATCAGGACCGCAACAGAGAGTTTTCCCCTGTGTGGACAGGGTTCTGAATTCTGCAGGATCCCGTGGGGACACAAGTGTCAGGATAGAGGCACTTCTTCAGCCAGGTACAGTGTCTCATGCCTGTAATGTCAGCTACACTGGAGGCTGAGGTCACCCTGAGGCCAGGATTTCAAGACCAACCTGGGCAACATAGCAAGATCCCATATCTAAAAATAAAATTAGCCGGGTGTGATGGCATGCACCTGTAATCCTAGTTACTTGGGAGGGAGGCTGAGGTGGGAGGATTGCTTGAGCCTAGGCGTTGGAGACTACAACGATCTAGGATTACACCACTGCACTCCAGTCTCAGCAACAGTAAGACTCCGTATGTAACAACAACCAACCAATTCTGCGTTTTGAGTGTAAATTACCATAGCCTTTGTAACAGAAATTAGGCAGCAACTCTCGTCATTCAAAATGCATAAGCAATTTGGCTAAGCAATTGTACTTCTAGATTATTTATTTATTTATTTATTTATTTATTATTGGGACAGAGTCTCACTCTGTCCCCCAGACTGGAGTCCAGTGACATGATCTCAGCTCACTGCAACCTCCGCCTCGTGGGTTCAGGCAATTGCCCTACCTCAGCCTCCCGAGTAGCTGGGGCTACAAGTGCGCATCACCATACCCAGCTAATTTTTGTATTTTTTGTAGAAACGGGGTTTTGCCATGTTGGCCAGGCTGGTCTCAAACTTCTGACCTCAGGTGATCCACCCACCTCGACCTCCCAAAGTGCTGGGATTACAGGCACTAGGTCCCTAAATTAGAGCCATATTCTTTAATGTCTGAAAGCACTCTTGCATGTTTATTACTGCATTGTTTGAACTTAAATGTCCACAACAGGATAACAGGATAATTAAACAGTTAATTGCACTATGGCACATCCATCTGTTAACAAAATGAAATCGATCTTTTTGTACTGTGGTGTAAAGATTTTCTGGACATAGTTCAGGTAAAAAAAAAAAAAAAGACCACTGTTGAATAATGCTTCCGGTATAACACAATGTGTTTGAAAATGTACACAATACACTGTAATATCCAACACATACACCTATCAAAGTAAATATATTTTATTCTAGGGTAATTATTAAAACATTAAGAAGTACTCTTTAATCATATATGTTTAAACTTGTAGAAAATCAATAACATACAAGTAAAGAAGATCAAGAAGCCACAAAAAGCAATTCCAAGTATACAATGCATGGTGAAAAGTGATGGAAGAAAACTGCAGGAATTTAAAATGCAAAATTAAAATACAGCCCTATAATTCATGATACATAATTCTTCATTGAACCCCGAATCTGTCAGGACATATGTGTGTTCTTGGATAACGAATTCAACCTACTTGGCACTGAATTTTCTTGACTGTAAACTGTTTTAGAGATGTTCCTCACCCGGTTGCATGAAGCACATCTGTGTGTGTTAAGGCACTTCCCACAGCATCTGCGACACAGAACCGTGGCAGCTGTGCCCTTCCTGGTCCCTGCACACAGACCCACAGCAGTATGTTGTGTCTTTTTTTAATATAAAAGGCTTTGAAAATGTCCCACAGTTTCTTCAGTAACTGACTGTCAAAAGGGGCAGCCTTCAAAAGTAGAATTCTGGCAAATGTCTTCAAAAGACGCAAAATTCTGGCAATGGGCTCATTTCCCCTCCCGCCTTGCTCTTCTGGATGGATCCATTCTCTCCCACAGCATATTCATTTTCTTCCACTCCACCGTAAAAATTGTCCTTCTAGTGGCAAGAGTGACGTAAGTGATATGCGGAAATTTCTTTCCAAGCCTGCTTGGAGAAGCTTCCTCTGCCTGCTTCTCTTTGGCCACCTCCAGGGCTGCTCTGTCACCCCCAACAGCATGGACCTCACTGCAGTCACTCTGGAAGCTTCCCTCTAAAGGAAGCTTGTGCAGGAAACATCATGCATGGAGCAGCATGGGGACAGGGGCTGGCCAGCTGGGCAGGGCTCACACTCCTGACACCCAGACTCCACGATACTCCTCTGTCCCCACCCAGGGCAGATCCCTGCCCTAAAAGTTTTCCCTCTTATGTCCAGCAAATGCTGCATGGAGCCCTGGAATTCTATGTGGAAAGCTAGGAAGAGGGAGAGCTGAAATGAGGATGTAATCACCCTTTCCAAAGAGGTCAGTCCAGTACTACCCTGTGCTCCTGGGCAAGCTCTCCAGGCTGAGGGAACAGGAGCAGGGGTTATGTTGGGTGAAAGTGGAAGTGAGGGACCTCCCAGGAGGTGTAGAATATTCCACTAGGGACACCTCATACCCTTCCAGGATTAGACCTTGGGGCCTGGAGATCCCCAGGCAATTAGTATTGAAGGTCGAATGGCCAATGACAGGAATGGGAAGGCCCACTGTGTCATTCACAAAGCACTTCCAAACCCATCACCACAGGTGACCCTCACAACAACCCTGTGAGACCTGCAGAGCAGGGGCTCTCACAAAGGAGGAGTCGGGAATGTCAAGATTTTAACACCTTCTCCAAGTCAGGATCAGGAAATGCTGTCCCAGCGCTGACCTATATTCCCTATGCTTCCTCCCACAAAAGAGCTTAGGGTGGCTGCCAACTTGTGGGCAGAGACCCTCACTTTCCAATCCCCACGAGGGGCTGTGCAGTGGGGAGGACAAGGCCCCCTCCTCTGTCTCCTCCAAGACCCTGTTTTCTGAGGAAGGTCACTCTGGGAACTGTTGGCCTCTGCAGATGGGGGCCTGGATCATGTGGAAAGATGACGTGAAGGTCACACCTGTCAGGGACCAGTGCTGGAGGGCAAACCTCACCTTTAAAAGCTCCCACTGTTTATTTTAAATTTATTTTTATTTTTAATTTCTATGAGTACATAGTAGGTGTATATATTTATGGGGTACATGAGATAGTTTGACACAGGCATGCAATGTGTAATAATCACATCAGGGTATAAATGGGGCATTCATCACCTCAAGAAAGGGAAATGCCAGATGCTTATAAAACCATCAGATCACATGAGAACTCACTGACTATCATGAGAACAGCATGGGGGAAACTGCCGCCATGATTCAGTTACCTCTCACTGGGTCCCTCCCGTGACACATGAGGCTTATGGAAATTACAGTTCAAGATGACATTTGGGTGGCAACACAGCCAAACCATATCACCTTATAAAATGAATAATGTGAAAATAGCACTGGGCCTGAGGCCTGGCCCCTGCTGTGTGATGCCCCCTCTTGGGGAGAGCCTGGTTTCTGTGGCATGCAGAAACTTCCCTGTGCTTCCTGTGGGCTTGGGGTGAGCCAGGTCCTCCTGGGGGAACTGGGCACTGTGGGACAGGAGGGTCCCTGGTCTGGGGTCTCCATTTGCCTCCTTACCCCCATCAACGAAGCACCAGAGGAGCCAACTCAATAAACCTCAATGCACGGCCCTTCCTGGACCATAGGTGCTCAGGGCCCCCTGAGCTGCCCGGGGGCAGAACACTTGGCAGTGGCCAGTGCTTCCCCAACAACTCCCCCATGCACAGATGCCTGGTGGACACACTTCCTTTAACCCTGCTCAGCTGGAGCTCAGCCCCCATCCTAGTACCTCTGCCTCCTCCTCCAGGGCAGGAAAAGAAAACCCAACCCCAAACCCATGGAGAATCCTCACCTTGGGCGAGGCCCTGGCTGGGACTCAGCCTCTTGTCAGACCCTCCAGTAGCTCCATCTTTCCCTGTTTCCCTGCCCCATGGAACCCTGGGCCTCTAGGAAAGAGTTGAGGGTGTCTTCCACTCAGCAGGTACCGCATGATCTTTGGGGAGGATTTGTGTTATACCTGCTCCTGGTGGGATAGGAGCCTCCGGAGCTGGGCAGTATTTGGGCTGTAGAAAACTGAGAAGCCCCTGACCCATCATGCATCAGAGCCCACTCCCAAGATGTGGAGCCGTCAGCTGGAAGAGCTGGGCAGTGGCAGGGGACCCCGGACCCTGAGGCCTTCCTCCCTTCCATCAGGTGACCCTACCATGTGGCCTCAGCTCTAGGGAGATGGGCCCTAGCTGGAGGCACTGCACAGCAGCATCCTGGGTAGAGGTGCCCGGAGGGCAGGCCTGCCTTTGAGGCTGTGAGGCAGGGCTGCGGCAGGCAGTGGCCAGTGGAGGGAACGGGGTGGGTGCCGAGGGGCTACATGGCCATCTCCCGGACATGGGGTCCGGCTGGGGGACATGGGATGGGCAGACACTGCCATCTTGACTTCATTGGCCCATCTGTGGGCTGGGGGAGCAGCTGGGAGTGTGGCCAGCTGGGAGGTAGGAGGACTCTTGGGGAAGTGACAGTCACCTGCATGAACTCAGGGCTAGAGAGCTGTGGCTCTGGGACACACAGGGTGGCCAGGGGGAGGCTGCAGCACCCTCTGCTGTTGGGGATGAAAGGTGTCTGCCTTGAAGTGAAAGGGTCCCTGTTCAGCTCTGGGCTCCCGTGGGACCCTCAGCAGGGATGTCTTGAAGGCTCCTAACAAGCTGGAAAGCAAGGAAGCTGCCTTGCCCAGAAGTCAGGATCGCCCAGCCAGGGTGGCCGTCCCATGGCCTGGCTGCGTGAGGCCCTGGGGGAAGCTGTCTGCCTACCCTGCAGGGAGTGCCTCTCCTCGGCCATCAGCTGATCCAGTGCCCAGAAGGTGTCTTCCTCTGGCAGATACAGGAGGAGGATGGCAGTTAGGCAGCTCATGTCCCTGTGGTAGCCCACTTCCTGCAAGAGCCAGAGTCACCATGGAAGCATGTCACCTGAGAGGGCTGAGGCCATCTGGGAGGACTCATGTCACTGAACAGGACAGAGGTCACCTGGGAGAGCTCCCTCTAGCCCTAGGGGATTTAGGGTGCAGACTCTGCACCCCTCTCCTGACCCTGGGCGTGAGGACTAAGCAAGTCCCCCACAACTCAGTTGAAAAGGGACCTGGAGGGACTTCTGCAGTGAGTGTCCAAACTCACGTAGTCCGAAGGGGCACAGGCAAGGATTATTCATGTCCCCTATCCTGGGACAGGCTGAAAAGGCCACTGTGCCAGGCCTGGGGCAGCACCTGTGAACTGCACCCACCACGAGGGCAGGCGATGGGCCACTGATCACCACACAATGGGTCCTCTGATGGCCCAGGAGCTGCCTGCCAGGCACAGGAGGGCGGCTGGGTCCAGACCCCATGTGGGCAGCCCATGGAGTGAGCTCAGCGGCTCTCCCTGCCTGGAAGGGTCTGGGAAGTGGGGGCCAAGCAGGAACAGCCAGCTGGGTGACCTCCTCCCTGTCTACTGTGATCCTACGGGGTTAAGACAAAGGGGAAATTGGATCCCTGCCAGGTTTCCAATAAAAAGTCTTCCTCAGGATGCAAACTCATTTCATGACAAGAGCCTGGCCCCATCAGGCACCTCAGCAGCTTGTCAAACATGTCTCCTGCAAGGACTATCCTGTGTGCAACACTGCTAAGCTCCTTGTTTGGGGCGGCACCAGGACGGGAGGGTCATTTCTTCTTCTGAGACATGGTGGTTGGGTCCAGGCGACATCAACAGTCTGGGCCCTGACCCCTTTCCATCTCAGCGGGGACCCCTTGAGACACCAGCTTCCCTTCCTTGCTTGGGTGTCCATGCAAGCAGTTCTACCTACTATGTTATTACAGCCAGATCAGGATCAATGTCCTCTCTCTGGAATAAATGCAACGACCACGGTTCTTTGAGCATTATTTATCTTAAATTACTGTTTTAATTAGAAATGTATCTAACTTACTTATATTAGCCAAATTTCCTTTCAATGTAACCAAATTTCTTTTAAGTGAAAATTAAGTATTTACCTTCTGTTATCAAGCATTCTATGAATACAAAATGTTTATTTTTTTCAACTTTAGAAGAAATTGAAAAGGTCTACATGCTACTAATCTAAAAATACAGGCTCTGGGTTTATATGGTGTTAACCTTTCTTCCAAATTTTAAGGAATAGATATTTAAATGCCATCCACTTTGTTTTAAAATACATAAAATGTTTTCAGCTTTTGACCTCAAAATTTACAGTAGCACAGCTACTCTGTATTGAATAAACCACAGAATCAAAACAAAGAAAGATTCTACAGACCAGACTAACCAACAATACAGTTGGTTCAAAACTAGTGGTTCAAATATCAAAAACCAATTTCAATGACAAATACATGGTATGAAAACCCCGCAAAGCTCAAGTAGAATATATTATGCTTGAATGAAATTATGAGTTGAGAGTAGGAAATCTATGGTTAACCAAACAAATTAAATAATGTTTATGAGGAAATTATACTGCTAATGTTTTATTATTTGGCAAGCTATTCAGTGGAACACAAAGATATTCTTGATGAAGTTGAAAAAATATTTTAAAATGTTACTAAAGTGGATTATAAAAAATGAGGACATGAATAACTTTAAAACGTATTCAGGGATAAAGAGAGAAAAATAAATTTAGATTTCATACATACATAAAATATATTTAAAAAGTTGTGTTTTTGGTTGCTCAAATAAAAGGAGCAGATATTTAAATTCCATGCCTTTCATTTTAAAGTTTAGGAAATGCTTATAGCTTTCCAAACTGACATTTATACTAACACAGTTAATCTAATCGAGTGATAACAAAATCAAAACAAGCAGAATTCTCTTGACCAATCTATTTTCTTGATTTTTAAAAGTAAATGTACTCTCAAAGAAACAAAACTATTATTCCTGGATTCTGTTATTTAAAAATATTTACTGATCGCTTACCTTAAACCAAGTGATCTCCAGCTCGTGGAAAAATATGTGAAGTTGCCCAGCTTCATTAAGCTTAAACTCTTCTGAAGGAGAAAAGAAGCAATGGAGTAGGGACATTAAAGCAGGAGTGTGGTGATATGGCTGAGACTTCTACTTGCACACTGTGGTAGCTGTGTGGAGACTGGATTGAAAAAGGGGCAATGACAGAAGCTTAAATTAGTATCAAATATGGTAATCTTATAATTTTAAGGGTCCTTGAAACAAGAATGTATAATAGTTCTCATTATTTCCCCAAGAAAACTCTGCACTTGGCCTTGTGAGGGAAGCACTATAGTTACCAAGTGGTGGGGGTGGGAAGGTGAATTTGGAAACAACATTTGGAATTACTACACTTTAAAGGTAAAGCTGGCAGGAATTCCATACACATCAGATCTGAAAATATGTGTGTGTGTGTGTGTGTGTGTGTGTGTGTGTGTACATGTGTCTGTCTGTGTGTGTTTGTGTGTGTGTGAAGCAGGGAGAGAGAGCAAGAATGACAGCGAGCAGAGAGAGAGGAGAGAGAAGGAGAGAATCAGACAGATACAGAAAGAGAGTGACAGGGCTACAGAGACAGAATTAAAAGGGGGCACCAAGAATACTGAGCTGAGAAACTATACAATGGGAGTTGCCATTAAACAGAATGGGGAAGAGCAAATTTGGGGAGTTTCAGTGGCTCCACATAGACATATTAATTTTGAGATTCCTAACTGACATCCACATGGATAAGTCAGGGAGTGTTGTGTGTAGTGTCCAGTGTTTTGGTGTAATATGAAATATCAGGAAATTAATGACACAAAAATCAGTAAGAAAGCAAAGAAAGATAAGCAGTCAAAGTCGTGAGCCTAATCATCCTCTAACATTTAAAAAATACTAAAGATGAAACCTGCAAAAAAGGACTAGGGGTAATTATCAAAAACATGGTGGAGGGAAAGTAGGTTAAGTTTTCTGGAATTCTATAAAAAAAGTTTTACAAAGGGGAGGTAGAGATCAACCATGTGAAATGCTGCTGATACATAAATTAAGACGAAGTCCGAGGAGTTATGGTTCAATTTATAATTTAACAATATGGATAGCACTTATGTTTTGATACGAGCAGCTTCGTTGGAGTGAGTAGGTGAGAAACCATATTGGAGTGTTTGCTGAAATGAAAGTCTGATCTTTGGATTCTTAAGGAAAAATTTTATTGGACTGCAGAGGCATAAATTGGATTTCTAATTCTGGAGTCAGGATGTGCTCAGTAAACATGGGCCCATCAATGCCTCCTCGCATTTTTTTTAGTTAGGTATTCCGTTATCTTTTAATAATATAACAATTACCTGCAAAACTGACACCCATTTTGCAGCAAACCAGCATGACACATGTATACCTGTGTAACAAACCTGCACATTCTGTACATTTATCCCAGAACTTAAAGTATGTGTGTGTGTGTATATATATATATACGTATATATACATATGTACATACATATACGTGTATATATACATATATACATACATATACGTGTATATATACATATGTGTGTGTGTGTGTGTGTGTGTGTGTGTGTGTGTGTGTATATATATATATAAAAGAAAGAAAATGAAAACCCAGCCAAGTGCGGTGGCTCATGACTGTAATCGCAGCACTTTGGGAGGCTGAGACAGGTGGACCATCTGAGGTCAGGATTGAGAGCAGCCTGGCCAACATGGTGAAACCCTGTCTTTACTAAAAATACAAAAATTAGCTGGGTGTGGTGGGGGGCATCTGTAGTCCCAGCTACTTGAGAGGCCAAGGCAGGAGAATCACTTGAATCTGGAAGGCAGAGACTGCAGTGGGCCAAGATAACACCACAGCACTACAGCCTGGGTGACAGGGTGAGACTGTCTCAAAAAACAAAAACAAAAACAAAAAAACACACATTTAATTGAAAAACTTTACAAAGACTGATACTAGAGGTTGTTGGAGAGGACGTTGTTCCACATAATATCTTATGAGTTGCTGATGGACAAGTAAGATGGTAAAATGCCTTTGAAAAACTGACCATACCTGCTATACTTAAATATTCAGATACCAAACACCCAGAAATTCCATCTTGTCATTTATTTCCACAAGAAAAAACAAGAGACCTGTATTAAAATATCCACTTCTATTGAAAATAATCACAGTTTCCTGAAATTTTTTTATTAATAGCTCTTGTTTTCAGCAGTACAACCTCTAATATATATGTGTGTATATATATGTATATATACACATATACATATATTATATATGTATATGTATATATACACATATACATATATATGTATATGTGTATATATATTAGACAGATATATATGTATATAATACATATACATATATACATATATGTATATATATACACACACGTATGTATATATACAAAATGTATGTATATATATTAGACAGAGTTTTGCTCTTGTTGCCTAGGCTGGAGTGCAATGGTGGAATCTCGGCCCACTGCCGCCTCCACCTCCCGGGTTCAAGCGATTGTCCTGCCTCTGTCTCCTGAGTAGCTGGGACTACAGGCATGTGCCACCACCCTCGGCTAATTGTGTATTTTTAGTAGAGACGGGGTTTCACCATGTTGGTCAGGCTGGTCTCGAACTCCTGACCTCAAGTGATCCACCTGCCTCGGCCTCCCAAACTGCTGGGACTACAGGCATGAGCCACTGTGTTCAGTCTATTTTGTATTTTTTAATCTACCGCACTCTAAGAACACATATTTTAAATCAATTTGTACATTCAGTGCCTAGAACAAAACCAGCATTTTGTAGATTCCAAAGAATTATTTGTTGTATAAATGATGAATAACTTAAATAAGTTATTATTTACAACATCTATATACAAACAATATGTTACCTCAGAATACAGTGATAACTTTTGTTATGTATAAAATGATTTCTGTCTCAGTTAAAAAATATTTTTTGCATGAGTTATTGTCATATACAGATGCTCACATTGTTTTGTTTATATGAAAATGTTTGTAACTACTACGCGCATTTTTGCTACTTAAGCCTTTTGGTCTTGCTGCCATAGCAAATACTGTGCCTTTCAAGAAGATGAACCTGTTTTACTTCATTTTTTAGCAGATTTCTTAATGAAATATATACCATACTCTTTTGTTTAACACATAAGCAGACACCCTGTCAGAAGCAAAGAGACATCTACTCCACCATTACCACCCATCCCTCTACTAATGTGGCTGCTGAAGATGTTACCTAGAGCAGAGGACTTTGGGTTCAACCTAAGCACTTTATATCCTTTATTTTCAATTGGGTAGGAGATAAAATAATTCAGCAGCAATAAAAGTCACACTTCTTAAAGTTGCAGTCTCGCCAAGGCAACACAATGTAGCAGTCTCTCTTGTGAGGTATCACCTGGAGTTCTTCATCTCACCACCAAGATGATTAAGGAACGGGGATACACGGGTGAGGTGGGAGTGAAAGTTTAATAAGCAAAAGGAGGAAGCTCTCTGCAGCAGACAAGGGCGTCCAAGTGGATTGCCGTTTTTACAGTTGAATCAAAAAGCTTTTATAAGAAACTCCTCTCAGCTATGTATAAAAAACTGTCTGCACAATTCCCTTTATATAACCAGCTGTGGGTATGTCTCTAGTCAAGCACAAAGTGGGCTTCTCTTGTTTATATAACTGTGGGTTTGTTTTAGGTAAGCTCCCCTCCTCCCTGTGCATGTTCCCACAGAGGCCACCATGTTTATGCCTGAAAAAGAGAGGAAAATTTTTCCTGGGAGCTTGCCAATTACACAAAGAACAGAAGGCTTCTGTGCTGGACCCTGCATGCTCATCTGTGCAGGGCTTACCTGTAGGTGCAGTAGTTGTGATTTTTCAGGCAGACAGCTTCCCTGAGAACCAGTCTCTTACTTGTTTACTCAACTAATTTTCCTTTCCTTCTCCCTCAACATTATGCAGCAAAACAGAGTACACTTCTCTTTCCCAGTAAATCAATGTTGGTACTCCACTCTGAATACTTGTATTATTGGATTTCTTAGAAAAAAATATTTGGGATCATAATTTAGATGCCATCAAACAATGAACAAAAATATGCTACTTCGTTTCCCTTCTCTTCTCTTGTTACCAGACAATAGCTAGTTTTCTTTTCTCTCCAACTCCTTTTTTCTGTGCTTCTACCTGATTTTTAAAAAAACCTCTACACATTTCCAATCTCAGTATAGCAGACATGAAATATGTGGTCAAACTATGTACATAGGAAGAGTTGAATTATATAATTATATTCAAGCATTTTAAAATAATTCCCCTTCAGTTTGTTTTGCAGTTATTTTACATAATCAAATGTCTTCTTGATATACGTCCCAACCCAGTGGCTGTCAAGCTCTGCTTTGTTTTCTAACTGCATCAGAATTATCCACAATTTTTTTTTTGAGACGGAGTCTCACTGTTGCCCAGGCTGGAGTGCAGTGGCATGATTTCAGCTCACTGTCGTCTCTGCCTCCCTGACTCAAGTGATTCTCCTGCCTCAGCCTCCCAAGTAGCTGGGACTACACGCGTGCACCACCATGCCTGGCTAATTTTTGTATTTTTAGTAGAGATGAGGTTTCACCATATTGGCCAGGCTGGTTTTGAATTCCTGACCTCAAGTGATCCACTGCCTGGGCCTCCCAAAGTAAGAATTATCTAAAATTCTTATGATAAATATGGACAAATCAGCACAACTCAAGATTTAAGAAATAAAAATTTCCAAGAGAAGAAACTCAGGAATATGCATTGAAAATGTCTCCCTCAGGTGATTCTGATGTGATATGTGGTCTGAGTTTAAAATGTAAGGAAAATTACCTTCCCTGCCCTCCAGTTGGCCCTTATGTCCAGATGTCCCTCTTTCCCTTTCTCATTGTGCTCTCTCCTTCTGTGCCTTTGTTCTATTCTCCCTCCACTTCTCATCCAGATGCCAAGCCCTCTTCCATCAATTGTCCTAAAACTCCAAATGGTCAGTTTTCTCTATACTTCCCTCTGTCCCATGAACAAGTTATGCAGGCAAATGTAGAAGTTAAGCTTGGACCAAGCTGAATCAAGAGCTGCAATTAAAGATTTCCCTAAGCCCAGAGGGGAGCAGCGAATACTTATAGGTGATTTTGGATTTCCTCTGATTGCATAAGGCTCTGGGTAACCTGATGCTATAGACCAAATGTTATTGTCCCCCTCAAATTCAAGGGTTGAAATCTAATTCCCTATGTGATGATATTTGGAGGTAGGGCCTTGGGGAATGATTAGATCATGAAGGTAGGGACCACATGAGTGGGATTAGTAGCCCCTATTGAAGGCACCATAGAGAGCTCCCTCATCCCTTCTGTCATGTGAGGACATGGTAGAAACATGGCTGTCTATGAATCACAAAGCAAGCCCACACCAGACTTGGAATCTGCTAACCACTTGATCTTGAATTTTGCCATCTCCAGAACTGAGAGAAAGAAATTTGTTTACAAGCTTCCTCATCTATGGCATTCTGTTTTGACCCCAGATTAGCTAAAAACACCAAAATACCAACTTGTACACCAAATTTTGGAAATGGATGCTAAAACTTTGATGGCAAAAGGTGACTGATCTGCCTGAGAAATGAACCTACATGATCCCTCTTTCCGCAAAGCTGGAGGGAGAGTCAACAAAAGCAAAAATAGGTCAAAGTCTTCTAAAAGCCATACCTGAAGGGTTTTCAATATCACTTGATCAGATGGCAATTTAATCACAGAAAAAAAACACAACAAAACATGCAACTATCAGAGGTTTTCAACATCGCCTCAAAAACACCATCTACAATATTAGGGAGGGAAAGAAGTCATGGAAGTTTCAAAAAGTCAAACTTTATTTCAGTGTTAATGGGAGAAATTTGAAATTCTTAGTTAAGCTATGAATAAATCCTTGGGCAGGTGCAGGCATGGAGATTCTGGGGTGAATCTGCTGAGTTTAAAAGCTTCCTTTGGAGATGCCCCTGGCCCCCTCCACCTGTCAAGAAGAGGCCATCCTATCTGCCTGTCAAGAAGAGGCCATCCTGGGCAGCACAGTAGAGGCAAATGGCCCAGATGCCTAGCTGAGGGCAAACCTCCATGCCTGGAGGAGGAGGTCGCCTCTGGGAGCAGGAGGACCTGCTGGAACCCCTGCTCACAGGCTCCTTTTCTTGCTCTCCAGCACCTCCTGCAGGCATGCAAATACCCCCAGCAGCAGTAGCAGCAGGCTCTTCAGCAGCAGGGCTGCTGCTCTGCTGAATGAGAGAAGTCCCTCTTCAGTGAGGCAGAGGAGCCCAGGTTGCACATCCTGGTCTCTGCCTCCATAGCTTCCACTGTGCCCAGGACTGGGAGCAGTGTGGGAGCTTCTGGCTGGAGCTGTGCTGGTCACCCCTCTCTACCACCTCTAGCTCCAGCCACACTTTCAGCTCCAGGGCTGAGGCCCGTGGCTCTACAGGAGGTGCCATGAAGTCAGGCAGCTCCTCACTGGGCTGGTCCTGGGCAGTCCCAGGGCAGCAGAAGGAGGGCTCTGGAGCTTCCTCTAGCTCCAGCGCTGTCCCTGGAGGGGAATCTGCCCCTGGTGCTGGCACTGGCTCAACAGCTGGCACTGGAAATAGCTGTATTTCTGCACCTGAAGCAGGAGCTGAAAAAGGAGAGAGGTCACCAATATCACTCGCTTTCCACTGGAATTTACAAACATGAAAACAACCTCATTGAATTTAAAGGAATTTCAGCCTGAAAACATAGTCCCTGGAAAGACTTCCAGACTGCAGGTGACCTCACCATGTGCCTGTGTCTCAATGAGCTCCAGAGGCTCCGGCTGGAAAAGGACAATGTGCAGATGTGGCCCTGGTGGGATCACTGGTGAGGCCTGGCCTGCTAGCTCCATCTGGGGCCTGATGTCTACCTGGTGACTCCTGTCCTGTGGTACCTGGTGGGGGGGGTCGGGGGGGGCTTCTGCCAAATGGCCAGAGGCATCTGGGGTGAGGGATGAGCCTACAAGGGCGTCATCAGCAAAGAAAGGCTCTCACTCCTGCCATTCCTGAAGCCAGAGCCTGGAGATGTGGGGATGCAGCACAAGAACATCTTGCTCTCTTGAGCGTCTCCCACCAAGTGAGCTGGCTACGGGGCTAACTCTAGGATGTGGGTGCCTGGTTATCGGAATTCTTTTTTTTTTTTTTTTTTTTTTTTTTGAGACATAGTCTCATTCTGTTGGCCAGGCTGGAGTGCAGTGGCATGATCTCGGCTCAGTGCAACATCTGCCTACTGGGTTCAATCACTTCTCCTGCCTCTGTCTGCTGAGTAGCTGGGATTACAGACATGAGACACACAGCACCACACCTGACTAGTTTTTTTGTGTTTGTTTGTTTTCGTTTTTTTTTTTTCTGAGACAGAGTCTCGCTCTGTCGCCCAGGCTGGATGGAGTGCAGTGGCGAGATCTTGGCTCACTGCAAGCTCCGCGTCCCGGGTTCATGCCATTCTCCTGCCTCAGCCTCCCGAGTAGCTGGGACTACTGGCACCCACCACTACGCCCGGATACTTTTTGTATTTTTAGTAGAGACGGGGTTTCACTGTGTTAGCCAGGATGGTCTCGATTTGCTGACCTTGTTTGTTTTTTGTATTTTTAGCAGACATGTGGTTTTACCATGTTGGTCAGGCTGGTCTTGATCTCCTGATTTCATGATCCTCCTGCCTCAGCCTCCCAAAGTGCTGGGATTACAGGTGTGAGCCAATGTGCCTGGCCTGGTTACCAGAATTCTTAGTTCTGTTAGGGTCTGTTGGCAAGGAAGTGAGGTCGCTTCTTTAAGTTTCCATCCCCTCGGCCTCCTCCTTCCAGAAAACCTTCTCAGGACCCCAGTGGGCTGCTGACTGCTCACCCTCCCCACAGGTCAACTCCTTACCTGTACACAGTTATGTCCACCCAGGACCTGCTTGGACAACTGCACCTGATGTTCACCAGGGGCCTAGGAATCCACTTGCAGCCTGGGATCCTACAGGGGCCTAATGTTACCCTGCAGATTGGGTAGCCACTTGGAGATCAGGTATCAACCTGGGGACTGTGGTTGACCTGCAGGCTAATGTCCACCTGGGGACTGGTTATTCACCTGAGGCCTGATGCGCACCTGGGGCCGAATGTCCCCCTCAGGGTGAATTCCACCTCAGGCCTGTATGTCCACCTGGGGCCTGATGTCTGCCTTAGATCTGTGTCCCACTGGGGCCTTGTGTTCACCGGGGACTGGTATCCAGCTGTGGCCTGATGATCTACCGCATCCTGTTGCTCACCTATGGGCTGGTGTCTACCTGGGGCTTGGTGATCACCTGGGAGCCAGATATCAACTTGGGGCCTGGGTGTCCACTTAAGGCCTGATGTGGGCCTGGGGCCTGATTGCCCACCCGGGGACTGGGTGTCCACCTGGGGTCTGATGTCCACCTGAAGTTAGGTATCTACCTAAGGCTTGGTGTCTACCTGTGGCCTGATGTCCACATGAGTCTGGGGTTCAGTTGGGGCCTGCTGTACATGTGGGACCTTGGTGTCTATCTGAGTCCTGATGGCTACCTGGTGACTGCCATCCTCTTGAGGCCTGATATCCACCTGGGAATGGTTTATCCATGGAAACGGTTATGTCCACCTGGGGCTGGATGTCGCCCAATGGCTAGATGTCCACCTGTGGCCCCGTGTCCACCTAGTGCCTGATGTCCACCTGGGACATGGTTTTCACCTGAGACCCGGGTGTTTACATAGGACCTGATGTCCAGCTGGTGCCTAGGTGCCCACCGGGGGCCTTGTGTTAACCTGGGGACTGGTATCCAGCTCGGTCCTAATGAACACCTGGGTTGAATTATTCACCTAGAATTTGGTATTCATTTAGGGCTTGAGTGTCAGCCTTGGACCTGGTGTCCACCTGGGCCTTGGGTATCAAACTAGGGATTTGGTGTCCAGTTGAGACATCATGTGCACCTGGGGTCTGAGTGTTCACATGAGGCCAGATGACCACTGGGGGCCTGAATGTCAACCTGGTGTCAAATTCACTGGGAGCCTAGGTATCCACCTGGGGCCTGATGTCCACCTGGGACTAGGTGTCAACGTGTGGCCTGATGTAAACCTCTAGTTCAGTGTTCACCTTGGGCCTGATGTCCACTGGAGGACTGATGTTCCCCTTTGATCTGATGTCCACCTGGAAACCGTGTATTCACCCATGGCCTGATGGTCACCTGGGGTTGAATGTCCAACTGTGGCCAGATGTGCACCCGGAACCTGGGCATCCACCTGGGGCCTGATGTTTAGCTGGGGCCTGGAGTTCACCTGAGGCATGATGTCTACCTGAAGCTTAATGTTCATCTGAGTGCTGGATGTTCACCTGGCGCCTGATGTCCACCTGGAGCCTGAGGACCCTTCTCAGGCCTGATGTCCACAATTGGCCTGGTATTCATCTGGGACCTTTGTGTTAATGTGGCCTAATGTACTCCTGGGTTCTAGGGTCCTCTTGGGACCTGATGTCTACCAGGATCCTGGTATCCACCTGGGGCCTGGTATCCACCTAGGGCTTGATATTCACCTGGGGCCTGGGAATCCACTTGATAACTGGTGCCCATCGCGGTCCTGATGTTCACCTTGGGACTGGGTAACCACCTGAGGCCTGATGTCCACTTAGGGCATAAGTGTTTATCTGGGGTCTAGTGTTCACATGGGGCCTGATGTCAACCTTGAGCTTAGGTATTCACAAGAGGACTAGTGTCCAGCTGGGGCCAGATGTTCACTTGGGGCCTGGTGTCAACTTGAAGCATGGTTGTCAACCTGGGACCTGATGTCCAGTCCAGTGTCCGCCTTGGGACTGTTTTCTACCCAGGGCCTGTGTGTCCACATAGACCCTCGTGTCAATGTGGGGCCTGGGTATTTACCAGGGGCCTGGATATTCATTGGTACATTATGTCTACTGGGGTCTTTGTGTCAATCTGAGCTCTGATGTCCACCTAGAGATTGGGTATCCACCTAAGGCCCGGTGTTTACATGGGGCCTGTAACACGAGGTTCCAGATGAACTCAGATGTCCACCTGAGGCCTCATGTCCACCTGAGTTCTGAGTGTTCACATAGGGCCTGCTGTCAACTTGGAACCTAAGTATTTACCTAGGGCCTGGGTGTCCACCTGGGGCCTGACTTCCAACTGGATCTTGTGTCAACATGGGGCCTGATGTCCACTTTGGGCCTAGGTAACTTCCTGACGACTAATGCCCACATGGCTCCGAAGGACCATCTGAGGCCTGGTATTAATTTAGAGACTGGTATCCACCTGGGGTCCAGGTATCCACTTGGGACCTGATGTTCACCTGGAGTGTAGGAATTCACGTGGGGCCTGGTGTCCACCTTGAGTGTGTGTATCCAACTGAGTGCTGGTGTCCACCTGGAGTCCAGTGTATACCTGGGACCTGATGTACATATGGGACCTGGGCATCCATCTAGGACCTGATGTTCACATAAGGGCTGGCATTCTCCTGGCCTGGTTCCCATATGGAGCCTGGGCGTACACTTGGAGCCTGATGTCCCAGGTAGATCGCTGGGCCCCAGTTGTCATCAGATCCTAGGAAACTCTCAGGCCCCAGGTGCACATAAAGCTCCAAGTGGCCACCTAGGCCACAGGTTGATACACAGGGTCCAGGTGGACACTGGGTGCAAGATGAACACCAGGTCTCTGGTGAACGCCAAGCCTCAGGGGTCTACCTAGTCCTCAAGTGAACACCAGGCACTAGATTGACACACAGGTACCAGGTGGATATCAGGCCACAGGTGAACACCAGGCCCCAGGTGGTTGGGTTACTTATAGCATAGGTGGCCATCAGGTCCCAGGTCTATAGCCACTCCCCACCTGAAAATCAGGATCCAGGTGGATACCCATGTCCTAGGTGAACACCAGGTTCCAAATGAACATCAGGCTCCAAGTGAACACACAGGCCCCAGTTCAATACCAGCCTCAGGTAGACATCAGGACCCAGGTGGACCCCAGGCCCAATGTGCATGCCTAGTCTCTTGGAATACATCATTTTCAAGGTGGACACCCAGATTCCTGGTAGACCTCTGGTGCCAGGTGGATATCTGGCTGCAGGTGGACATCAGGCCCCAGGTGGAGACCCAGTACACAGGTGTAAATCAGGCTCCAGTATTTCATCAGGCCCCAATTAAACACCTGACTAAAGGTGTGCATCAAGACCCAGGTTGACACCCAGGCTTCAGGTGCACACTAGGCCCAAAGTGTACACCCATGCCCAGGTGGGCATCAGGCCCAAGGTGTACACCAGACCCCAAGTGGACATCAGGTTCCAGGTTGACACCAGTCTCTAGGTAGATCCTTAAGCCCCAATTGGTCATCAGGCCCAAGGTGGATACCTTGACCCCAGGGGGTCACTAGGTCCCAGGCAGGCCTCAGGTGGACACTAAGCCCTAGGTTAACACAAGGTGTGAGCTGGTTTCAGCCCCCATGTGGGCTTTAGTCATAAGGAGCTTACCTAGGCCCTAAGTGGACATCAGGTCCCAGGTTGACACAATGAACCATGTAGAAGTCAGGCTCTAAGTAGACACCCAGGTCCTAGGTAAATACTTTGGTCCCAAGCCATCATCAGGCCCTATGTGGACACCCAGACTCTAGGCAGATGTCAGGCCCCAGGTGAACACTGAACTCAGGGTGGTCTTCAGGCCCTAGGTTGACACATAGGCCTCAGGTAGACAACAGGCATAGGTGAACTTCAGGCTCCAGATGAATGTCGGGCTCCAGGAAGAAGTCTGTGCCCCACTTAAACACCGGGTCTTAGGTAGACATCAGGCCTCAAATGGATGCCCAGGCCCCAGGTGGATATCAGGCCTCAGGCAAACACCAGGCCCCAGGTAGACATTAGACACGAGATGGACACTCAGGCCACAAGTGAACATCTGTCCCCAGGTGGACATCCATCCCAAGGTGGACATCAGGCCAGAGATGTACACCCAGGCCCCAGGAGAACCCCAGGCCCCAGGAGGACACTCAAGGGTCAGAAGGACACCCAGTCCCTAGGTAACTACAAGGCCTCAAATGGACATGATGTTCCAGATGGATATGAGGCCCCAAGTGGATACTAGGCCCAGGTGGACCCCAGGTCTGAGGGGTACACCAGGTCCCAGAGGAACACCAGACCCTAGGTAAGCATGCAGTCCCAGGTGGACATCAGGTTCCAGGAGGACACCAGGACCCAGTTGGTCATCAATCCACAGTTGAACACCAGTTCCCCAAGAACACCAGTCCTCAGGTGGGCACCTAGTCCTCTCGTGTGCATCAGGTGCCAGGCTGACATAGGCAGCAGCTGAACTCTGGGCCTCAGGTGAACATCAGATCCCAGGTTGTCACCCAGGCCCCAGGTGAACACCAGGTTTTAGGTGAACACGAGGTCCTAGGTGGGTGTCTATGCTTCTGGTGAACCTCAGGCCCTAGTGGACACTCAGGCCCTTTATAGACATCTGGCTCCATGTGCACTCCCAGGGCCCAGGTAGACATGAGGCCCCAGAGGAACACCAGTCCTTAGTCACCTAAGACTGAATTCCCCTAGGGCTGGAGACTGAGTATTCACCTTGGGCCTAGGAATCTACCTGGGGCCAGATGTCAATCTGGGGCCTGAAGTCTACTCAGGTTCAGCTGTCCACCTAGGGCGGGGTGTTTTTCTGGGACCCAGAGTCTACCTGAAATCTTAGTGTCAACCTGGGGCCTATGTGTCCACTTGGAGTCTGACGTGCACCTGAAGCCTGAGTTTTCACCTAGGATCTGATGAGCACCTGGGGCCCAGGTTTCCATCCGAAACATCAGGCTCTAGTTTTACATCTGGGCCCCAGGTATACACTAGACACCAAAAGAACTCCAGCCCCTATCTTAACATGAGGTCCTAGGTGGATGCCCAGGCCTCATGTCTACATTAGGCCTCAGGTAGACACGACTCCAGGTGGGCATCAGGCCTGATATTGGCTCTATGTCTCCACCCAAATCTCATGTTGAATTGTAATCCACATGGGTTGAAGAAGGGGCCTGGTGAGAGGTGATTGAATCATGGGGGCAGACTTCCCACTTGCTGTTCTCGTGATAGAGTTCTTATGAGATCTGTTTGTTTGAAAGTGTGTAGCACATCCCCCTTCTCTCTCCCTCCTCCTCCCCCATGGTAAAAAGGGCTTGCTTCCTCTTGGCTTTACATCATGATTGTAAGTGTCCCGAGCATGCCCAGTCATGCTCCCTATTAAGCCTGAAGAACTGTGGGTCAGTTAAACCTCTTTTCCTCATAGGTTGCCCAATATCAGGTAGTTTTTTATAACAGTGTGAAAATGGACTAATACAAGGTCTTAGGATAACAACCATGCTTCAGGCCATAGGTGGACATCTGGCTGCAACTGGATACTATTCCCCAGGTGGATACCTAGGCTCAAGGTTGACATTAGTCCCCAGGTAAACAACAAGCCCCAGGTGAATACCTATGCCCTAAGTAGACATCAGGCCTCAGGCTGACACTCAGTCTAACCTCAACATTAGGCTCCAGGTGGACACCCAGACTCCAGGTGGATACTAGACCCCAGGGGTACACCAGACTCCTGGTGGGCATAAGGCCCCACGAGGACACTAGAATCCAGGTGTATGTAAAGCCACTGGTTGACACCAAGCCCTCAGATGAACACCAGGCCAACTAGTGGACATTAGGCACATGAGAATACTTGGGCACCAAGCAGGTATCAGGTCCCGGGTAAACATCAAACTTCAGGTGGACATCATTCTCCATGTAAACTCTAGCCCCTGCTAAACATCAGGCTCTAGGTGGAAGCCCAGACCCCAGGTGCACTTCTGGCCACAGTTGAACATCTGTCCCCAGGTGAATATCAGACCATGGATGCATAGCAAGTCCCCAGGTGGACATCAGGTCAAAAGTGAATATAAGTCTCTAGGAAGACATCTGGCCCCAGGTGGATACTGAACTAGAGGTTTACATCGGGCCCCAGGTTGACAGCAAGGCCCAGGTAGACAGCAGGCCCCAAGTGAAGACCATGCCCAGGTGTATACTGAACTAGAGGTTTACATCAGACCCCAGATTGACATTCAGTCCCCAGGTGGTCATGACACCTCAATTGGACACCAAGTCCTCAGGTCGATACCCAAGTCCCAGGTGGACACCAGGTCAAAGATGAACACAAGACCTAAGGTTGACACTCAAGCCCTAAGTGTCACCAGGCCCTAGGTGAATAATATGACCCAGGGGATCATTAGGACCCAGCTGCATACCAGTCCCCAGGTTTACACGAGGCCCCCAGTAGGTTCCTAAGCTCTAGTTGGACATGAGGTCTCCAGTAGACACCCAGGACTGAGGCGGACATCAAGCATCAGATGGACGTCTGGCCGCGGATGAACATCAAGCCTCACATGGATACCTAGTCCCCAGGTAGTAGACATCAGGTCCCAGTTTGACATCAGTTTCTGGATAGATCCCTAAGCCCCAGGTGGATATCCAGTCTCCAGCTGAACATCAGCCCTTCGTGGACACCCAGGCCCCAGGTGGATATCAGGTCTCAAGTGAACACAAGTCCCCAGGCAGACATCAGGCACCAGGTACACACTCAGACCCCAAGAGGACAACTGTCCCCAGGTTGACATCACTCTCAAGGTGTACATTAGGCAACAGATGTACACCCAGGTCCAAGGCAGACACGAGTCCCCAGTAAAACTCAAGGCCCCAGAAGGATACTCAAGCCCTAGGTGGATGCCCAGACCCCAGGTAATTACAAGGCCCCAGGTGGATATCAGATTCCAGATGAACATTAGGCCCCAAATGGATACCTAGGCACCAGGTAGACATCAGACCCCAGGTGCATCCCCCAGTCTCAGGTGCACACTAGGCCCCCAGTGAACACTGGCTCCAGGTGAGCACCCAGTCCAAGGTAGACACCATGACCCAGGTGGTCATTAGGCCACAGCTGAACACCAATCTTGAGGGAACACCAGATCCCAGGTGGGTACCT
Organism: Homo sapiens; assembly: GCF_000001405.40. Classification (NCBI taxonomy): domain Eukaryota; kingdom Metazoa; phylum Chordata; class Mammalia; order Primates; family Hominidae; genus Homo; species Homo sapiens. Next base: position 15,884,768 of record NC_000022.11, on the reverse strand, counting down.
AGTCTCCAGGTGGATATTGGGCCCCAAGTGGACACCCAGCCCCCAGGTGAACATCAAGCTTCAGGTGGACATCATGCCTCAGGTGAACTCCGGGTCCCAGCCCAGCTGAACATCAGGCTGCAGGTGGATGCCTAGGTTCCAGGTGCACAACAGGTCACAGTTGGACATTCAGCCCCAGGTGAACATCAGGCCATGGGTGGATAAACAGTCCACAGGTGGACATCAGGTCAAAGGTGAACATCAGTACTCAGGTGGACATCAGGCTCCAGGTTGACATCAAGCCCAAGGTGGACACTGAACTAGAGGTTTACACCAGGCCCCAGGTTGACACCCAGGCTCAGGTGGACATTGGGCCCCAGGTGGATACCTAGGCCCCTAGTAAACCTCAGATTCTAGGTTGACATTCAGGCCCCCAGTAGTCATTTGGCCCCAAGTGGACACTCAGGCGCCAGGTTCACATGATGTCTTAACTGGACACCAAGGGGCCAGTTTGATACCCAAGTCCTATGTGGATGCCAGGTCCAGGGTTACACTCAAGCCCCAAGTGGACACCAGGCCCTAGGTGAATAACACAACCCATGTGGTTATTAGGCCCCAGAATGACACCAGTCCCCAGGTTAACAGGAAGCCCCCAGTGGGCACCTATGCCCCAGCTGGACATCAGGCCTAAAGTGGACACCCAGGATCAAGATGGACATCAGTACTCAGGTGGACATCAGGCTCCAGGTTGACATCAAGCCCAAGGTGGACACTGAACTAGAGGTTTACACCAGGCCCCAGGTTGACACCCAGGCTCAGGTGGACATTGGGCCCCAGGTGGATACCTAGGCCCCTAGTAAACCTCAGATTCTAGGTTGACATTCAGGCCCCCAGTAGTCATTTGGCCCCAAGTGGACACTCAGGCACCAGGTTCACATGATGTCTTAACTGGACACCAAGGGGCCAGTTTGATACCCAAGTCCTATGTGGGTGCCAGGTCCAGGGTTACACTCAAGCCCCAAGTGGACACCAGGCCCTAGGTGAATAACACAACCCACGTGGTCATTAGGCCCCAGAATGACACCAGTCCCCAGGTTAACAGGAAGCCCCCAGTGGGAACCTATGCCCCAGCTGGACATCAGGCCTAAAGTGGACACCCAGGATCAAGATGGACATCAGGACTCAGGTGGACATCTGGTGACAGGTGGACATCAAGCTTGGTGTGTACCTTGTCCCCGGGTAGTCATCAGGCCCCAGTTCAACACCAGTCCCTGGGTGGATTCCTCGGCTCCAGGTGGACATCCGGTCTTCAGCTGAACATTAGACCCCAGGTGAACACCAGGTCTTAGGTGGACATTAGGCCCCTGGTGGACATAAAGTACCAGTGGACATCCATGTTGCAGGTGGACACCCAGCGCCCAGATGGGCATCAGGCCACATTTGGACATTGAGGCCCCAGGTGGATATCAGGCCTCAGGTGAACCCTAGGTCCAACATAGACATCAGGCCTTAGGTCGACACTCAAGCACCAGATGGACTGCTGCACCTAAGTAGAAAACAGACCCCTATCTGGATATCTAAGATACAGGTATACAACAAGCCCCAGGCTGACATCCAGACCCCAGGTGGACACCATAGCCCAGGTGAACAGCAGGCAACAGTTTGGCACCAAGTACCTAAGTGAAACAAAGCCTTAGGTGATTACCAGGCCATAGGTAGTCATTAGTCTCCAGCTGGACAATAGTCCCTAGGTGGATACCTAGGCCCCAGGTGGACACTAGACCCCAGATTAACACAAAAACCAAGTAAAAAAAAACCCCAAGTGGAAAACCAGTCCCTAGGTAAATACACAAATCTCAAGCTGACACCAGGCCCTATTTGGACACCCAAGCCCTAGGTGGACTTCAGGCCCCAGGTGAACACTGAACTCTAGAAAGTCTTCAGGCCCTGTGTTGACTACCTGGCCCCAGGGGGACACCAGGCATTCATGAACTTCAGGCACCAGCTGTACATCAGGTTCCAGACAAATGTCCAGGCCCCAGGTGGATATCAAACCTCAGATGAACACCAGGCCCCAGGTAGACATCACAAACCAGGTGGACACTCAGGCCCCTACTGAATATCTGTCCCCAGGTGGACATCCATCCCAAGGGGAACATCAGGCCACAGATGTACACTTAAGCCTAAGGCAGACCCCAGGCCCCAGGAAAACTCCAGGCTCCATGAGGGCACTCAGACCCCAGGTGGATGCATTGGTCCTAGGTAAACACATGGCCCCAGGTAAGACATCAGGCTGCAGTGAACACGGGAGCCCAGGTGGGTACCTAGTCCCCAGGTGTGCATCAGGCAGAAGGTTGACCCAGTCCCCAGCTGAACTCTGGGCCCCAGCTGAACGTCATAACCCAGATGGTCACCCAGGCTCCAGGTGAACACATAGTCTTAGGTGGACATCAGGCCCCACATGAACACCCAAGCCCCAGGTAGAGATCAGGCCTTAGGTTTACACCAAACCTCAGGTGGGCATCTGGCTCCAGATGGCCATAGGTGGATAACTAAGCCTCTCCTGGATATCAGGCCCCAGGTAGACACCAGGCTCCAGGCGAACATCTAGCCCCAGGGGGACATCCAGCCCCTGGTGGACATCAGGGCTCGCATGGATAAGCAGTTTACAGATGGACACCTGCCACAGGTGCCTCACCTCTACTCCCTGAAACCTCACTTCCCCTCATGGGCCTTCTGTCCGACTTGGGGTATCCCTAGCCACCCTAGGCGCACACTGGACTCGAAACAGGGACGCCAGGGTCCCTGGGGCTCAACGCAAGGGTTCATGGGAATACACTTTCGTCCGTGGGAGACCCAGTCCCCGGTTCTCGGCGGTGCAGTTCTTTTTTTTTTCCTCTGCCCCAGGTGCCTCACCTTCCCCTCATGGGCCTTCTGTCCACCTTGGGGTACCCCTAGCGGCCCGAGGCACACCCTGGGCTCGAAACAGGGATGCCAGGGTCCCCGGGGCACAGCGCAAGGGCTGATGGGGAGACACTTTCTTCCGTGGGGGACCCAGGCCCCGCTTCTCCGAGGCGTGTTTTTTTTTTCCTCTGCCCCAGGTGGGTCACCTTCCCCTCATGGGCCTTCTGCCCGCTTTGGGGTACCCCTAGCGGCCCCAGGCAGGTGTTGGGCTCGAATAAGGGTCGCCGGGGACCCCGGGGCCCAGCGCAAGGGTCGATGGGAAGACACTTTCACTGGTGGGGGACCAAGGTCCCGCTTCTCCGCAGCGCGGTTTTTTTTTTGTTTTTTTTTTTGTTTGTTTTTTTTCTGCCCCAGGTGATTCACCTTTCCCTCATGGGCCTTCTGCCCGCTTTGGGTAACCCCTAGCAGGCCAGAGGCGCACCCTGGATTCGAGCCAGGGATGACAGGGTCCCCGGGGCCCAGCGCAGGGGCTGATGAGAAGGCACTTTCGTCCGTGGGGGACCCTGGCCCTGCTTCTCTGTGGCGCGGTTTGTTTTTTTTTTTTTCTGCCACAGGTGCCTTACCTCTCCTCCCTCAAACCTCACCTTCCCCTCATAGGCTTTCTGCCCACCATGGGGTACCCCAAGAGGCCTGAAGTGCACCCTGGTCTTGAACCAGGGATGCCAGGGTCCCCTGGGCCCAGCTCAGGGGCTGATGGGAAGACACTTTTGTCCGTGGGGGACACAGGCCCCGCTTCTCCGCGGCAGGGTTTTTTTTTTTTTTTTTTTTCTCTGCCCTCTCCGCGGCGTGGTGTTTTTTATTTTTTTCTGCCACAGTTGCTTCACCTCTCCTCCCTCAAACCTCACCTTCCCCTCATGGGCGTTCTGTCAGACTTGGGTTACCCCTAGTGGCCAGACGCACACCCTGGGTTCGAAACTGGGACACCAGGTTCCCTGGGGCCCAGCGCAAGGGCTGATGGGAAGACACTTTCTTCCTTGGGGACCCAGGCTCTGCTTCTCTGCGGTGATTTTTTGTTGTTGTTCTTTTGTTGTTTTTTTTTTTTTTTGCTTTTCCCCAGGTGCCTCACCTTTCCCTCATGGGCTTTCTGCCCGCCTTGAGATACCCCTAGCGGTCCAGAGGCGCACCCTGGTTTCGAGCCAGGGACGCTAGGGTCTCTGGGGCCCAGTGTAGGGCTGATGGGTAGGGACGTTGGTCCGTGGGGGACCCAGGCGCCACTTCTGGGCGCCGCAGTTTTTTATTTTTTTTCTCTGCCCCAGGTGTCTCACCTTTCCCTCATGGGCCTTCCGTCTGCCTTGGGGTACCCTTAGCAGGCCGAGGCGCACCCTGGGCTCGAGCCAGGGATACCAGGGTCCCCGGGGTGCAGCGCAAGCGCTGATGGGAAGACAGTTTCTTCTGTAGGGGACCCAGGCCCCGCTTATCTGCGGCGCGGTTGTTGGTTTTTTTGTCTGCCCCAGGTGCGTCACCTTCCCCTCATGGGCCTTCTGTCCGCTTTTCGGTACCCCTAGCGGCCTGAAGCGCACCCTGGTCTCGAACCAGGAACGCCAGGGTCCCCTGGGCCCAGCGCAAGGGCTAATGGGAAGACACTTTCGTCCGTTGGGGACCCAGGCTCCGCTTCTCCGTGGTGCGGTTTTTTTTTTTTTTCTGCCCCGGGTGCCTCACCTCACCTTCCTCAAACCTCAACTGCCCCTCATGGGATTTCTGCCCGTCTTGGGGTACCCCTAGCGGGCCCAAGGCGCACCCGGGGCTCGAACCAGGGTCCACAGGGCCCAGCGCAGGGGTTGATGGGAAGGCATTTTCCTCCGTGGGGGACCCAGGCCCAGCTTCTCCTAGGCGCGGCTTTTTTTTGTTGTTTTGTTTTGTTTTGTTTTGTTTTGTTTTGTTTTCTGCCACAGATGCCTCACCTCTCCTCTCTCAAACGTTAACTTCCCATCATGGGCTTTCTGTCCGACTTGGGGTATTCCTAGCGGCCCAAGGCGCTCCCTTGACTCGAACCATGGACGCCAGGGTCGCCGGGGCCCAGCGCAGGGGCTGATGGGAAGGTACCTTCGTCCGTGGGTACCCAGGCCCCGCTTCTCTAAGGTGCGTTTTTTTTTTTTCTCTCTGCCCCAGGTCCCTCACCTTCCCCTCATTGGCCTTCTGCCCTCCTTGGGGTACCCCTATCAGGCCCGAGGCACACACTGTGCTCGAAACAGTGTTGCCAGTGTCCACGGGGCCCAGCGCAGGGGCTGATGGGAAGGCATTTTCGTGCATGGGGGACACAGGCCCCCCCTTCTCCGTGGCGCTTTTTTTTTTTTCCTGCCACAGGTGCCTCACCTATCCTCCCTCAAACCTCACCTTCCCCTCATGGGCCTTTTGTCCGCCTTGAGGTACCCCTAGCGGCCTGAGGCGCATCCTGGGGTGGAACCAGGGACGCCAGGGTCCACTGGGCCCAGCGAAGGGGCTGATGGGAAGGCACTTTCGTCTGTGAGGGACCCAGGCCCCACTCCTCTGCACCCGAGGTTTTTGTTTTGTTTTTTTTTTTTCTCTGCCCCAGGTGCCTCACCAGCTACTTGGGAGGCTGAGTCAGGAGAATTGCTTGAGTCTGGGAAACCGAGGTTGCAGTGAGTCAAGAGATCACAGCACTGCACTCCAGCCTGGACAAAAGAGTAAGAGTCCATCTTAAATAAATAAAGAAAGAAACTAAAGACGTAATAGGCATCACTGAAAAAGTTGGAATTAGTTAATACAGGGAAACATTAGGATGAATGATATAAAAGAACTAAAATCAAAATGAAAATAAGTATGCTGACTCCTCACACTCTCTTTTATCTCCATGATGAAATAAATACAATTTAAATACCAAGATATGATATACATATTAAATGAGTTTTGAGGAAGGACAGTAAAAAGTAACCATGCATCTTGTATTAATGAACCAGATAACCTATGACATATGGTTTTAGCAGTAAGATTTGATAATATATGTATTTCATATTATTTCATAAGAAAAATTATACATGGATTTTTCTAGTGGCTACTTCATCTCCCACTTCTTTTCATAGTACTGACTAGATTTTAAATTACTGATCATAATGTGTCTTAGTTCACTGAGATGATAAATAGCAAAACATTTCGAATTTAAATAAAGGAAAGAAATTTTAAGTTTGATTTTTCCACTAAGCTGAGCTACCTTCCAATTAGATTATTTGAGATCTCACAAACAAAATAGTATCACAGCAGGACATAACCTCAGGATTCCTTTTCACATCAAAGTTTTTTACTTTCAAAACTCCAACCTTTACACTATATTGATATAAACGGCGGCAAGACCCGTAGACGGGAGGTAATGTTATAAATGTACAAATTCCTTATCTATATTTAGATTTATACTTTACATAAAGATGTTCCCAAAACAGAAATAATATTATTAGAAATACTAAAATTGAATTTCATCAATACCTAATTTAGATAATAATTATGAGAAAAAGCATGTATTACACTTCATTGTACCTTAAATTTTTCCCATACCTTCATTCACTAGATTCACCATCAATTCAAAATTAGATAACCCATGAAGGAGCTCATGTATATGTATATATACTGATGAAGCACTACTATGTTACTTTTGGAATAAAAATTAATGCTTATCTATATAACTTGCCCATTAAAATCCCCAAGCATGGCAATGTGTATAGTCAAAATAGCTACTAGAGTTCATTTTTAAATTCTTGTATATATAATTCTAAGATATAACAGTAAATTAGAGTCTGGCACATAAGGTTTTTTTAAATAAAAGAGAAGCTATAAAAATGCACATGAAATTACACTCATTAGAAGAGACTTAATTTTTACATAAACTTGGATTTGCCACTAGTTAGATTTGAGTCCTCAAACATAAACTATATATAAATAAGGGTTGATGTCAATTAATATTATGCTAGACTTATGCCACGACAAAAGCATCATAAAATAATACCAGTCTTTATGATATAAATTATGTAATTGCTAATAAATATTATTCTTCTGAATAATTTTACCCTAGTAATTTTCTTCAACCTGACAGGGTTTCATGGACAATTCGAACCATGAGTATATGCAAATGATAAGGTCAGGATTCATATTTTACCTCAACATAGTATATTATAATCACTATGCTATCTTTGTTAAGGATTTTCTATTTATTGTCACAAAAGGCATTCCTTTATAGTATAACAACCTAAATGTCAGGGTTTTCTTTATTTATTGTATAAATATCTATCTGCATTAGTTCTAAAAAATGTATTAGCACTTTAAGGGCAGAACCCAAATACTGTAATACATTTACACAGCACTGAGTACATCATGTATAGTCTAAGTGTGTATAAAATACCAGCAATTGTACATGTAAAGAAAACTTACCAGACAGTTGTTTCCACTTGACTGTCATTGAGCTGCCAATTATCCAACTGGGGAAACAGTGGAAAAAGCACTTGAATCTGTCCAATTGAATGAATTGCACTATGAATTGAATGTGTTACTATCCCTTTCACATCCTATGTCTAAAAACAAAAATGTTTATTAAACTTCTATAGAATGATTTTCATCACTATTTCCTTGGTCCAAATACGTTTATAAGGGAATTAAATAACATAGTTGGAAATTTTTTAAGCCCTCAATTATAATTTTTATACACATGTAAGACAAAAAAGTGAGTACCTTTGCTAATCACTTTTAAATTTCAAATCTTAGGTCAACCTAAGATTTTTTTTTACACTAAAAATATGAAGTTAAAATCAAATGTTATTTTAAAATCAGAAATACTATTGATGGATTTAAAGACAAGTAATTTTAATGTTACAGAATATTAGTAATACAATCTTAAAGCAAAGTATGTTTTTATGTCTAACAACTAACTTATTCAGTTAATTGATTTAATTTGAAAGGCTGTATAATATATAAGATAATAGGTATGACAGATTTCCTACTAAGGAGACAAGGCCAGGGTAGAGCATATTGCTACAGAAAAGATAGACATTCTTTAAAGTTTCACTTAAAAGATCTGCAAAAGCCAAAAAGAAACAAAAAGTCACAGATTTATAGATGAGCAATGTTTGATATATAAAATAAAAATATTGTTAAATTCTGACAAGAACATGAAAACAAAGCCATGATTCACCCACCGGAAGCATTAGAGCATGTTGGGAATGCACAAAAATTGATGCATCCTCTTTTGGTGATGATTCCAGGCAGAGTTGAGTATCAGTGGCCCTAGCAATTATATGTAAAGGCAATGCTACTTGCAAGTTTCCCATCATATAAAACCTGTTTATGATGTTCTGCCAAATGAATATCACTCTTAGATTTAAACTTGAAGGTACTCTGAAAAAATAAAACTAAGGTAAACCCTGTTTTTAAAAGCAACAATTAAAAAGCCAAAGTTTTAAAGCAGAGAAACATTTGCAATAAGAAAGTACTTGTGTACCTTTCATGTGTCAGGGACTATTCAGTGGTGTTACTTACTTCGTTATAGTCACTTCAATTCAATGAGAGTTAAGTTTTATTATGCCAATAAAGATGCTCAGATCTTCATTTTCTAATTTAAAGTTTTTGATTACTGGCAAAATCATTTCATTAGAAAAAAATATCAAACCTGATTTTATATATAATAGGATTGTACTTGACTACATCATAGCATAAGTTTAACTTTTCTTGTTAATATTTTAAAAAGTATTTATGTAAATAAACAGTGCCTGACACGTGAATTACTTACAAAAAAGACTATCATTTGAGGCTATAAAAAGTTAATATGCAAAAATATTCATATCTTTACTAAAAAGCAAATCAACCTATGAAATACCAATGCTACTCAACAATAATATCACAATATACATACTAAACTCAGAAGATAAGTTTGTTAAAACATGTTATTACTTTTTATGAAAGACAACTAAACATATGCCATCTATAACAAGAAAGGTATTGTTAGACGTGGTTAAAATTGCTCTGCAGATATGAGTCTAATAATGATAAATGATATTTAACCTTTGCAGTCATCACATATCAATATTACTATTACTTTCAACTTACAACTATGAAAGCTTAATGTTAAGAAATTAAGATTTAGAAGGGAAGGGGCCAGCATGTAATTCTAAGTCTTTTGATTTATAGTCCATATTCAATGTATCACTAGTGAAATCATCTTAAAATCCTGACTCTGCCACTAATCTTTCTCAGCTTAGGAAGTCATTTAGCTGATGTGGCTCCAGTTTTCTCACTCAATGTTATAATAGGGTTAAATCAAATGTCCCAAACTCAAGTTCTTACAGGAGGCACACAGATATGCATGTAAGCGAATTTGGCCAGATGGGGACTTCCTCAAACTAGAGAATGTTTGTCCTTCCTAAAAGTGGCCCCTACTCCTCAGTTCAAGTCAATTGTTCAATGTTGCTAGTTCTTCCATATTTTTCAAGAGAAACATGAAATCCGAATTTTTATCTAAAAGCACTATATTTTACAATTTAATTAAAACATTTTAACACTGTGAAGACCAATCATGTCAGTTTTTACTTCTGGACTAGTGTGTAGAGACTAATACAAAACTGGATGCAAACTATTAATTATTAGGCATGTGCCAAGACAAGAGCAACATGAATAATTAAAAATTTGTGTATGCTGTAGTCTGAAGTATTTCATTGATAATACTTTTTTTTTGAACGAGGAGGGTAGTGTTATCACTAGAATGCTTAAGAACTCAGCATATCTGCATTCAAAAAAACAATGACTGAATTAAAACACACAAGATATGTTGTTAAACACTAAATCAGCTTTCCGTGTCTGCATTTTACAAATGCTGAAACATTTGTACATCCCATTGTCTAGAACAAAACTCCTGCTTTCATTTTGTTCATCTTGCTTACACTGGAATTAACAAGTTTTAGTATATTATCTTAAAAGATTTAAAATACTTTTGTGGAAATGTAAGATGTTTAATAAAACCTATTCTTATTTGGAAATACATTGGTCTTAGTTTTTCTGAGTCCATGATACATAACATACCCTATTTTGGTTTGTAGGAGGAAAACAAGTTTATGTAATGAAATCTAACACTTTCAGGTTAAAAAAGTGTATAATGTAATTTAAATATAAACATGGAATCCATTAAATAAAACTAATTTTCTTATCTCCCCTTATTTGTAGTATTAGATTATTTCTATGTCTTTAAGTTTATATATAAAGGCAGACATGCACAATGGCACACACCTGTAATCTTAGCACTTTGAGAGGCCAAGGTGGGGGACCACTTGAGGCCAGGAGTTTGAGATCAACCTGGGCAACACAGAGAGAGACCCCATCTCTACCAAAAAATTAAAAATTAGCCGAGTGTGGTGTCACATGCCTGTAGTCCCAGCTCTTCAGGAGGTGAAGTGGAAGGATCACTGAGCCCAGGATTTTGAGGCCACAATGAGTCATGATCATACCACTGCACTCCACCCTGGGTGACACAGTGAGACCCTGACTTTAAAAAACATTTAAAAAGAAAAAATTTTACATAAAAATATAAGCCTTTATATAAATATCAATATTTATTGTATTATTTCTTTCAAAAGGATTTTCAGAGGAAGAATTGTTATCTAAAACTGTATGAATAGGACACGGATGAGAATGAGGAGTGATTGCAAATAGGTAGGTAGGATCCTTCTGGGGTGATAGAAATGTTCTAAAATTAAATTGTAGTGATGTCTGCACAACTTTGTAAGTTTATAAAAAATAATTGACTTGTACACTTAATGAGTTGTATGGCATGTAAATTACACTTCATTAAAACTGTTATAATTATTTTAAAAGAAGAAAAGAAGGTATGAATATATTTTGTACCAATTATACTCAAATGAGTAGAGTATTATGCATGCTTTTCAATACGGACCACTTCAGCATAACAAAGAAGGTGGATGGAAGCAAAGTTATACTGAGCTAAGGAAATGACTCCAAGTGGTAACTGAATCCGCAGAAACAAATGAAGAGATTCATAAATGATAAATCAGAAGATCAATATAATAAAATCTACAAACATATACTGTATCGCCTTTCTTCTCTCAGCTTCTTTAAAATACACAATTATAGGAAGTAATAATTATGTCATGTTGGGTTCGTAACATATACAGATACTATATGTGTAACAATGTCACAAAAAATGGAGAAAACAAATAGAGCTATATAGAAGTAACATTTATATAACTCACTAGGATAAAATTAGTATAAATCTGAGGCTGATTCCAGTGAGTTAAGATGTATATGGTAAGCCCTAGTGCAATCACTAAGGAAATGTTTTTTTCAGTGAAAAAAAATTATTTAAAAATTGAAAATGCTATATAAGAAAATAAGCACATAATCCAAAGAAAGTGGTAAAGAAGAAATAAAGAAATAAAAAGAACATGAGACACATAGCTAACAAAAAGTAAAATGACACATGGAAACCTATCAATAAACACATTAAAGATCAATGAAATAACCAATCCAATCAAAAGGCAGAGATTGTCAGACTGGATAATAAAGTAAGATTCAATAACATACTCTTTATAGAATATTCAAAGATAAAAACATATTTAAAGTAAATTAAATGGGAAAAATATCAATAAATCACAAGAAAGCTGGAATGGCTGTGCTAATATCAGACAAAACAGACTTTAAAACAAGATATATTACTAGATATTAAAAAGACATTGGATAATGATAAAAGGGCCAATCATGAGGAGGATATAGCAATTGTAAACATATATGCACCTAACAGCAGAGTGTCAAAATACATGAAGCAACATCTGAAGAAATGAAGGGAGAAATAGACAAGTTAACAATAATAGTTGGGCACTTCAATACTCAACTTTCCATTCATTAAATCAAGAAGGAAACTGAAGACTTGAACAAAAACCAAACAGAACTAACAGACAACTCTAGAACACACCATCCCAAAGCAGCAGAATACACATTCTTCTAAAGTACACATAGCTGGGCTCAGTGGCTTATGCCTGTAATCCCAACACTTTGGGAGGCTGAGGTAGGAGGATCACTTGAGGCCAGGAGTTCAAAACTAGCCTGAGCTAGCAAGACCCTGTCTCTGTAAAAAACTGAAAAATTAGTCAGACACAGTAGCTTGTGCCTATAGTCCCAGATACTCAGGAGGCTGAGGCAGGAGGATCACTTGAGCCCAGGAGTCTAAGGCTCCAGTGTGCTAGGACTGCACCACTGCACTCCAGCTTAGGTGACAGAAGGAGAGACCCTGTTTCCAAAAAATATGTACACACAAAACATTCTCCTGGATGGACCAAACTCAGGTCATAAAATAAACCTCAATAAATGTATGAAGACAGATATAATACAAAGTATATGATCTGTCCAAACTGGAATGTTAGAAACCAATAGTATATGGGAATTTGAGGAATTCACAAATATGTGGAAATAAACACATTCCTAAATAACCGATGTGTCAAAGAAGAAATAATCAAAAGGGAAGTTACAAAATATTTTGAGATGAACAAAGGCACAAATACCAAAATATAAGCAGTTAAGGCACTTAGAAACTTATACGTGTAAATGTTTGTATTTAAAAAGAGGACTTCAAATCAAGAACTAAACCTCCCACCTTATGACCCTGGAAGCAAAAAAGCAAACTAAACGTAAAACAAGCAGAAAGAAAAAAATAAAAAGAATTATAGAAGAACTTAATGAAATAGACAATAAGAAAACAACTGTGAAAACACAATAAAATCAAAAGCCAGTTCTTTGAAAAGATCAACACTACTAACAAGCCTGTACCTAGACTGATTAACATATTAATATTATTATCTCAACAGATACACAAAATGTCTTTGACAGAATCTAACACTTTTTATAAGAAGCATTGAACAAACTAGGAATAGAATGGAACTTCTAACTACCAAAAAAAAGCATCTATAAAAAACCTACAGCCAACAACATAGTGCAATTTGTTGCAGGATGTCAGAGCATAAGAAGGGTAGGAAGGGTAGGTAGGAGAGCTGCCCAGTTCGTGAAGTCAGAATTCCAAAAAAGTGATAAGGCGTCTACCTGAAACAACAAGGAAGAGGCAAGTGGGTTGTGCTTTGACATAAAGTTTCTGAGTATGTGCAAGGTAAGGAAGGTTAGGTACACTAAAGGCTTCTCTGTGTAGAGATTCAGAGCCTGAAAAGGGTGAGAAGGCTTCTGCCTGGAGGAGAGGGCAAACGATCGGAGGCAGCTGGACCTAGAGTGGGGGTTGAAAATCATTCATTTGGTGTGTGGCTTGACATGTTGGAGCCTGGGCAGCCAGAGAAGGGCATCCTCACAGAGGGTTGCCTGGCTCAGTTTGTTGTAACCTGAGGAAGATGAGAAATATGCACAAAGGGAAGCAACCAGGCAAGGGAAGGCACAACACCAGCAGGGCAGGGAGCACATTGCCTAAAGGAGTAAGCCAGGGTGGGGTGTCAAGAGTTCTAGAGAGAAGGTAGCATCTGAATAAGAGGGCTGCCCAGCAGGAGGTAAAGAAACCCGGGGCTCCAGAAGGATATAGGGAAGGCATCAGCTCAACAGCCTAGCTAAGTGTATTGTGCTAGAACTGAGGAAGGGTTAAGAGGGCATCCATGACGGAAGGTAACCGGAAAAGAAGCCAACACCTGCCTCAGGTTAAGAGGGCATCCATATGGAAAATGAAGGAAAGACTGAGAAGCTGTTTGATGCATTATAATGTAAACGCAGTAAACTGGATCTTTTTACTATAAAATATACAACAAATAGCAAAATTTTAACGGGGTCTGAGAATTAAATGGTAGTAACAAATCATTGCTAATCTCTTGATTTTATGTTACAGAATAATTATGTGAAAGAATGTTCTTGTTTGTAGCAACATAACATTCAGGAATGATGGAGCATCATGTCAGTAGTTACTCTCATAGTTCAGGGAAAAAACTGGCATAGTGCTTGTAGCTTTTCTGTAATTTTTATTTTACTTTTAAATTTAAAAATGAGAGAGAAATAAAGAAGGAGATAAAGATTTAAGAGAAAGTGAAATAAAATAAGTGATTTAAGAGGAATATTAAAGATAAGCAAAGTAAATAAACTTGCATAGTCAAGTCTCTGGAGAAGAAAACCAAAGCAAGGAAACAGAAGAAATTGTAAAAGTATAGTATAAGAACAATTTCTTAAAATATGAAAAGATGCAAACTACATATGAAAGTGCACACCATATACCTGAGAAATTAACTCAGAACGACCAACACCAAGACATATCTACCAAAATTATTAGATTTAAGGAAAAAGAAAAAAAAGTCCTTTGAACATCTAACAAGACTGAGTGTCTTGTAATGGAGAAGATATTACATTGTCAACAGACTTTCAATACTAATACCTCATGCCAGGGAAAAATTAGTAGCATATTTAAGACATCCAAAGAGAGAAAGAAAAGTCAAGGATTTTATAGCCAGGCAAAATGACTTTCAAGTAAAAAATATAAAGCACCTTACAAACTAGTATCAAAATGCATTTCTCAAGAAATACTGTTTCCATGAACTCTTCCTGAGGAATCTACTACAGAAAGAGCTAAAACACAGCCAAAACACATCAATATAAGGAAATAATATGAGCCCTAAACACACAGGTACTTATAGGACTATGATTAAATAAGAGTTAAGAGAGAATGGTATGTAATAACTGTGTGTGCTCACAATGTAGATAAGACCTTGTATGAGCTTGCTGGGTCTGCTATGACAAAGTACCGGAGTCTGGATGGCTTAAATAAAAGTTGTTTATTTTCTCATAGTTCTGGAGGCTGTAAGTCTAACATATGCGTGTAAGCAGGGTTTTCTTCTGAAGACTCTCTCCTTGGTTTGAAGACAACCTAACTACCTTTTCTTCCCTGTGTCTTCACATGGTCTTTCTTTTGCATGTGTCTGAGTCCTAATTTCCTCCTCTTTATAAGGATACAGTTATACTGGATTAGGACCCAATAACCAAAATGACCTCACTTAATCTTAATTACCTCTTTAAAGACCGGTCTCCAAAAACAGTCACATTTCAGGCTACTGAGGGTGAGAATTTCAATGAATTTTAGGGGAACATAATTCACCTTGTAACATACCTCAACTATTTTAAAAATGGCAAGAGGGAGAATGAAGAGAACGCATGCAAAAACAAATTAACTGTATTTTCAGTAATTATAACAATTGGGCATTATTGATATTATTATTCTGAGGCTGTTCTTTATGTATAATCATGGGATTTTCTAATCTATTATCCTGTGTGTATTTGACAGTATCCTCAATGAAGAAAGGAGATTTAACTTCAAGTAGGTCAAGTTAAAACACCACACTCTCCTGCTTTTTCTCCTTATTCCCTTGCTCTCCTCTTTCTCCTTTGCTGCTTCCTCTGCATCTCCTCAACCTACAAACAGTGGCTTTCCCAAGGACTCATTTCTCAGTTATCTTTTTCTCTGAACTCACTTCATTGGCACGTAAATCCAGTCCTTTACCTTTAAATCCTGTCCATATCCTGCCAATGCCAAATTTCTATCTCCAACCTAGATGTCACCTCTAAACTCCAGACTTACTTCATTTTTCCATTTAGATGTTTATTGGGCATCTCAAACAACTATGCCCATAACCTATGTCCACAACCTAATATTTGATCTTCTCTGCCAAAACTTATTTCTTCATAGTCCTCCCATCTCAGTAAATGACAACTCCATCAGCTCAGTTGTTCAGGCTGAAATTCATGGGGTTACTTGCTCCTGTCAGTCCTCTCTTGCTCCCTTACCCCATGTTCACAGTGACAGAAAATCCTACTGGCACTACCTCCAAAGTATATCCAAAAGCTGACCTTTTAGAGTCTTAGATATTTTAGATATGCTTTATCAAAAATCTAATCAAGTCTCAATACTTTCCAGAGCTCTTTCACTAAATAACTGCAGCAGCCCCCTAACTAGTCTCCCTATTTCCACCTTTTCTCCCTATTTACCATAGTAACCAGAGTGATCCCTTTCAAATTGGTATCAGGCCAGTACACCCAAAACTTTTCAATTGCTGTCCCTCTCACTCAAGAGCAAAAATAAAGTCATAACAATCCTCTGAAAGCATATAGTTGTTCTCTGAATTAATCTTCTTTGACTCTCCCCCTTGCTCCTTCTGTGACAGTCACAGGAAAACATAGTCACAGTGTTCTTTAATCTGTGAAGTAAGCTTCTGCTAATGGCCTTCATTCTTGCTCTGGCATTTACCCTTAAAGCTCTTCCCCAGATATCCACTTGGCTAGCATCAACTTCCATCTTTTTTACCTGCTTTGTGTGTCTCATAGCTCTTATCACCATATACACACTATATATTTTTCTTTTGTTTTGTTATGTCTTCTCCCATGATACTGCAAACCCTACTTCTCCAAAATACAGGCAAGGGGTTTTTGTTGGTTTTGTTTGATTGTTATGTCCCTAGCATCTAGAACAGTGCCCAACTGTTTAATAAAAGAATGAATGGATGAATTAGTGAAGGCTAATTATTTGTATTTAGTTAGCATTGATGTATTTTGTTTTCCTTTCAATTGGGCTTTTGTTATCTTTAATTTGAAAGAGGGGTCTACAGCATATGCTGTGGGTAAATGAAATACCAGATACATACCTATCATTCAAGAAAAGACATGCAATTTTGACTTTGATAATTTTGTTTTAGCCATTGAATTGTAGTCAACATTCTATCAAGACACATTGCAAAATACATAACTTTTCAACTACATAGGTGCATTTATAGCCTCTCCCCAAATCTTTCTGTGAGTTATCATATGTATTACATGTATATACACTGAATCATCCAGGTTTTCTTCTTTAGTCAGTAATGAGAGTCAAATAACAACAAATTTTTAAAATTTTCTTTCAAAAGACTTAAAGAATATTTTCACTGGATAAAAAATTCTAGGTTGACAGATTTTTTTCTTCCTTTCAGAACTTTAAAGATTTTGTTCCACCTCTATGGCTTCCCTGCTTTCTGATGAGATGTGTACAGAAATTCAAATTATTGTTCCCTTATCAGTATCTAGTTTTCCTCTGCCTGCTTTCAAGATTTTCTCTTTATCTTCGGTTTTCCACACTTTGACTGTAAATGCCTACTTTGGTTCTCTTTGCATTTATTTTGGTTGGAATTTTCAGAGTTTCTTCAATCTATAAACGTAATCCTTTTACCAAATCTGAAAAGTTTTCTGTCATCATTTAGTCAAATATTTTTTCTGGCTCTTTCTCTTATACTGTGCCTATTAGACCTTTCAAAACTGCCCCCATACATCTCTATGGTTCTATTTTTTCACCCCAATCTTTCATAACTCTCTTCAGATTTTCTATCAATCTATAATCAAGTTCATTTACTTCTCTATAATATTAATTCTGCTAATAAGCCCATAGAGCCTATTTTTAATTCTGATATATTTTTCAGCTCTAGAATTGCCATCTGATTTTGTTTTATTTCACGGCTGGTACTTCCTATCTTTTAATTCATTATAAGTAAACTTTTCTCTACCTCGCTAGTTACAATAGACCTCATGTGATATTTCCAACATGTGGGTTATCTTAGAGTTGGTATATGATGATTTTCTCTTCCCTTGAGAATAAGTCACATTTTCCTGACCATTTTTAGAATAAGTACTTTTGGATTATATGCTAAACAGTGTGACTATAACTCTGTACAATATTATGGAGAAACTTTCTGGCCAGAAAATTTCCTATAAAAGCAAAAAATGGGGATATCAGTCCATGTAGACTGACTGTTCCATATTTTGATTACGCTCCAAAGCTTGCCTGCTTTTATTCAATCTCCACAACCCTCAGATAGATGTTATCTATATTATGTGCAGAGTTTACAAATGGTTATTTGTGAGAAGATCAGTTTGTTAGGAGCTCACCCCTCCACACAAGTATTGGAAATCCTCTGAAGTGATTTTTAATTTTGGAGGTTGTGTTATACTTTTTCTCTTATCAGTTAGAACTTTATTATGATATAGCAAATTATAAAAACCATTATGCTATCATATTCATAAATGAAAGAGAGAACTCAAAGCTAAATTTTCAAATATCTGGCCATGAAGACTAACTGCTTGCTACACGGGATTAAGAGAACAATGAGAAAATGTCTAGTAATAATTATAAAATATAAAAACTTTGTTAAAATCTGATTTGCAAGCTTTTGTCAAAGGGCCACCTCATACAGAATCTTGAAGACATTAAATAACCCCAAATAGAGATCCACAGTAAACTTATCTGGTAGTAAATTTTACTATACTAGACAAATCTACAGTGAGATTTTCTGTATTTAAATATTTTCTGTATTTCTGTATTTTCCAAACTGAATGGTTTATTTAGTTAATAAGTCATACCCTAACTTATTTACCATTTCCAGAAAATAACCAAGTACAGAATATTTACTGATAAGATGCAATGCTCAAAACCAAATATTCGACAGAAAAAAATTTACCTAGCACTACAGTGACCAACAAGTCAAAATCATTTGTGACAGACTCTATTGAATATTTAGTTTGATGACATTATTTGAAGGTAGAATTAACTTATTTTATTAACTTCGAAGCCCATATGTTGACATGCTATCCACACTAAGCTCAGAATCATAAATTTTGTCTGACCATTACAATGAAAGAAAGTTCCATATAACTTAAGGCAATAAATATAAATACTATGTTATTATACAACACTACGTAATTTAAACTCCATTTGTGATTTATCCAAATGTCCATTAGTTATTATATTATCTACACCTTAAAAATTCCACTGTAGCCCTCCACCCCTTCTCTCACAGAGAGTGACTTTACCAAGATAATTGTGACTATAATGTGTGAACTACTCAGCTTTTCCGTCAAAACACAGTCTGATCATTTGCGTTCCTCCTTCTCTATGTTCTCTGAATTTCTAAAAAGAAAAAAAAAGCTTTTTAATATAAAAAAAATTTGCTGATGCCTGTCATGGTGCAATTGTACTTACAATATTTACAAATTGAGAAAATGCATGTACCTGTGGATTTATCATCCATCCCCACTTACAACAAGGGTGCAGTAAGCTGAGAACTTTCAAAACTTAATAAAATACTATCTGATGTAATGCCCAAATTTACAGGTATCTCTCTTAAAAGTTCTGACTTTAGGTACTCTACTGTGTGTTAGGATACTAAGGATACTATACTATGTCACATGAGCTGTGCACACATGATGACCGGGTTAAAAAGAATGACAAGATGACTGTTGTTAAAAAGAACGACAAGAAAGACGTGTGAAAAGAATACTACCAACTACAGAGTTTGCAAAACTGTTCAGGACACAGTTTGCTTCTTTGTGAATAGAATTACAAAATTGCTTATATTCAGCCTTTTTTCTTGATGTTGCCAGGAAGCTCCCATCAATTCTGAAATTTCACATTAGCAATCATATTGGATTTGTATTTTCTTGATATTCTACCTTTTTATATTTCATTTGTTTGCTTGTCACTGTATTTAATATCATTCTACTAGAGCTTAAAAAGACACTACAAGTATTTTATGAAACAACTCAAAGAAGTAGGAAAGAAAAGCAGGCAGCATATTAATAAAAAATGTGAATTACAAAAATATTCCTATGCAAGATCAACAATGGAAGAACCAGGATGCAAACCCAACAAAAAGACCCATGAAAGAAGAAGTAGCTGGACAGGCACAAATTCATTTCTAGAGCTAGTAAGACAAAAACAAAAATGATATGGAAAATATATGATAGCAAGTATTGTTACCTTGACATAAAAATAATAGCATTATTATTCTTCAATATTATTATGGTTATTAAAGTCACTGAGAAAAAAAGATCTTTTAATATAGGTAAATTCAAACTTTCCTCTCTCTCTCTCTCTATATATATATATATACATATGTGTGTGTGTGTGTGCGTATATATATATATATATGACATAAAAATAAAAAGAGAAATACCAATGCAAAAATACAAAGGCCAAAGAGGGACTTTTTTAAATGTTTTTCCTTTCCATAACACAATCTTCACATTAATTATTTAAATTGAGTTCAATAAATAAACCAAGCTTCCATACAAGACAAGTACTCCTTCAGAATTATAAACACTTTGAGTATAATGTGTAATTCTCTTTCGGCTCCAAGTAGTTTGAGACTTCACAATTCCCAATGTGATTTAAACAGAACCTTTATATATTTCCCTAGCCAGGTGTACTGCACATTTAAAACTAACTCATATATGTGCATGCTATATCTTACCTAGAGTCTTTGTTCTTAAGAATCAATGAATGAGTTCATATTAAGTGCCCATTTTATAGTTACTGCTGTCAAATAGCATTTTAAGTATCTGTTTTAATATGGATGGTTTGATTTCTGAAACAACCTTTATTCTCTTGAGAGTTAATACCCTAAAATAGAGAATATAGAACTATTTTTTTCTAAAGTATAGAAAAATACAAATGATCTATAAACATTTGAACAAGTATGCTTTCTGAAGTTAAGAGGGGAAAATTAACTGGTTTCTCCCTCCCACCAAAATATAAAATACAAACTTTGTTCTACAGATTACTTGAATGCACTATTCAATTATTTCATATATATTTTGAGAAATAAAAAGTTATAATAATCCTTAATCACTAAAATATTAGTCATTTCAAGGTATCTAAAATACTTTGAGAAAAATTCAATTTTGTCCATTTCAATTTAGAAAATAAAAATAGGCTGGGCACGGTGGCTCATGCCTGTAATCCCAGCACTTTGGGAGGCCAAGGTGTGCAGATCAACTGATGTCAGAAGTTTGAGACCAGCCTGGCCAACATGGTGAAATCCCGTCTCTACTAAAAATACAAAAATTAGCCAGGCGTGGTGGCATCTGCCTGTAATCCCAGCTACTCGGGAGGCTGAGGCACAAGAATCACTTGAACCTGGGAGGCAGAGGTTGCAGTGAGCCAAGACTGCACCACTGCACTCCAGCCTGGGTGACAGAGCAAGACTCTGTCTCAAAAAAAAAAAAAAAAAAAAAAAAAAAAACAAGGAAAAAGAAAAAGAAAAAAAAATAGTGTGTTAAAAAAGTCAGTAATACAAAACAACAGTGTGCTTCTATAAAAGCAAGGAGGTCAGGTCCAGACATTTAACTGTCTAAAATGCTCACCCTTTTTTCAGGTTTTTCATTCCAGGTAATCGTTAATTTATTGCAAACTAAGTCTTTTACTTGATTCGAAACTGACATATATGTTAGCCCTGATTAAAATTAGAAGAGAAAATCTTTAAAGTAGTCATTTAACCATTGTTTCTAAATATTACAAAATTATCAAGAAGAAACCATAAAAAAAGAGCTTCAAATAAATTTAAGGAAAATCTTATAGAATTTTACATGTATAAGAATTAAAGTTTGCACATATTACCTTCACTGAGTTTGAAACTATCCAACCAGAATGCTATCTAAATAACACAGAAGACACAATCTTTATATTCTAGAGTAAAATGTAAAGTAAAATGTAAAGAAAACTTTACATTTCTTTTTTTTTTTTCAGAGAAAGATATGCCACTTTTATAATAGACAAAGTTAACCTGCCTTAATTATTAGGAACTCTTATAAATCAACAAGAAAAGGAAAGCTATTCATTAGAAACATGAACAGGTGGCCTAAACAGCAAATTTACAACGAAAAAGAAATACAATGGCTTCTGAACATACTAAAAGATATTTAGCTTGTAATTGTAAATGTTTGTCTAGCATGGAGCTAACCTGCACAACATGCACATGTACCCTAAAACTTAAAGTATAATAATAAAAAAAAAAAAAAAAAAAAAAAGAACACAGGCGCTGTCCAACTGCAGCCTGGTAGTAAAGTTGCCCTATTCCACTTCGTTTCTCTTCCTACATTTCTAAAGAGAAGAGACACAAATAAATACCTATATATAGGCAAAGATTTCCTGCCCAAAGACAATTTTAAGATAAATACTAGATGTATTATCATACTTATTGGTGTACTTACAATTAAAAAAGTACTCATTCAAACAATACTTACTGAGTTCTTACTACTTCAGATAACTTAATGTACTGGGCAGGATAAATTTTACTTCCTAAAGACATGAATTGGTTCCCAAATTACTAGCTCTATGGCTTTTGGCAAATTACTTAGCATCTCTGAACCTATTTTCATCTCTGAAAAAGGGGAATAATAATGCCTACTTTGTGGATTCCTTGTGAATATTATAAACAGATAATGTATGAAAACTATGAAGAAAAGTTCCCAATGTATTTGGCACCCATAAATAACATACCATTCACTAAACTACTATTTTAATTTTATCTACTATGTCCTCATGATGAGGTTCATTTATGCTAAAGTTGATTATTATTTACCTTTCAGAGTCATTCATTCATTCAAAAAATGTACTAAGAGCCTACTTTATGCCAAGTACCCTGTCCCAACCTTGGATCATGGATATATAAAGACAGACAACATACGCACACTAAAGGAAGTTTCACTAGAGAAACAGTTATGAGAACAATAGAGAATATCTAAAATACAGATATGAGAGTAATAAAAGTAATTACTATAAGTAACAGGGAAGGAAAGACAAATAGAGAAGAAAGACTATCATAGAAGTATTCACTAAAAGCATAAAATGAACCACAAGACTATGCTTGAAGGATGAAAAGGAATTGTTCAGCAGACAGGGGTAAAAAAAACATTCCAGGTGGAATCTTAATATGATACAGCACAGATGCTTGACAAAACTTTCTTCAGTGTGTAGGTTTAGAAGGAAAAACAAAAACAAAAACAAAAACAGGCAAAGACCAGATTATAAACAGACCTTTAGGAAACTGGCCTTTGTTTTTTGCATAATGTGGTATAACTAAATAATTTTGAGCAGGAAAGTTAAACGATCAGCTTCATAGTTAAGGAAAATACCTGGCAGCAATGTGGAGGTGAGATAGGTAGGCAAGTGTGGACAAAGATAAAACTGAAAAACCACTGCAAAGGTTGAGGTAAGACACCATAAGCCGCTGAACTAAGACAAAGTCATTAGTAATTTTAAAATGAGGATGGGAATTAACTAACAGAACTGATAGGAAGTGTTAACATACAACAGGGGAGTCTAAGATGGCTTCCAATTTTCACTTAGAGGGGTAAGGGTACCATTAACTTAAGATCATTAATACAGAAAAATTAATCAGATTTGGAGTTTACCAAGGTTTGCTTTTGGTTGTAACAATGATATATGATAAAATTAAATGAATAAATAAGTGAATGCACTGGTGAATTAATGAGCTGATCTCAGTTAAGACCAGAGTACTTATTTATAACAAAAGTAACTTTTCTCTTTCCTTGGTACATCAAACTGTACTCTACAGATAACAGACACAAGTGAGTTTTTCAATGGTTAAAAAAAGCCTAACTTTTGACCTTATATATGTGGACTAAAGAAAATAAAAATAAACTTGGAAACTAGCTGTGCATACTGATATTATGTATATATAGTGAAGTCTGCATTTAGTTTGAGACTCAAAAAGAAATTTATAGAAGAAGGACACAACCAGGAATAAGGGAAAAAAAAGATCCATATTAAGAATCCACAAGATATATATTACAAGTTGAAGATATGGAAATAAATTGAAGACAAAAAAGTACAGATGATATCAATAATAGCTAATATGTCTAGAGCACATATTACCATTAGGTAACATGCTAATGGTTTATACCCATTTTCACAAGTTCTAACAGCTGGTAAGCGGTGCAGCTGGGAAAGCAAAAGTTTTAATGTAAAGATTTCTTTTTGAAAGGCCAGTAAATCTCTTATTAGGAAGGATAACAACAACTTAGCTAGGGCATCTGTGGGAAATTAAAGAAAGGAAGAAATAAGAGAATAAATTTATTTTGAATAATGAAACACAATAAAAGCAAATACTTATGACTTTTCAAGGTTTTTGAGAATCTTCACAGAAGACTTTTTAAAATCCACATCATTCTCTGGCCCTGCTCCTAACTAGACCCTTAGTATCATTGCATATTGAGAGCTTTACAAAGGAGAATGTGTTTTCCACAAGTAAACAGTGAAGAAAACACAAAATAGAAAACGTGAGAACAAATGGGTTAAAGTGCTTTTTATTGGCTAATGACAATTTCATTTGGTTATAACTTCACTCTAATTGTTTGCATGTATATTCTTTAAACCACTGTTTCCTAAAACTGTCTGATGAGAAAGTTACCTAGAATATTCATTAAAAACACACAATCCTAACATGAAAAATTATAATACCAACAATCTGTACTTCTAATCAATTCCACTGAAATTCAAAATAATTTGGCAATTTTAGCAAACAATCTTGGTCTTATCTTAGTTTTAATAAAACAGAATGTCCAGAGCAAAGGCAATGTGATTGGTATTAAAGTAATCAATTTGTATTAAAAAAGAAAGAATACACCATTATAACGAACGAATATATTTATTCAGATCATTGCTTTTTAAACTATTTTCTAAGTATATATTGATGAATTATTGTTAAATTGATATTCTTTAATAGAAACCACAATTACTGACATTAAATATAAAACAAATATTTTAATTAGAATCATATAAAATCTAAACAAATTTTTGAAAATACCACCCAAAATATTTTTTTTTCTGTATATGACAAGACACACATCAGATCATAAGCTACAAGAAAACAAACAAAAAAGATATGAAAAAGATATAAAGACCTCCCCCTCACCACGTTTGGATTCATCATATCTATTATGATTGTACCATTAATCACAAAGGGTAAGGCGATATTTCTGTTAGGAGGAGGCAGTGTGCCCTAAAAAACGTTGACAATCTCACTGTCATATACCCAAGAAAGAACCCTGAACCTGGAAGGGCAAAAAAGCCTTAAACATGTGAGATGGGAACTGCTATGCACTCTGTCCTTGTTTTCTTTCATCTGGACTTTCAGATGGTTTGTTACTCTG
The DNA here is from genome assembly GCF_000001405.40 of Homo sapiens. NCBI lineage: Eukaryota > Metazoa > Chordata > Mammalia > Primates > Hominidae > Homo > Homo sapiens. The sequence continues at coordinate 15,859,883 of NC_000022.11, read as the reverse complement.
ACACAAAGATGGAGTCCGGTACACAGGCAGGAAAATCTCTCTAGAAAATGCCACCCGATTATGAATGAATTATCTCTTATAATTCTAATTATACAGTTGCACATTTCTCTGCATTTTCTCTTTACAGCAGTTTTTAAAATGTGTTTTGACCTTGTTTTTGCTATTATTTGGGATATTAAGTAAAGACATATTTTATGAGCCAAAACTAACAGTACAGCAACATTCAACTCCTTGAAGCCAGCATTATTAAAGCATCAGAAATTAACAAAACCTCCACTCTTAGGAAACAAGATTCAGAACTACTAGGATTAGGTGAATCTCCCCAAGAAAACTATCTGTGCATTGCTTAATCTGGGGGTTTAACATTTAACTTTTTTAAAAAAGAGGCAAAGATTTATAACTCCCTAGTGCCTACAATGGTGTCCAATACTCAGTAAATAATAAGTATCTATTGAAAGAATGCCATAGAACAGATGAGACTGAGATAATGAGAGAATGTAAGAGAAATACACGCAAGAGATCAAAGCACTGACCTTACAGAAGACAAAAATTAGACATAAAAGTAAAAAGAAAATGCAAACAAGGATAAGAGAAAACCATTAAAAGCATAGGAAATCCAGTGAAAGAGAATGCTACAGAGGTCATAAAAGGATAGTTAAGAATTCTGTCATAACAAGTGAGTTATAAAAATATTTACTTTTACCTACCTTACGTGGTTGAAAATCATATTTCACACAATGCTGAAAACATTTTCCTTTGGACTTCGATGATGTGACTATAAAACAGTTGCCAACAAAATGAGCAGAGTAACCAACTCCTTTGCTAGCATGAAAACTGTAAAGACAACTGAGAATAGTATAATATCCTCTGATAAAAAGAACTAAACACCTAATGGCTATTAAACATTCCTATAAAAATAAAACTTATTTCCCTGTATGGTAGAAGGAGTTTAATATGTGTCAAATAAAAACTAAACAAAAATATAAAAGGTTGAGTTATAAGTAAATATAAGAAATTTAAACTAGGAAATAAAAGACTATGGAAGCTTTTAGTATTTCCATCTAAAATCTCAGAAATACATAAAAACAAATTAACTGCCAACAAAACCCTACCACCAAGTAGACTTTATCTACCTTTAAGGACCATTTGCAATCAGCAAATACAGAACACATTTATACAAAGTTCACATTTTAAATAACAACCTGCTCTCTAATTCTGGTATACCTTTGAAAATAGCATACAAATTAAAAAGAAAAAGGAAAAAAAAAACTTGGTCATAGTCAAGTTTGATAAATACTGCAGTTGATTGAGCAAAGCAGTACATTTTTAGTTTAAAAAATTAAAAAGATGTAACTATGAAATATGGTTGTTTTCTTCTACAGAAGCATTCCCTTAGCTGTAAATTTAATCATGAAGTAGAAAAATGTGTAATCATTGAAAAATGAAGGTACCACTGAAATTAATATATAATCTCCCAAAATGACCACTTTGAAGTTCAACCCCATTTATGTTTGGAAGTTCAGATGCTTATTTAAAACTCGCTCTCATGTTATCCATATATAGTATTTTATAATAGAGCTTAAAAGATAGTAATAGCGCACATATTTCTGTGCTCACATTTCTGACCCAGCCATTACAAAAGGGCTTTAAATATGATTCTCTCATTAAATCCTATGGGATAGGCACTATTCCTATCCTCATTTTATAGTTGAAGACACCAAAAGTACAAGGTGAATAGTAGGTGGTGAAGCCAGAACTTGAACACAGGCAGTCTTATTTCAGTGTATTGCAAGTAGTAAATGAGTACATATATATAAACACTTACAATGCCTAACATATAGAATGGCAATCAATGAATGTTTGATGTTCTTATAGGTAAATATGCTGTACTGTGCATTACTGGCATACTAAAATTACAGAGGTTTCAATCCTTACAGATCAACACATTGTTAAGTTGATCAACTCATTCTAGTGGTTTTCAGTAGCAATCCATTTGGTTAAAGGAGATTGAATCCTTAAAGCCAAAAATGACTGAGCTAGAGAATGTTAATGGAATCAATATTGAAGAAATGCAAGCATTAAGAGATAATGTTCATAATGTTAACAACATTGAAACCAAGAAAGGCAAAGCATGACATTTATTACTCAGAAACATAACCACTGATATTTATAACCAAAAAGGATTTAGGTCCATTCATAAGCAGAAAAGGAATAATGTAGGACTCCTTTGAAAATAGCAATCAAATAAAATGTAGCCATTCTAAGGAATAAATGAGAAAGTAGCTGATTATTTCACCTGACTTCAAGAAACATCCGAATGGATTTATTTATTTTCCTAGACTTTATTCAAATTCTACATAAAAGATAATTACCCATTATGACTTTAAAATTAATCTGTTCCCCAAAAAGATCCTTCACGTTGCTGATAATGGCCTTTCTCAAATACAACATGGACCTTCCATGTCAAAAATCTTCTGCCTTCAGAATAAAATTGTAATTTCTTCAGGTTATACAAGACTTCCCACATGCTATGGCTCCAACAAACCCTTTCGATTTTATCCTCCTCTAGTACCCAACCCCACATTCCAAAGTACATCTAAATATACCAGCTGTTGCACTTGTTCTTTTACAATTCCTCTTCCTATACATCACGTTGCTTCTATCCAAATCATTCTTCCTTCCGACAAAATCTCGATTATTCTTTAATAGCAGACTAATATGTTCCTCATCTGTGAAGCTTTTCTGGACTTCAACTTAGCTTGGTTTCTCTTTTCAATTGTGTCCCCATAGTTTTGAGTACCTAAATCTACAGTATCAGTTATAAAACAAGCTGTATTTGCATGTCTAGCCATCAGAGTTCTTCAAGAATAAGGAATGTAATCTACTCCAAACATAATGGCTGAAGATATAGAAAATACTCTGTAGGTGGCCAATAAATAATTTCAAAGTAGTCAAAGAATTCTAAGTGCTTGCCATGAAAAAAAAGTACACATACACACACATACACATGCATGCACACATACACACTATTTCAAATGAGTTAAACCCTATACTAACCTTTCAGATTTTAGTGTGTAAGCAACTATTTCAGGCAGTTTTATTATCATACAATATAACTAGCATTTTATTATCAAACAAGATAGCTTTTCTTATCAATTTGCTATAAATGTTTAATTTAGCCACCTTCTAGTGACACTTTTACTACATTATTAAACAAAAAGTACCCCATTGAACTTAACATACTACAATACATTCAGATGTGAACAGTTAGAAGTGTTTTGGTGGCTACTGGTTCTTCCTTAGTATAATATTTAAAGTTTAATTTCTCTGTTAAAAAGCAAGACAGAGGTATTTTTCTGACATTTATTCTCTTTTCTCATATCCTTCCATCATCAAGCTCTTTTGAAAGGAAATACTAGAAATTACAAAAAGTGAAAAATTTTGTGTTATTAATATTATTACTGAGAAAAAGATAGGAGAATGAAGAAGCTTTATATAATGGCAATGTCAAAATATGAACTTCTATGGTACGATCACCCTCACTGTCACTTTTACATTTCAGTGTTGATGAATTATGTACTAGTAAACTACTATGCATGTAATTTTGGCTCATTCTCTAAACTGCACTCCATAGAGTAGCAGGCAATTTCCAAAAAAAAAAAAAAATTAAGAGCTTAAACTCAGATATAAGAATTGAAGGATCATATGATGTTCTATAAAACATGTGTACACATAAGTCTATATTAATAAATTCCTATTAAGTAACTCTAGAATTTATAGAAATGCTACTATTAATATATCTGTATTAAAAAGGTATTTTAAGAAACAGATGTGTGAATCTCATTTTTCACCAAGTTAGCCATCGGTCCCCAATACAGGGGTGCTAAGTCATTATAAAAAAAGATACTTGCCACCCTGAAGGTAATTACGTATGATTTTTAATATATTTTCTCAGAAAATCAAATTTTGGGAAATATTTAAATTCAAAGCATTCTTTTTGCGATTTTGCATTCTTTTAACCCATTTTTCATTCCATTCTTTCTCATTTAATGTCTTGTTACATAAATTTTAAACATAATTAAATGCGTGAGTCAAAATGTTTAAGAGTATTCTCTGGTATCTGAACTACTTTGCAGGATCAGATATAATACTGTGGAGAGTAATATCAGCACTTTTATAATTATGAAAATGCTTTTATGTCAGAAGATACTTAAGCTGAAGATTCATGGGTTACAAAAAATAAACATTTCAAACTTTAAACTTATTTTCTGGAATGATACTTGCTCTGAAATAATATTCAAAACACTTTTCCGAAATGCATCTAGCCACACAGGAGAATGAGCATGCAAGGAGGTAGAGGGTCGGTGGTGAAAAAATTATAGATTTCAAAGTTATTGTTTGAAATAACCCAAACAAGCAAAACATTAGTATTTTTATCTTGAAATTCTTGGTGAATTTTATGTTCTAGCCCATAATATATTAGTTTATTTTAACACAAAAGTTTCTTCCAAAATGGACATGTCCAAAAGATACACCATGCTGGCGACGGGGGTGGCGGCGGCGGCAGCGAGTTCGGTTGCGCGTGACGCACCGGGTGGGAGCGGAGACCAGGCCGGGAGCAGGCGCCACCGCCAGCGACCATGGGGAACATGTTGGCCGCCAGCTCGCCGCCCGCAGGGCCGCCACCTCCGCCCTCGCCGCCGGGCTTCACGCTGCCGCCGCTGAGAGGCGGCCTGGGCGCCGGCACCCCTAGGAGTCGAGGTTCGGAACGGACCCCCGGGGCTGCAACCGCCAGCGCCTCAGGGGCCGCCGAGGATGGGGCCTGCGGCTGCCTGCCCAACCCGGGCACATTCCAGGAGTGCCACCGGAGGTGTAAGGAGCTGTTTCCCATTCAGATGGAGGGTGTCAAGCTCACAGTCAACAAAGGGTTGAGTAACCGTTTCCAGGTGAACCACACAGTAGCCCTCAGCGCAATCGGGGAGTCCAACTACCACTTCGGGGTCACGTATGTGGGGACAAAGCAGCTGAGTCCCACAGAGGCGTTCCCTGTACTGGTAGGTGACATGGACAACAGCGGCAGTCTCCACGCTCAGGTCATTCACCAGCTGGGCCCCGGTCTCAGGTCCAAGATGGCCATCCAGACCCAGCAGTCGAAGTTTGTGAACTGGCAGGTGGACGGGGAGTATCGGGGCTCTGACTCACAGCAGCCGTCACCCTGGGGAACCCAGACGTCCTCGTGGGTTCAAGAATTCTCGAAGCCCACTACCTCCAGAGCATCAGGCCTTGCCTGGCCCTGGGCAGAGAGCTGGTCTACAACCGGCGGCCTGGGGACGAGGGCACTGTCATGTCTCTAGCTGGGAAATACACATTGAACAACTGGTTGGCAACGTTAACGTTGAGCCAGGCGGGCATGCACGCAACATACTACCACAAAGCCAGTGACCAGTTGCAGGTGGGTGTGGATTTTCAGGCCAGCACAAGGATGCAGGATACCAGCGTCTCCTTCGGGTACCAGCTGGACCTGCCCAAGGCCAACCTCCTCTTCAAAGGCTCTGTGGATAGCAACTGGATCGTGGGTGCCACGCTGGAGAAGAAGCTCCAGCTCCTGCCCCTGACGCTGGCCCTTGGGGCCTTCCTGAATCACCGCAAGAACAAGTTCCAGTGTGGCTTTGGACTCACCATCGGCTGAGCCCTCCTGGCCCCCGCCTTCCACGCCCTTCCGATTCCACCTCCGCCTCCACCTCCCCCTGCCACAGAGGGGAGACCTGACCCCCCTCCCTTCCCTCCCCCCTCAGGGGTTGGGGGGGACATCGGAAAGGAGGGACCCCGCCACCCCAGCAGCTGAGGAGGGGATTCTGGAACCGAATGGTGCTTCGGGATTCTGAGTACCAGGGGCAGTGTGCCCAGTGGGCATGGGGTCCCAGGAGGGATTCCGGAATTGAGGGGCACGCAGGATTCTGAGCACTAGGGGCAGAGGCGGCCAGACAACCTCAGGGAGGAGTGTCCTGGCGTCCCCATCCTCCAAAGGGCCTAGGCCCGCCCCGAGGGGGCAGCGAGAGGAGCTTCCCCATCCCGGGTCAGTCCACCCTGCCCCGCCCACTTTCCCACCTCCTCGGTATAAATCAAGTTTATAAGTTATGGAAGAACCAGGACATATAACAGAAAAAAAAAAAAACAACAAAAAATATACGTGGGAAAAAAAAAAGATACACCATGCTTATCTAAGGCTTTTAGTACCTCCTGTCATAGTTGCATATATGCCAGATTGAGGGGCACAGAACTAGGGGAATTTGATAAAATGCTCATTATACAGAACTGTAATACCTATTGTGGCATTTTAATTATGTAAAAGCTTAATGAAATACTACATAAAAAGATACTGTTTATTTTTCTGATAGATTTCATAGCACTCCGTGGTACTGAGATTTTCTAAAATTTAGAAAACAACATTAGTAATTATATTTGTCTACTATAGTAAGTATATTTTTCTTCTTTCACTCTTCAGGTTTTCCATTAATATAAAAAGTAAAATTTCCATACATTTCCATTTATTTTAAATCAAAGTAGTGTCAACAAATCTACATTACCTATAGAATATAAAGAGAAGTATGTGAAACTTTATAAACTTTTAAGTTATACTTCCCTAACAATCAACCCCATACCTGCTCTCATGTCATCTACAGCACTCATTTTCAGCAATACTTGTTTAATTAGCCCAACTTCTGTGCTAGTCTGTACATTCCAAACACTTTTTCATAGAATGGCTGTAAACATGCTCCCTATTTCTGCTTGACATGTTACATCACAGTGCTCTAAAAGCTCTGTCATGCGTATTATACTCTCAGCATCCTGGATAATAGAGTTCATCTCCAGTTCAAATTCTCCACCAACCAGCTGAAAGTAAACAGAAAGAAACAATAGTGTTAACATGGGAGGTTACTGATAACAGTAGAATAAAATAATAACAAGAGTTCAAATCTACTACTCTAAAAAAGTTTCAAGGCTTTTGGTGTAAAATTACTTTTTATAAAAAGTATAAGAGCTACAGATAAATGACAGGCATTGTAAGCATTGAAACTAGCGAACACTGAAGGCGTGGCCTGCCGCTCCACACCTGTGGGATATCTCATCGGGTGGGATGAGAGACTGAGAAAAGAAATAAGACACAGAGACAAAGCATAGAGAAACAACAGTGGGCCCAGGAGACCAGCACTCAGCATACCAAGGATCTGCACCGGCACCAGTCTCTGAGTTCCCTCAGTTTTTATTGATTATTATTTTCATTATCTCAGCAAGAGGAATGCGGTAAGAGAGCAGGGTGATAATAAGGAGAAGGTCAGCAAAAAAACATGTGAGCAGAAGAATCTATGTCATAATTAAGTTCAAGGGGAGGTACTATGCCTGGATGTGCACGTAGGCCAGATTTATGTTTCTCTCTGCCCAAATATCTCAGTGCAGTAAAGAATAACAAGGCAGCATTGCTGCCAACATGTCTCGCCTCCCGCCATAGGGCAGTTTTTCTCCTTTCTCAGAACTGAACAAATGTACAATCGGGTTTTATACCGAGACATTCAGTTCCCAGGGACAGGCAGGAGACAGTGGCCTTCCTCTATCTCAACTGCAAGAGGCTTTCCTCTTTTACTAATCCAACTCAGCACAGACCCTACACGGGTGTCAGGCTGGGGGACGGTCAAGTCTTTCTCATCCCATGAGGCCATATTTCAGACTATCACATGGGGAGAAACCTTGGACAATACCTGGCTTTCCAGGGCAGAGGTCCCTGTGGCTTTCCACACAGTGCACTGTGCCCCTGGTTTATCGAGACTAGAGAATGGCGATGACTTTTACCAAGCATACTGCTTATAAACATTTTGTTAACAAGGCACGTCCTGCACAGCCCTAGATCTCTTAAACCTTGATTCCATACAACACATGTTTTTGTGAGCTCAATGTTGGGGCAAAGTGGCTGGGGCAAAGTTACAAATTAACAGCATCTCAGTGAAGCAATTGTTCAAGGTACAGGTCAAAATGGAATTTCTTATGTCTTCTCTTTCTACATAGACACAGTAACAGTCTGAGCTCTCTTTCTTTTCCCTACAAACAGAAATCTAATTTTCACATAAATGGGAAAGGGTGATTTCAAATCTAGTAAATCAGAGCAAACTACAGCATGTGATTCCTGGATGGGATTCAGGAAAAATTCCTAAAAAGAGGGTTTGGCCTTTAAAAGTGATAATCAACAGAAAATATAGAATTTACTAAGGATAAATTTTAAGACATGAAATTCATTTTCCTTTTTGATATTACTAGTCTTACAGATAAAGAGATGTAACTGGGGCATAATCTCCATATATAGAAGATGAAGAAACATGAAACTGATACAACTTACAATAAATGTTGCAATAATGAAATGAATGTTAAAAATAAGTTGAACAGAAATATGCAAGGTCTTGTAATGCTTTTTTTTTTAAGCACAAATGTGAATTGGGTAAAGAAAGCTGATTTAACAGCAACACATTTGACTTCAATATTATGGCAAATGAGTCCAAAGTCATACTGCCCCTCCCGTTTGGTATTTTAAGTACAGTAATAGACAAATACACACAGAATAAAATAACATAATAATACTCTGTTACTCTCTGTTGATCGAATCCCATAAGAACTATTATATTCGGTTATAAGCATCATTCTTAAAAAAGAACACTGTCAAACTGGATATCCTTTTGGTCTAAAGAATGATAAGATTTAGGAATAAAATAATAATCATATACAACACCTCACAAATTCAAAGTAATTAATTCCTTTGTTCATTCAATAAATAATTTATTAAGGTCTAGAAGTTACTGTTCTGGGAACTAGAATATATGAACATCCAAGATAAAGACCATGCACTAACAGTGCTAAATTCTAGGAACAAAGATTTATATGTATGTATGCATACACTACTTTATTCCAAAAAAACACTGAAGGTGGCTACAAGTTATGTAAAGCATGAAGGAAGGCATAAAATATGAGTAGATGAGAAAAGAGGAAGCAAAGGAAAACAAGATTAGGAACAGACAGGGAGTAGAATTAGGATCAAGAAGTAGAATTAATTTCCTATCACTGAAAGGTATTCGCAAATACGGACAGGTCACCACAGAATATGATATAAATAAGATAAATAGTAACAATACCACCACCTAACCTTACATGGCGTTTAGTCCTGTTTTAAAGGTTTTACATCCATTATGACACTATTCTTATCTTCATTTTACAGAGAAGGCATCATAGGCACAGAGTTATAAGTATGTTGAAGAATGTTACAAAACCGGTAAGAGACCCAGGATCCAAGCACAAGACGTCTGTCTTCGTGCAAGTTCATATAAACATTACAATCTCATTTAAGAATATTTTTTTAGGAGGGAGGTGAGACAAGACGGCAGAACAGAAAACTCCACAGATCATCCTCCTACCCCTACCACAAGGATACTAAGTTAACAAACAACTACACAGGAAAAAGCATCTTCCTAAGAGCTAAAAATCAGGTGAGCACTCACAGTACCTGGTTCTAACCTCGTATCACTGAAAGAGACACTGAAAAGACAGAAAAACAGTTCCGAGTCTCCGATGCCACCCCTCCCTGACCCCAGCAGTGTGGCTTGGTGCCAAGAGCACCTCTGGGTGCTGGTGAAGGGAGAACAGAGCAATTGTGAGGCACTGAACTCAGTGCCATTTTGTTGCAGCAAAAAGGAAAACCTGACCAAACTAAGCTGAAGTCCACCCAAAAGAAGGCATGTCAACCAGCCTTAGCCAGAGGGCAATCACTGATACCAGCAGTCCAAACCTGACTGCCCGCAAACCTCAGTACCAAAGGCCACAGTGCTCTTGTTGTCTAAGTAAATTGGAAAGGTAGTCTAGGCCATAAGGACTGCACCTCATAGGTGAGTCCTAGTGCTGAACTAGGCCCAAAGACAATGGACTGAAGTGGCATGGGACATACTGAGATACCAGCTGGGGCAGCTAAGGGAATGTTGGCATCACCTCTCCCCTAACCTGAGACTGCACAGCTTGTGGATCCAAAAGAAACCCCTTCCTTCCACTTGAGAAGAGGAGAGGGAAGAGTTGGGAGGAGTTTGTCTTGCATCTTGCTTATCAGCTCTGCCACAGAAGGACAGGGCACCTTGAGGTCATGAGGCCCTTGTTCCAGGCTCTAGCTCTGGGATGACATTTCTAGATACACCCTGAGCCAGAAGGAAACCCACTGCCTTGAAGGAAAGGACCCAGTCCTGGCAGCATTCATCATCTGCTAACTGAAGAGCCCTTGGGTCCTGAATAACCAGCAGTGATACCCGGGTACTACGTTGAGGACCTTGGTGAGCTTCTGAGACTTGTTGGCTTCAGGTGAGACTATGCACATTACCAGCTGTGGTGGCTATGGGGCAAAACTCCTTCCACTTGATAAAAACAGAAGGAAGAGTAAAGGGGACTTTGTTTTGCATCTTAGGTACCAACACCACCACTGTGGGGTAGAGCACCAAGTGGGCTTTTGGGTTCCCAATTCTAGGACTTGACTCTTGGACAGCATTTCTAGACCTGCCCTTGGCCAAAGGGGAGCCCACTGCCCTGACGGGTGAGTCCCAGGCCAGGCAGCATTCACCACAAGCTGATATAAGAGCCTTTGGTCCTTAAGGGAACATCGGTGGTACTTTGGCAGTACTCCTCATGGCCAGGTGTGGCGGTGGCTACGGGGTAAGGCTCCTCAGCTTTTGGAAAGGGGAAAAAGTGGAAAGAGTGGGAAGGATTGTGTCTTGTGGTTTGAGTGCCAGCTCAGCCACAGTACAACAGAATGCCAAGTAGATTTCTAAGTTTTTTGACTCTAGTCCCTGACTCCTCTATGGCATCTGTGGACCCACTGGTGGCCATGGGGACTTTGCCACCCTGAAGAGAAGGACACAGGCCCAGCCGACTTTTCTACCTGCCAATTGTAGAGCCCCAGGGCCTTGAGTGAATATAGGCTATAGCCAAGGAGTGATTAAGGCAGGCCTTGGGCAAGACCCAGCACTGTGCTTGCTTCAGGTGTGACCCAGTACCTGAAGTGGTGGTGGTGGTGGTCATAGGGGTGCTTGTATCATACATCATACCAGCCCCAGCTTTAGGTGTCTCAGAACAGAGAGAGAGAGAGACTCTGTGTTCTTGGGAGAAAGTAAGGGAAGAGAAAAAGAGACTCTGCCTGGTAATCCAGAGAATCACCCCAGATCTTATCCAAGGCCATCAAGGCAGTACCTCTACAAGTCTGCAAGAACCAGTGTCACTGGAAAGCCTTCCCAAGAAGGATGGCTACAAATAAGCTCAGGCAATGAAGAGTACAATAAATACCTAACTCTTCAATGCTCAGGCCCCGAGGAACATCTACTAGCATTAACACCATCCAGAAAAACATGACCTCACCAAACGAACTAAATAAGGCACCAAGAATCAATCCTCGAGAAACAAAGATATGTGACCTTTCACATGGAGAATTCAAAATAGCTGCGTTGAGGAAACTCAAAGAAATTCAAGATAACACAGAGAAGGGATTCAGAATTCTATCAGATAAATTTAACAAAGATATTGAAATAATTTTAAAAAATCGAGCAGAAATGCTGGAGCTCAAAAATGCAATTGGCATACTTAAGAATTCATCAAGTCCTTCAAGAGCAAATTGGATCAAGCAGAGGAAAGAATTAATGAGCTTCTGAAGAAAGGCTATTTGAAAACACACAGAGGAGAAAAAAGAATAAAAACCAATGACACATGCTTACATGATCTAGGGAATAGCCTCAAAAGGGCAAATCTAAGAGGTATTGGCCTTGAAAAAGAGGTAGAGAACAGGGTGAGAAAGTTTATTTTGAGTAAACCTTCAAATAACAGAGAACTACCCAAATCTAGAGAAAATATCCAAATACAAGAAAGTTATAGAATACCAAGCAGATTTAACCCAAAGAAGTCTACCTCAAGACATTTAATAATCAAACGCCCAAAGGTCAAGAATAAAATAAGAATCCTAAAAGCTGCAAGAGAAAAGAAACAATAACATACAAAGGAGCCCCAATACATCTGGCAGCAGACTTTTCAGTGAAAACCTTATATGCCAGGAGACAGTGGCATGACATATTTACATTGCTGAGGGAAAAAAACTTTTACCCTAGAATAACATATCCAGTGAAAATATTATTTGACCATGAAGAGGAAATAAAGACTTTCCCAAACAAATAAAAGCTAAGGGATTTCAACAACAGCAGACCTGTCCTACAAGAAATGCTAAAGGGGGTACTCCAATCAGAAAGAAAAGGGCATTAATGAGCAATAAATGATCACCTGAAAATACAAAACTTACTGGTAATATAAGTACACAGAAAAGTACAGAATATTATAAACACTGTTACTGTGGTTTGCAAACTACTCTTATCCTAGGTAGAAAGACTAAATGATGAATTAAACAACAATAATAACTACACCAACTTTTCAAGACATAGGCAGTAGAAGATATAAACAGAAACGACAAAAAGTTAAAAAGCAAGGAAATGAAGTTAAGGCAAGTTTCTACTAGTTTTCTTTTTGCTTGTTTGTTTGCTTATGCAAATAGTGTCATGTTATCAGGTTAAAATAATGAGTGATAAGATAGCATTTGCAAGGCTCATGGTAACCTCAAACCAAAAAACATACAATGGACACACAAAAAAATAAAAATCAAGAAACTAAATCACCAGAGAAAATCATCTTCACTAGAGGAAGACAAGAATGCAAGAAAGAAGACCACAAAACAACCAGAAAACCAAAAACAAAATGGCAAGAGTAGATCCTTACTTAATAATAACAGTGAATGTAAATACACTAAACTCTCCACTCAAAAGACACAGACTAAAAGGATGAAAAGACAAGACCAATTGATCTGTTGCCTAAAAGAAACACACTTCACCTATAGAGACACACAAAGACTGAAAACAAACAGATGGAAAAAGATATCCCATGCCAAAGAAAAACAAAAAAAGAGCAAAAGTCACTACACTTATATCAGACAAAAGAAATTTCAAGACAAAAACTAACTATAAAAAGAGACAAAGAAGGTCACTATATAAAGATAAGGGGGTCAGTTAAGCAAGATGATATAATAATTTCAATATATATTCACCCATCACTGGAGCACCCAGATATATAAAGGAAATATTACTACAGCTAAAGACAGCTATAGGCTCCATAATATCTGCAGACTTCAAAACCTCACTTTCAGCATTGGACACATCTTCCAGAAAGAAAACAAAGAAACATCAGAATTAATCTTCACTACAGACCAAATTGAGCTAATAGATATTTACAGAACATTTCATCCAGAAGCTGCAGAATACACATTATTTTCCTTAGCACATGGATCAGTTGAAAAGACAGACCATATGTTAGGTCACAAAACAAATCTTGAAATATTCCAAAAAAATGAAATAATATAAAGCATCTTCTCTGACAACAATGGAATAAAACTAGAACTACCAAGAGAAGTTTCAGAAACTATACAGATACATGGAAATCAAACAATACGCTCCTGAATGACAAGTGGGTCAATGAAGAAATTAAGAAGGAAATTGAAAAATTTCTTGAAACAAATAATAATAGGAACACAACATACCAAAATCTAAGGGATACAAGAAAAGTTGTACTAAGAGGGATGTTTATAAGTGCCAATATCAAAAAAGAGGAAAAATATCAAATAGACAATCAAATGCTGCATCTTAAAGGACTGAAGTATCAAGAGCACACCAAATCCAAAATTAACAGAAGAAAAGAAATAATAAAGATCAGAGCAGAAATACATAAAATTGAAATAAAAAAATACAAAAGATCAAAGAAATGAAAAGTTTATTTTTTGGAAAGCTAACGAAAATTGACAAATCTTTAGCCAGACTAAGAGAGAAGATCCAAATAAAGAAAATCAGAAATAAAAAAGGAGACATTACATCTGATACTGCAAAAGTTCAAAGGATCATTATCAGCTACTGTGGGCAACTGCATGCAAATTAGTTGGGAAATCTAGAAGAAATTTATGAATTGCTACACACATAAAACTACCAAGATTGAACCAGGAAGAAATCCAAAACCTGAACAGACTAATAACAAGTTACAAGACTGAAGTTGTAATAAAAGTCTCCCAGTAAAGAAAAGTCTGGGAAATGATAGCTTCACTGTTGAATTCTAACCAAACATTTAAAGAACTAATATTAATCCCACTCAAACTATTCTGAAAAATAGAAGAGAAGGGCATCCTTCCAAATAGAGGAGGAAGGAATACTTCCAAACTCATTCTATGAGGCCAGTATTACCCTGTTACCAAAACCAGTCACAGACACAAATTTTTAAAAATATATTTATTGACTGACCAAAAAATAGAACAAATGAGGGATTCTTACCCCAATTTTGTTCGTTATAAATATTTATAATATGTCTCTAGTTCTACAGTAAGGATATAAGCTTGGTTAGTTACATGGCTTTAACAAGTTTACATCAAAAAATATCTCATAAGCCACTGGCACTCTGAAAAAGGTACTGTGATGCATTTCATTGGTTTCATTATAATAAGGTCTCTTGTAAAAATTGTCACTAAGCAAAAAATAACATAACTCTGGGCTACTAGAAAATCCTTAGTTCTTCATAAGTACAACAAACAAGCACCTAACAGTAGAATTAAATTGGACATACTGCCAGAAATTACAACAATGAATGCAAATTTGAATACTAGCTTCATAGTTCTCAGCCTCAAAAGTGAGAACCTTAAAAGGTAAAAAGACTTTGGGATGACAGTTTCAGTAACACTTGGTTGGGAAAAGATTAGTAAAAATACAAAGAATAACTTTATTCTTAGTTTTTCCTAAAAATGAATTATTAGGCAAAAATATAATGGATATCATGTCTGTAACTCATAAATTACTGACATTACACAGCATAAATATTTTTAAACAACTACATTTACATGTAAGAGTTTTTGAGATATTAGCTTGCTGGTCTAGAAGCAAAATAATTACCACTTGGGGAATAATCGTAAGGAAGAATGAGTTCATATATCAATGTGCAATGGAATCAGAGTATCCACATTTTAAAACTGAAAAAGATGTTACAAACCATCTATTTGAATTGCTCCCTTCATGGAGAGCCTAGCTAGGCTTTTATAGAGACAAATGGATACTGTTTAAGTGACTTTTAATATTTCAAAAAGTATCACGTATCATATCTCACTGGAAAACAAAGTCATATTTATTTAATAGAAATAACAGTAGAAACTGGAGAAGAAGGTAAGGTAAGAAATAATTTTAAAAATTAAATGTTGGTAATCATGGAATCCCTACACCAAGGTCAAAAACTAAGGTAACAGACAGGTAGAATATTCAAATTTCCTGACTAGTCCAGGCTACCTGAGGTAGGCTACTAGTCTTGCCTACCTCCACACTACTTTGAATACAGGACATAAATAATAGATTTAACAAATGTCAAATGTTTACAATAGTGACCATGGAGCAATGAGATTACTGGCGACTTTCCATTTCTTCTTCACATGTATTTTTAAATGATTTGCAATGAGCACATATACTATTATAATAAAAACATACACACACATGCATACACACATTCACACACATTTAATAGTGAGTCTTCCTAAAGCAAAACCTATAATTGGACAAATCATGTTCAGAAATATGATTTTCCCATGTTTCCTTTTCCATTCACATAATCTTGGAGTATGTTTCGTCATTTATAAAACAAGGGTAATGGTTGGTTCTTACACTATGTTTCACTAATTATTGCTGGGACCACTCAAAAGATAGATGTAAAAGTAAATCTACTAACCGATTATGCAATGAGTGCCACTCATGTGGTATCTAATAAACAGTCTTCATTCACTAGAAACATAAGAGATTTTTTTTTTTTTTTTTTGAGACGGAGTCTCGCTCTGTCACCCAGGCTGGAGTGCAGTGGCGCGATCTCGGCTCGCTGCAGGCTCCGCTCCCCGGGGTTCACGCCATTCTCCTGCCTCAGCCTCCCGAGTAGCTGGGACTACAGGCGCCCTTAAAAGCCTAAAGGAGAACTAACATTTTATTCCTTACTACACCTATCTATTGAATGTATTTTGCAAGCCATGTGTAGTTTCAAGGTACAGGAAATGTAGCGGTAAATGAAACAAAGTCCCTGTCCTCATATAGCTTATGTTCTAATACAGGTCACAGACAATAAACTAGTAAAATGTATATAAATAATATGATTTCAGAAAATGATACTTTTTTATGGTATTTATTTTTATGAAAAAAATATAGTCTTGTAGTAATTTGTTATACAATTTTTTCCTGACTACCTTAGCACTACTTGAAGGCAGGGACTATAGCTTATAAATAAACTCTGCAGCAATAAGCTATGCTCATTGATTGATACATGGTAAATACTTGATAAATGTCTCAATTAAGGAAAGAAAGGAGGAAATAACTTAAAGGTAAAAATTCAATACATTCAGTAGTTTGATACAGATTACTTACATTACAAGGCAATGTCACATATTAAAGGAAGAAAAACAAAAGGTTTTAAAGTCAGAATAAAATCATTCCTCTAAAGGACTGTTAAATTCCCTAAAACATGATTTTGGGGGAATAATAAGGTCCTCAAAACTAGCATTCAAAGTATTAAACCATCATTGTTGTGTTAAGTAAATTATTTGGCCTCTTGGAGTCTTGATTTTCTTACCAATGAAATAGGAATGAGAGCATAGGAATGAACAGCTCTCATTATAGAAAGGGGTTGTAAGCACAAATGAGATAAATTATGATCCTTTGAAAAGTACAAAGTATTACAGAGAAAGCAATAGCATTAATTCTGGCAGCAGTCTGGAATGGAGCAGTAATTCCAGTCATCTGGAAATACAGGCAGTAGTGAGTCATGGCTACAGACTCAGAGCAGGGAACTGGTTTGGATAAAGTGTGTGACAAGTTGTGGGGGATATTAAAAGGAGCTAGGCAGGGTCAGGCATGGTGGCTCACGCCTGTAATCCCAGCAGTTTGGGAGGCCGAGGCGGGCGGATCACCTGAGGTAGGAAGTTCGAGACCAGCCTGGCCAACATGGGGAAATCCCGTCTCTACTAAAAATACAAAAATCAGCCGAGCGTGGTGGTGCATGCCTGCAATCCCCGCTACTCGGGAGGCTGAGGCAGGTGAATCGCTTGAACCCGGGAGGCAGAGGTTGCAGTGGCCACTGCACCACTCCAGCCTGGACAACAGAGCAAGACTCCGTCTCAAAAAAAAAAAACAAAAAACAAAAAACAAACATCGGAGCTAGGCAGGTTCCACACCCAGAGCTAGTGGTCAGGAATCAAATGGCAAGGAATCAAATCTAGTCATACAAGCCACAGTCGGGTCAAACCTGAAAAGACAGTTGCAGTGACCATGGATCCTCAAGAACAGAATAGGAAGGCAATATAAAGTTTGGTAAACAGTCAGGAATCTGGAAATGTGATGAACAAAAAGAAGGATAATGTAAATGAGAGGCCAAATTTGAGATCTTCAAAAATGCAGCAAGGCAGTTTTGTGCATCAGCTCCAGTGTATGTATAAGGATCCTTTGAAGGAAAGCATTCACTCTTGAGGAGCAGGTGCTCAGGATTACATGATTGAGGTAAGGGAATGTAGGTGGAGCCGAACCAACACTTTCTCCTCAAGAAAATTCTGGCAATAAATATCTTAGCCAGTTTTTAGAAGAATCTTTCCAGTCATTCATTTTCTAATTGGACAGCAAGATAAAGCTTCATCAAATCTCTAGACAAATTTCCCTTGGGACTTATGCCATGTTTTCATGATACCACAAAATATTTTGAAAGTAAAAAAACTCAATCGTCGATGTATGCACTCATTATTAGATCCTCAGTATGTATGGTTTCAGCTATGAATGAAAGCATTGCCTCCTTTCTTGTTGACCTGAGTTTACTAAGTAATTGGCTAAAGTTAATTAATGAATCAATTGTACTGTAGCAACATGCATGTGAATGCTAGGCAAAACCCTCCTGTGGATGGGAGAGAATTACTGTCTTTGGGTAACTGTTTGTTTGCTTTCTATCTCTACATTCAAAACTGACCAAGGAATGCCACTAGCTAGACATGTGTAGTGACTACCAGTGAACCTCAGGGAGGCTCACTCAGGACTGGCTACCCCCAGGATGGAGGGGTGGCATGCCAGTAAGGAACCTGGCCTTAGCAGCAAGTTGGTTTTTTTTCTGCAAGTATCTTCTATTTCTTCTCCAACCAATTTTGTTCCCCTTGGTTCTTGGGAACCATTATACTGTTAGGTTAATGGATCATTGGTTTATCCACCTGTACATTTCCTGAATTTTGGCCATTCAACCATGCATTCCTGGTGACTGGGTTTATAAGTATTAGTTTCCTAGGTCCAACACCACATTTGGATATCTCTTAACTATAAATTGGTGTAGTAACCGTGATATATCAGCATAGAGATGGCTCCATCCATTAAAAATATATTGGTATTGGTGGTTTCAAAAAATTGTATATTTGTTACTGGCATCTAAAACAAATGAATGGCCAGATACAAAATTGTACAGAACCCAGATTAGTATCTAATAAAGAATTAATAAAGAATATGAATTAATGTAGATATATCCATTTACATATTAATTGTTTTTTTCAAATTGGCCAAATTTTTCAAAACAATTACATATTAAAAACTGAGATATACGGAAATTCTAACTAATAGGTTTATAGTCATTCCTAGGGTAGGCATTAACACTTCTTGGTAAGTTCTGTAAGTTAATTATAGTTTAACTTCCTAATTAATTAATTCTGTAAGTCAATTTATAGTTTAACTTCCCAGAGGCTTTGGTGTCTTTTTTTACCCTCACTTTAAAATACACACAATAGTATATAATATATCACATTTGGTCAACAGTTCAAATTTTTTTATTCTTTAAAGCATGTACAAAAAATATACTAGTTAGAATTCCTGTGAAAAATTCTAATACAGAGGAATTATATGGCTATGTTTGGAAAGATAATATTTCTTTAAAAATGTGTTTTCTTTATGTTTTATGTTTGCAATAAGGATTATTTAAGTTTGATTGAAGAACTTCATGATTCTTATGTATTATTTTCTTGTATTGAGAAATAGTGGCCCATTGTTGGGCTGTATTTAAAATTAATGTGTATGAAACAAGAAATATTTAATTAGAGTTATTAATTTTCCACAAGTAATATGTGTACTTGACCTAAATCAGTATCTTTTATCATATCAGCCTCACATACAACAAGAATAATAGCAAGGACAACAACAACAAATTTGAATGTTTCCTTTGTGCCTATGCTCCTAACTATCATGTTATACTCATTCATATAAACCTAACAATTAATTTGAAGTTAGACACACAGGATTTACTCATCAGTATTAGAGCATTCGCTGTTATCCAGGAAGAAAACTATCCCTGGTGCTGAAACTGCTCTGTGTAGTCCATGCGGTTGAAGAATTAAAAGTCTCTTTTAGACATTTCCTTTCATTGAAATTATGAATTGGATAAGTGTTCATACCTTAAAGGAAGTATTAAATTTCACATATGTTAACATCTTAATTAATATAAGATTAATATTCTACTTATGACTATGTTATAATATTGAAAAATGAGTTTATGATGAGTTTCATTAGTTTCTAGAGAAAACAGTGGTTTAAAAAATTTCAGTCATAAGACATTGAAGAGTCTATGACTGTTCCAGAAATCTGAAAACATATACCACTAATCAAAAGTTTCTCCATTCATGTTGACTAGCATTTGCCTTAGGTGTCAGAATTAATGGATTTGTGTTAAAAATAAACACCTGAAATCTAATTCCCTAACTACATTATAACACACTTGATTTCAAGTTCTTAGCTTTTATTTAATGCTTCTAATGACTTTAAATTGTAGCAAAATGGGCTTCCCCCAAGAGCACTGCTTTGTTGATCCTGAGTTGGGGTCCTAAGCCAGAAGTTAACTATGCTTTCATATATTCTTGCAAGTAGAAGTACAGTGTTGGTGTAAATTCCCCTTAGATGGATAGCTAAGCCCAGAGGAAATAATGGTAATTGGAACCATATGACCGTATGCAATTCATGTGCATATTTATATCAAGAAAAGAACATTATAGGTCGGGTGAGACCCTATTTTGTTCTGACAATGTCATCTGTATTTACATGTCTGTTTCGGGAGTTTGGATGTCAAGGGATTCTGTGCTGGATTGTAAAGCATGTGCTTCTGCTTGATGTAGCTACTCAATTTTGTATTCTTGACTAATAAAGTCATAAACATAATTCAACCTCTGTGTGCGTGCTCTCCTTCCATTAATTTATACTTTAGCAAAAAGTATTGAATGTGTGTGTTATGTAACAATTTCCTATAAATTATATTAAATGATTTATTAGCTTTATTCAATAAAGTTTTAAGTGTTTTCTTCTATGACTACATTATTTGTTAACAAGAAATTTCTTTAACTGAAAACTTCAAGGAAGACTATCTGGGTAACTCTTTCAAAAAGAATTGTCCCTGTATTTTGGGATTGAATATATTAATTTCTTGTACTGTTTTAACAGCACATAATTTTACAAGACAAGCCACTTTTTCAAAGCCTGCTTCTCCTCCCATTTTCCCTATCTCTGTGATTGACACCTCCAACCCCTGTAGCCTGCCTCTGCTCTCTCTTAACCAGTCCTACTGATACTACTTCCTAAGTATTTTTCAGCCCTGTCCTTCCTCTCCATCATGATGGATTCACTTCCAGTTGAAATCCTTATGGTACCCTCCCTGGATTATGGCAGTAATCAGAGAGCTGGTCTCCTTAACTCAGGATTCACTTCTTCTCATCTGTTGTTCACAGTGACATCAGAAAGATATTTTAAAATGATGAACTAGAATTAATTATATAAAACACACATACACACATAAATAATACTTAAATTTTTCAATGATGTTCCAATTATGTAAAATATAATATAGGAGGCACTTTATGTTCTGGCCTCAATCTTTCAATTCAAACTTATCTCCTGCCACTATCTCCTTTGAACATTGTATTCCAGCTACTTTAGAATAATAATAATACATAATATTCATAGAGCCCTTCCTGGGTTCCTATCACCGTACAAAATACTTCACATATAACATTTAATCTTTGACAACTTTATTAGGCATGCACAATTATTATCTATCTATATATCTATATCTATATATATAAAATCTATATTTTATAGATAAGAAAATAGAGGGTAAAAACTTGCCAAAATTACAAAGCTTAGAAGTGTAGCAGTTGGGATTTGAATCTAGGCATCCTGCCTCTATAGTCTACAGTGGCTTTCTTGTGCCAAAAGCCTTGCAGTTCCCTAGACTTAACATTTCTCAAAATCTGTGTCTTTCACATGCTCTTCCAATTGTCTGGAAAATCTTTCCCAACCTCAGTCTAACTGTGGTACTCATGTTCACCCCACAAGAATTGACTCCATCTGTCCCCTCTCCATGAAAATTTCTTTGAATCTCAGCACTTTGGGAGGCTGAGGCAGGTGGATCGCCTGAGCTCAGGAGTTCGAGATTGCCCTGGGCAACATGGTGAAACCCCGTCTTTACTAAAATACAAAAAACTCACCAGGTATGGTGGCACACGCCTGTAATTCCAGCTGCTCTGGAGGCTGAGGCAGGAGAATTACTTGAGCCTGGGAGGCAGAGGTTGCAGTGAGCCAAGATTGCACCACTGCACTCCACCTTGGGCTACAGAGTGAGATTCCGTCAAAAAAAAAAAAAAGAAAGAAAGAAGAAAGAAAGGAAGGAAGGGAGGAAGGAAGGAAGGAAGGAAGGAAGAAAGAAAAAGAAAGAAAGAAAGAAAGAAAGAAAGAAAGAAAGAAAGAAAGAAAGAAAGAAAGAAAGAAAAGAAAGAAAGGAAGAAAGTAAGTAAGTTTCCCTGGTAAGGGCTCATGCCTTGGCACTGAGGGCATCTTGCAAAACTCAAGGATGCCACTTGGCATAGCAGATAGAAAATAATTGTGATATGAGACAGGCCTGAATTGGATTTATGGCTCTATTGCATATTTGTTTTGTGATTTTGGGAAAGTCATTTAATCTCTCCGAATTTTAGTTTCTTTAGGGATTAATAGTACCTTTTCCAGGGAGCTGTTATTAGGATGAGACAACGACCAGAACATAGCAAGAATTCATTAGTGCTCTCACCACCCTTCCCCCATTGCAGCCCTCAGTACCTGAATGGCAATCGTGCATCTTCTCATCAGCCTGGAATTGCTTCCCCTTTCATCTTTGGCTCTGCAGTATTCAGTGTCACTAGTGAAATGTGTGAAATGAATGAATCGACAACTGATGCTTAATACCTAATGAGACAAGTGAATGAATCCTTTTGTTCATTTTATGGCCAGAAAGATAGTGTAATTAAGTAATAACAACTGGCAAAAAAGAGAAACTCAACCTATACTTTGTCCTTTTCTCAAGTAGCATCTAAAACTTTTTCCCTCTGATTAAAAAATTATCACTGAAGGATCTCTTTGAATGTGTCTTGAATTTTATATAAGCAGATGATCACAGCTCAGCATAATATTAGAAGATTATATGATTTTAAAAATTGGTTCATAGTTTTATAGTCTTGGAATATCTATCTATCTGTCTGTCTGTCTGTCTGTCTGTCTGTCTGTCTGTCTATCTATCTAGGTATCTATCTATCTATCTACCTACCTACCTACTTACCTACCAATCTGTCATCTTCAAATATATTTAGGCTGCTTTCCTGAGGCTAATTTTTTATTCCATTCTTTCATCTTTTTCAAGATCCTCGTATTCCCTGGTGTATTGGGTCTAGGTATTTATGATTAGGAGAAGAAATGATTCAGTGGCAGCTCCACAGGATTTTGAATTATGAGATATGAAACTAGAAATGGCAACTTAGGTGGATTGTTTGAGAACACTGTGTATTACTGCTTCTGTATCAACTTCTATTCTCCCTTGTTCATACTTTTTTAATACGCATTTCAAGCACTATATATTGGTGAACATTTGAACCCGAATCATATAACGATAGAAGATGCCATAGTTGGAAAGGCATAAAAGGTCATTCTAAATGTGTGAACAAATTAGAGAACTACAAAATTAGAGATCATCATAGCTATATTGCAGACAGACTTCATTGCTTTTCACAGAAATTAAGCCATAGATAACAATGACAGGTTGAAATAGGTCATGATTTCTAAAAATAATGTCATGTAAATTACTTATCTAAATACATTAAAATATGAATTATTTAAAAAAATGAATAGCAGGTCCTCAGAATAGCCCTACACATAAGTATCTAATAAAAGCATGAGTTCAAGAGCAGAATGTTAATGAAGCTCCCTGCCTTGGTTTCTTTAATAAGATTTTCTATTCCGCTTTCTGGAACTATTATGTTCCCATTATAAACTTTGTACCAAGTTAAAAGTAAGGCCCCTTTTGCCCCTTTTTTCTGTCTTCCTGGCTCTCTAGTCCTAGGAAGTTAAAAAGAGTCAGAAAATCCCATCTTTTCTTCTATGAAGTTTGGGAGAAAAGTCAAGATAGGCTATAAAGTGTTGCACGTGATAATCCAAGCATCCTTCTACTGATAGTAGAGTCTCATTATCCTTCCTCAGATATATGCAGTGATGAAAATAGATAATGAGAATGCATGCATCCAAGTAACTCTTTGAGTGTATAAGGGCTGATTAAGTTGAAAGAAGATTGCCAGGCGAGGTGGCTCACGCCTGTAATCCCAGCACTTTGGGAGACTGAGGCAGGCAGATCACTTGAGGTCAGGATTTCGAGACCAGCCTCGCCAACATGGTGAAACCCCATCTCTACTAAAAATATAAAAAATATTCGGGCGTGGTAGCGCATGCCTGTGATCCAGGTACTCGGGAGACTGAGGCAGGAGAATCACTTGAACCCAGGAGGCAGAGGTTGCAATGAGCTGAGATGATGCCACTGCACTCCAACCTGGGCAGAAGAGTGAGACTCCATTCAAAAAAATTGCAAAGTATCTACTAATCTAAAAAATGCACAGCCTCAGTTCTCAAAGAGTTTATGTTGTAGGATCACGTCAGTTCCATATATAATTTGTTTATCACAACTGCACACTGTTACTGAATCTGAAATGCTTCAAAATCTGAAAGTTTTGAGCACTTACATGATGCTCAAAGGAAATGTTCATTGGA
Source organism: Homo sapiens (assembly GCF_000001405.40). Lineage (NCBI taxonomy): Eukaryota > Metazoa > Chordata > Mammalia > Primates > Hominidae > Homo > Homo sapiens. Next base: position 15,835,650 of record NC_000022.11, on the reverse strand, counting down.
GCATTTCAGATTTCAGATTTTCAAATTAAGGATACTCAACTGGTAAGTATAATGCAAATATTCCAAAATCTGAAAAATATCCAAAATCCAAAATACTTCTGGTCCCACGCATTTTCGATAAGGGATACTCAACAAGTATTTTAAAAGATCAAAATAAGGGTAAGAGAATATGGATATTTAGGCTTATGGTTACTTACATGGAACAGTTGAGGCCATTAAAAAATGTCTAAGACATAGGCAGTGGAAGGCTGAATTCAAGAAAAAGTCTCAGAGCTGAGGAAACAAAGAACCTATGAGGTTAAGGTGTTAAATGAGCCAACCACATGAGTGTGAAAGGGAGGCCAAATGAGAAAATGATGTTGCTTGGGTGTAGAGGAAGTTCTGGAATAAATGTGGCAGTTGTTAGAAGACATTATAGTTAGAAGACATTATAGTTAGATGGATAGACAGTAAAGAAGGGGCTTTTGTATTAAAATAGAGGAATAGTGGTTGGGAATAGGAAATATGGAGCTAAAATTATGCCAACCCACTTCTATTAAATAAATTCTATGACACCTTAGCCTTTGGGAAAATGACTAGCCTTCAGTGGAGCACATGTCAAGGGAAGCATTGTCCCCATATAGATAGCTGAATTTTAATTAAAGCAAAGAAATGGAGTCAATGTCCTCTAATGAGGTTTCCAGAAGTCACATTGAAAATATTTGGGAGGGAGGGAAGATTGATTCAGAAGTAAAACACAGAGCAGTATGGAGATATGACACTGGAGAGCATAAATGAGTCGAGTTTTCAAAAAAATAGAACAAAATTTTTTGAAGTCAGTTGCCTATTAGCTTCCCTCACAGTTCTTAGGGAGATATAACTGAAGGCCTCCAAAGAATTTGTGTCTGTCCATAAGGTACAGAATAAATTTATTTCAAAGATCTCCTCCTCCCAGAGTTGATTATTTGACTTAGGGCAAAAGACTGAATGTAAATAGTAGCGAAACTGTCTCTGATATTATTGTAAGGAATAAAATAATTTTGCTTTGTAAATAAAATAGAATATTTTCTAGAGAGAACTGACCCAAACTCAATTTTAGGACTGGTCCTGAAATTCAGAAATGCCTTTCCCATATTGCCTAACTGTGCCTTTTTCACTGGAAAGAAAGTGCTGCCTTCAGGGAGCACGCCTCCGCAGAGATCAGTAAAATCAATGAGAAATGCAATGTCCATTTGTCAGTAAAGACATCTGAAGTTTGATGGGTTTCTTGGGACTGGATAACTAGTTAAAGATTCTAAAGAAAAATTAAGTGGGGCATAGAAACCAAAAATCTCAAGAGATCTTTGAAGAAAGAAACATGAAAAATGAGGACAAATTTAGAGAAATGTTGCTGGCATAGATGTTAACTTCCAGAAGAAGATGGAAATAGACTACCATGCAAAACAAAAAGACAGAAGAGAATATTAGCACTCTGTTGCAAAGGAGAATAGGTATGCTCTACTGGTAAGTATAATGCAAATATTCCAATATCTGAAAAAAATCCCAAATCCAAAATACTTCTGGTTCCCTGCATTTTGGACAAGGGATACTCAACAGGTATTTTAAAAGATCAAAATACAGATCACAGAATATGGATATTGAAGAATATGAGCAAACGAGAGTAAGAAAAAATGTTGGAGGACTTTTAAAAATGTATAAAGGAATTAATGAATGCAATTAGTATTATTTTTTAAATCAGTCATTAATAGCCACTCGCCATGATTGCCAACCCCTTTGATGAGTACTAATTTCAAAATTATTAAGGAAAGGCAAATATTTAGATTCATACAGGTTAAAAGAAAATATTTTCAAAATTTCAAATTTAAGCTTATAAATGTTCTAATCTACTTTTGAATGTGTATTCGTGACCCAAGATTGGTTTTTTCCAGGCCCCATCATTCTAATGACTTTTTTTTTTTTTTGAGACAGAGTCTCTCTCTGTTGCCCAGGCTGGAGTGCAGTGGTGTTATCTCGACTCACTGCAACCTCCACATCCCAAGTTCAAGCAATTCTCCTGCCTCAGCCTCCCGAGTAGCTGGGACTACAGGCACATGCCACCATGTTCGGCTAATTTTTTTTTTCTTTTTTTTTTTTTAGTAGAGACAGGGTTTCACCATGTTAGCCAGGATGGTCTCGATCTCCTGACCTCATGATCTTCCTGCTTTGGCCTCCCAAAGTGCTGCGATTACAGGCATGAGCCACTGCACCCAGCCCAGAGTTTTTTTTAACAAGGTTCTTCTCAGCAATTCTAGTATCCAGATATAGGCCCATCATAGACATCACACAAGCGTGTACTTCATAATCCTGGTGAATACAGAAGTTTCCTGGACTCCTTGATGAGCTACTGCTTTCGCTCCTATATCAGTGTTTTCAGCTGATGTCATTTGTGATTGTGTTTCTGACTTTCTGTAGGCAGAAAAAAACTTTCATTTTTTTTGCTTACATGCACATAAATGTAAGCGCTAATTCTTATATTAAACTGTTTATTTCTATAATACTTAATTGGCTGTTTTCCTGGCTGAACCAAACCAAGAGCATAAGGGATGATAACCTTCAAAACTGATTAAATTAGAGATCAATAAATGGAGCTGTTTTAATTCTATTATTCTTCTTTCATAGATGAAATAGAAAATTTTTGTAGATAGTTTTTCTTCGCTGTCTCTTTGGTTACCATGAGGTACTGCTTGTAGTGAAAAGGTAGAATAAATACGTGATCCTTTCCCTTTATTTACCATTTTCTATTTATCAGTTACTCTTTTATTTGCCAGTTTTCTAAGTAGCAATATGGTTTCCTAAAATCCTAGAAAGTACTTGAAGAAATTAAAAATGGATTGACTTTTTAAAAATTAATTTTGGGAATTATTCTCCTGACTCTTCTCAGTCTGATGAAATTTTTCTGTAAGATGTTGTATTTTTAAGTACTAGAATTTTTTTTAAAGTTTTTATCTCTGCTGAGGCTTCACATCTGTTTTCTCAATTTTATTTTTATTTCAATCCTTGAGCATGTTTATAATATAGTAGTATCCCCTTATTGTGGCTTTACTTTCCTCACTTTCAGTCACCCACAGTCAAAAAATATTAAATATAAAACTCCAGAAGTAAACAGTTTATAAATTTTAAGTCACACCTTGTTCTGAGGAATGTGATGCAACCTCCCGCCATTCTGCTGTATCCAGTTCAGGATGTGACATACCCCTTTGCTCAGCAGATACACAATTCCTGCTTCCTGCTCATTAGACATTTGCAGCTGTCTAAGTTATCAGATGGACCTATCTCAGTATCGCAGTGTTTGTGTTCAAGTAACCCTTATTTTACTTAATAATGGTCTCAATATGCAATAGTGTTGATGCTGGCAATTCAGATATGCAAAAGAGAAACCTGAAAGTGCTTTCAGTAACTGAAAAGCAGAAAGTTTTGCACTTAATGAGGAAAAAGATATGCTGAGATTGCTAACATCTAGGGTAAGAACTATTCCTTTATTGGTACAATTGTGGAAAAGGAAAAATAAATTCTTGCTAGTTTCGCTTTTGTACCTCAAACTTCAAAAGTCACAGACACAGTGTGTAGTAAGTGCTAATGTAGGGTTCGGTATTATCCATGGTTTAAGACATCCACTGGAGGCCTTCCAAAGTATGCCCCACAGATAAAGAGGGAATACTGTAGTCTTTTTATGCTAATTCCAATACCTGCATAATGTATTTATTCTATTGACTGCATGCTTTAACATCATTATAAGCTCAATGATTTAAACATATAAGGTGTGCACCTGCTCATTGCAGTCATCATCATCATCATCATCATCATTATTTTGGTTTGTTTGTTTTTGAGACAGATCTTGCTTTATGGCCCATGCTGGAGTGCAGTGGCATAATCACAGCTCACCGCATCCTCAGACTCCTGGGCTTAGGTGACCCTGCCACCTCAGCCTCTCAAGTAGCTGGGACTACAGACACAAGCTACCATGCCTGGCTAATTTTTTGTTTTCTATTTTTGGTAGACAGAAGGTTTTACTATGTTGCCCAGGCTTGTCTTGAACACCTGGGCTAAAGCAATCCACCTGCCTTGGCTTCCCAAAGTGTTGGGCTTACAGGTGTGAACCACCGTGCCTGGCTTGTGGTCATCAATATTATTGATGCTTATATTAGTTCATGTTTGGAGAGTGGGACTTCCTTCAAGTTGCCTCTTGGATCCTATGGACACGATCCTAGGGGGTATAAAAGTGTCCTTGCATTCCAGTATGACGAGATGCTCTAGATTGATTTTGCACATTGCCTGCCTGCAGCCAGAAAGCAGCCATTTCTCCAAGAAGCTTTGGTTCCTTTTAGTGAATGATGACATGGAGAATCCAAAGTTATGGCACCAAGGTGCTTTCTGCTTCTGTTTTATTTAATGCTTCCAGGACTTTTCAGTGGATAAGTCTAAAAGATAAGTGTATTTTTTTAAAAAATTTATAACTTTTAAACAAACCTTTAGGTTAACAGTCTTGATTAGAGGATTTTAATTATGCTCAGAGATATTACATCTGTATCTTCTTCTATTTCATTAGAAAAGTACCAGTTTTCAATGTCACACCCATAATGAGATGGAGTCTAGCTCTGTCACCCTGGCTGGAGCGCAGTGGTGTGATCTAGGCTCACTGCAACCTCCACTTCCGGAGTTCAAGCAGTTCCCTACCTCAGCCTCCAGAGTAGCTGGGATTACAGGCAAACTCCACCACACCTGGCTAATTTTTGTATTTTTAGTAGAGACGTGGTTTCACCATGTTGGCCAGGCTGGTCTTGAACCACTGACCTCGTGATCCACCCACCTCGGTCCCCCAAAGTTCTGGGATTACAGGCATAAGCCACCGCGCCCGGCGCTTTTTTTTTTTTTTTTTGAGACGGAGTCTCGCTCTGTTGCCCAGGCTGGAGTGCAGTGGTGCAATCATTCTCCTGCCTCAGCCTACCGAGCAGCTGGGACTATAGGCACGTGCCACCATGCCTGGCTAATTTTTTGTATTTTTAGTGGAGACAGGGTTTCACCGTGTTAGCCAGGTAGGTCTTGATCTCCTGACTTCGTGATCCACCCGCCTCAGCCTCCCAAAGTGCTGGGATTACAAGCATGAGCCACCGTGCCCAGCCCCATAACTACTCTCTTTTTTTTTTCTTTTTCTTTTTTTTTTTTTTTTTGAGACGGAGTCTCACTCTGTCAGCAGGCTGGAGTGCAATGGCACCACCTCGGCTCACTGCAACCTCCACCTCTGGAGTTTAAGCAATTCTCCTGCCTCAGCCCCCTGAGTAGCTGGGACTACAGGCACATGCCACCACGCCCAGCTAATGTTTGTATTTTTAGTAGAGAGGGGGTTTCACCATGTTGGCCAGGATGGTCTCAATCTCTTCACCTTGTGATCTGCCCATCTCAGCCTCCCAAAGTGCTGGGAACTAATCATTTTTTTAAAATCCTGCAATATAAGACAAACCAATAGCCTAAGACTAAAAATACAGCCTTCTGAAAAATAATAAGCAATCTGAGATTATTTTTGTGCATTATTTTGTTCTTAGGCTATATTTCATCATGAATATACAGTCATATTATTGCTTTTTAAAGTCAGTGTAATTCTGATTGACAGATGACATAAATATATTGATTAGAAAATAAAATATGATTTTCCAACCATTCCTAGACAGTGTTCTAACATGATTAACTTTAATTGCCAGAAGTAAAAGCTTTTATTTTACATGATTACACTTCATTGTACTAGAACATATCACAATCTCTATTTCCTTGAGACAAACAGTTTCCCTAATATGGTATTATAAAACTGTTTAAACATATAAAAATGTTGTGGGAAGTGCATATTTATAGTCCAACCACTTAGATTGTACAATTATCATTTTGTTATATTTGCTTTACTACATATCTATCACTCTATCCACCATTCTATCCAATTATCAACTCACCGTTTCTTATTTATGTCAAAGTATATATTTTTCTTACATACTTAACATATGTAGCATTATTGTTCAGTATTTGTGTACAGCTCATTTTTTTTAAGTTACTAAGGTTTTTTATTAACACCTCAGAGTAGAGGTTATGAAAGGACCCTGAATTGTTCCAGGAATTTTCTTCAGTGAGCATTTGTGAAGACTCGGGGATCAAGGTTGGGTTAAACTTTGTGATGGGTCCATTGGCAGTCTAGTCACAAGCACCTCCTCGATCCTTAGGTCCCAGCGGAAAATGATGCCAGACTCTTAAACTGCCACAAGGTAGCCTGGAAAGAACTCTACAGTCCAGAAAGAGCCTGGAAAGTGGTTTTGTGAGATGAAATTTACTCCTGGTGAAAATGCTGTGAATATTGTTTAGCCTACAACAAAGGATTTAGAATATTGATAAACATAGTAAAACAGTGGCAGGGTGTGAGAGGACTGACTCCAATTTTGAAAGAAGTTCTACTATGGGTAAAATGCTTATCAAACAGTATCGCATGGTACACTGAAATCTTTCGTGGAAGGAAGAGTCAGTTAATGTGGCAAATTTCATTGTTTTCTTTTAAGAAATTGTTACAACCACTTCAATATTCAGCAACCATCGCCCTTATCAGGCAGCAGCCAACAACATCAAGGCAAGACCCTTCACCAGCAAAAAGACTAAGACTCCCTGAAGGCTCAGGTGATCATTAGCATTTTCAGCAATAAAAGATTTTTATATTTTTTCTTTGTTTTAAATAATTGAGCTTCAAGTAAGGGCAGCAAGTAGTTTTTCTTCTTTTTCTTTCTGTTTTTCTTTTTTCTTTTCTTTTTTTAAAGACGTGTTTTGCCATGTTGTCCAGGCTGGTCTTGAACTCCTGAATTCAAGTAATCAACCTGTCTTGGCCTCCCAAAGTGATGGGATTACAGGTATGAGCCACCGAACCCAGCCAGCATCAAGAGTTTTAAAATTAAGGACATAACGCCATTTCACACTTTAAATAGACTATAGTGTAGTGTAAACATAGCTTCTTTTTTTAAATAGAGACAGGATCTCCCTATATGCCCAGGTTGATCTCACAATTCCTGGGCTCAAGTGACCCTCCCGCCTCCGTCTCCTAAAGTACTGGGATTATAGGCATGAGCCATCACACCCAGCCAATATAACTTCATATTCACAAGGAAACAAAACAATTTGTGTGACTCACTTTGTAGCAATATCTGCTTTATTGTGGTGGTCTCGAATCAAATCTACAATATCTTTGAGGTATGGCTGTACTTTCTAAGCATTTCCTGAGTCAGCCTACTGTTTCTCCATTTTTATTGTCACTATTCTATCTATTTTTTGTTTTGTTTTGTTTTGTTTTCTTGTTGTTGTTTGGAAACAGGAACTTGCTGTGTCACCCAGGCTGGAGTGCAGTAGCACGATCATAGCTCACAGCAGCCTCGATCTCCTATGTTGAAACCTTCCTCCTGCCTCAGGCTCCTGAGTAGCTGAGACTACGGGTGCATGCTACCACACCTGGCTCATTTTTAAAAAGATGTTTTTAGAGATGGGGTCGCATGATGTTGCCCGGGCTGATCTGGAACTCCTGGCCTCAAACAATTATTCCACCTCAGCCTCCTGAGTAGCTAGGGTCGATCCATTGTTGAAGAGTACATGGATGTTACTTTGCAGACTGTCAACCTGAATTTGTATTTGCTTGACATTGCCTAATTATTAGTTTCAGTGTCAGCTTACCCACTTTTTGTCTGCAACATGCAGAAGAGACAGTGCCCTTTTTAGTGTATCATATCAGGAATCATCTCACATTGGTTTGTGCCATTACTGGTGCAGTGACTTTCAGCCACTTGGGTAAGGTGGAGTTGGCCATATGTCTCCACTGCAAAATTACTGATTTTCCTTTTGTAATTAATAAGTGCGTGTGTGAAGATTCTTTGAGATGAGGTATATATCTCACTCTTCATCAAACTATAAGTTTTTTTAAGTAAAAGAAAATTTATTATGAAACTAAAGGAATAAAAGAATGACCACTCCATAGGCAGAGAAACGTCACTTTAAGGTTTTGACATCAATTGATTTTTGTCCAAATCAATAATTACTGCAATGATTGAAAAATGATTATTACTAAGTTTGTTTTCATTGTCTCAAGGTCTGCTGAACTCTGGATCCAGGCTGTGTCAACAGGGTAGTGTGGTGCCTCCTGTACCTGTCTTGGCCTCCTACAGTCCTTTTTACTTATTTTGTTTTTTAGAATAGAGACAGGGTCTTACTATGTTGCTCAGACTGGTTTCAAACTCCTAGGCTCAAGCCATCTTCCAGCCTCAGCCTCCTAAAGTGCTGGGATTACAGGCATGAGCCACCACACCCGGCCAAGTTCTTTACCATCTTCAGAAGGCTTAGCTTGCACTTTTGGAAGAAGAATAGACTCCCAGGAAGACTGTGAGAGAGATTTGGGGCCCAAATTGATATTATCAAATACACTGAACTTGACTGTATTCACCATGTTCTGGCTCTTGAGAAATGAGAGTGCTAGTGAGGCTGGTGCCACTTTGTGTATCTTCTGTACCTTGAAGTCCCTCAGAAACCTTGCCCCTGGTCTTCTCTGGTCTTCTCATTCTAAGGACATAACAGGTTCTCTTTTTCTCTGGAGATGAAATCTAGATCTTTGATTTTGGAACCAAATTTGGACTCTTGACTCTGAAGCACCAATTTCTTCAGCAAGTTGTTCTCTGGAATCAATCCCAGGGTATGGGTTTTTCATAAATGCATGGATGACTGTGTGTAATTGAAAGGTGCTATAGGTGGTACAACACCATCTGGCTTCTCTATTTTGAAACTCCACACCAGGTTAATCTTGTCCATGGCTGTGGCTTAAATCTAAAGTCAGGTTCTGGTGTTTTCTGGAATCCATGCCTAGCTCTTTGATTCTGAAACCAAATCTGGATTCTGGACTCTTCTGCATTGATTGCTAAAGCAAGTTTTTGTTTGGTAGCATAACCTGGGTAAGGTTTTTGAGTGAAGGTATTGATGAGGATTTTCAATTGATCTTCTGTGAATTTGGTGCAATTGCACCTATGATTTGTTGCTACCATCTTGTGTGAAGAGGGGTCTTCAACTATGCAGAAAGAGAGTTCTGGAGGCTGAGCTACTGTCTGGGAGACTGCTTACAGCTCATTTTTTAAAAAGAAAGGTCACATATAATACAATATAAAATTCACAAATCTAAAGCTTATGGTTTTCTGGGTTTTGACAAATGAAAACTCCTGTGCAACTTCAAGCCTTACCAGGATATGGATGAGGGTTTCTATCCAAAAGCACCAGTATTCTAACAAACAACTTTACGTTTTTTGAATTGTCCAGTGCCTGTGAGGATTCCTTACTCCAAGTTTATGACAAACATATTCAGAAGGCATAGTCTACAATTAGTGTTTGGGTAAGTATTTTCATCAATTGTCTGATTATTTGCTGTGAATTTGAAGTATGCTGATTCTTATGTAATTGTCTTCTGAGAAACATTGTGCCATTTTTCTTGTGGAAACCACCTGTAGAATAAACAGAAATTATGAACGCACAGAGTTGGTTGTGATGGGCACGTCTACCTGTGGCTGCCATTTAAGTGGAAGGTGGAATCCGACTCTGGAGCATCGGCAGCCTGAGCTGCTGCTGGGCTCACACTGACCCTGGGAGTGCTCTATGCATGCTTCACCTTATGAGGGGTGCAGAAGGAACAAAAGTAGAAAAGTGTGCTCTACTTTCATGTGTTACCAAAGGACAGAGGACACTACCAAGGATTTAGAAAACTGTTAAGTGAGGATTTATTCTTCTTAATAGCCTTTCAAGCAAGGAATTTGAAAACAAGATTCTACTCATCCCACACCAAAATGTAAACAGATATATTATTTTCTATACTCCCAGGATAATTTTGGTTTTACTTAAGCATCACTATCGCCCTCAAATGTCAAGTGGAAAAATAAATGTGAATAATCCCACCACTAGCCTCCAGACTTGATGTTCATGCTATTTCGTTTTTAAAATGACCTTTTAAAAGTTATAAATTAGAAACGTGGAAGTAGAATGGCTTCATGCAAGAAATACTGGAATAAGATCCCTGTTCTGGTCCCAGAGTCTTAGACAAGTCATTCAGCCTTTCTAAGCATCAGTTCTCCCTTCAGGAAAACATGGGCATTCATCTCTACGGGAGCTGCTAGCTCTAACTGTCAGTGAGTTTCTGAAACTTGCCCAGGAAGGAGCAGCCCCAGTGTGAGTGCATGCCACCCCTGTGCTTGCCTTTTGCCTGCTTCTTATCCTTGAGGTAGCCTGCAGGCTTCTCCTCATTCATCTCCTAAGCCAGTGCTATCTGACGGCACAGAATATGTTTCCAATTCTGGTCTCATCTGAAATACATTTTTCGTGGAAGAAAGATTACATCTATGACCTGCAAAGCATTATGCTCCTCTCTGTATTCCGGATCTTGTGTTATTTTTTTAATATGGGAAAATTTATGATTTTTTTTTTCCTGAGATGGAGTTTTGCTCTTGTCACCCTGCTAGAGTCCAATGGCATGATCTTGGCTCACTGCAACCTCTGCCTCCTGGGTTCAAGCGATTCTCCTGCCTCAGCCTCCCGAGTGGCTGGGATTACAAGTGCCTGCCACCACACCTGGCAAATTTTTGTATTTTTAGTAGAGATGAGGTTTCACCATTTTGGCCGGGCTCATCTTTAACTGCTGACCTCAGGTGATCCACCAGCCTCAGCCTCCCAAAGTGCTGGGATTACAAGCATGAGCCACCGCTCCCAGCACGATTATGTCTTTTTATATGAGAAAAATTTATTGAGATCATAAGGAAAAAAAAATCCCTGAGCCAAAAAATGTCAACCAAGAAGAAAAAGAAAGTGAGAAGTAAGAAAAATATGTATTTTAGAGAAAGTGAAGTGGGCATAGCAATCACATTGAAATCTGGGTATAGAACAACCTTCATCTCTAAAATTTATATTTAGTCAACCACTATGCTAAGCAAGGTTGTGGTAGGAATACCTGCCACCTATTTTAGGCCACATGTCTCTTACGGGCAAAAAGTAAAGCAAAGCCATAATTGTGGTTCGATATTTTGGATGTATTAATTCTCATTTCAGCATTTGCATAGTCTCACATTTTGGAAAACAAAATTGTGGTGATTTCACTTGTCTCTCCATATCATGATTATATTCAAAACTAGGAAACAAACGTAGACTAAAGAAGCAAATACTAAAGAGTGAGATCATGCAGGTTAAACAGATACTCTTTCTCAGGGAAAAGTCATTTACCCATCATGAGCTGATATACTGTTGTGAGTTTATATGGTTTAGTGTATTTACAACTTAACTAAGTATACATGATTCACTGTGTACTGTAGAATATAATTAAATTGACATTTGCTGGTACGGAATAAATTTGCACATCAGTGAAATAAATGATGAAAATAAATAAAGTCTGAGGCCAGATAATTCCATTGGTTACCAATTTATGTCTTCAGCTCTACACCAAAGCAAACATTTGTACTGGTTCTTTTTTTTTTTTTTTTAGTCACGCTGTACTTTATTTAAAGGTGGCCATAGCATTAAAGTGTGAATTCATTTTGTACAACCAGAAATGGAAAAGGAGTCAGTCAAGGTGGGGCAGAAGTTTCTAACAAAGTCTAAAGCATAGTTTTATATAACTAATAATAAGGACACAATGTTTAGCTTACTTAATTCCCAAACTGAGGTCACTAAAACTTAAGAATATCTACCAAAACTTAAGCAAAATCTCAGAGAGAAACTTTAAAAATAACATTTTATTTTTGATCATTCAAAATGTTTCAATCAATATTCTGAGCCTAAACGTGTAGGTGAGTGCTTTCTCCATCTTTGCACATGTGAAGTGCGCCTGAACCATAGCCCCACATTTTCTCAAACACCATCACACTCATAGAACAGAAAGGAAAGGGCAGTTTCACCAGCTAGCCCCCATAAACCACTCCCTAGGGTCCTCCCCAGCACCTGCTAAATTTGGGAGGCCTGATTCCAGGGGGCTGGATAATGAGCTGGCAAAATAAACCCAGAAGAATCGTAATTGCAGACAAAGATAAACTCAGGTTCCAGCACAGATAGACAGCCCATACCAGTGCTTTTGATATTAGCTGCAGTTAAGCGGGCAGGAAAGGCTCCCACTCTATGGCCGGTGGTGTGGTCAGCTCAGCGCCGCCACCTCGGCAGGCTCCATCCCACCATCACCCTCCCAATCAGGCTGATAGTGTCTCCTTATGCCAAGTGGAAGGAACTGCAATCAAATTCTGACACGACCTGCAAATCCTCCAGGGCCCTGGGCTACTGGTTAGGCCAGTAGGGCTGTGTATCAACCGATTAAACCAATTAATAACTGGCAGCACAGCACGGCCTCCTTCTCAACAAATTACGATGCTGATCCCCAGACTCGGCCATCCATGCCCATGGTCTATTGTTCTTACGCTTTCAAAACGCCTCCCCTGCTTCATGCTTTCTAGTCTTGAGGACTTGGCTTAAATATGCTTCTGAATTGCCACTCCCTCTTGTTGACAATTCTTCTTTTTTTTTTTTGGGAGACGGAGTTGCTCTTGTCACCCAGGCTGGAGTGCAGTGGCGCCATCTCTGCTCACTGCAACCTCCGCCTCCCGGGTTCAAGCAATTCTCCTGCCTCAGCCTCCTGAGTAGCTGGGATTACAGGCATCCACCATCACGCCTGGCTAATTTTTGTAGCAGAGACGGGGTTTCACCATGTTGGCCAGGCTGGTTTTGAACTTCTGACCTCAAGTGATCCGCCCCTCTCGGCCTCACAAAGTGCTGAGATTACAGGCGTGAGCCACTGCACCCGGCTGACAGTTCTTTACACCGTTCTCCAGTTGGGGCGGAGTGGGAGACACCACGGAGCCTACCTCTGCAGGAGGCACAGCTTGGCAGAAGGGAGACACCAGCCAGAGGAAGGATGCATTTTAGGCACCGAACTTTAGGTAAAGCGCTCTGGGTCAGGGGTCTCCTCCAGAGTGGTCTGTTTAAAGTTAAAAAGGTCGCCTTCAAAATAGTTGTAAAATCTATACACTTACCCAGACATACACATTTTTCGAGACAGGGTCTTGCTCTGTCGCGAAGGCTGGAATGCAGTGGTGCAGTCGCAAGCCATCTTCCTGCCTCAGCCTCCCGAGGAGCTGGGACCACAGGCCCGCACCACCACACCCGGCTAATTTCGTTTTCTGTTTGTTTTATTTTCGTTTGTTTGTTTTGGAAGGATGGAGTCTGACTGTGTTGCCCAGGCTAGTCTCGAACCTCTGGACTCAAGGGATCCTCCCTCCTCGGCCTCGCCAGGTGCTGGGGATTAAGGCTTGAGCCTCCACACCCGGACCTATTAATTATTCTTAATTAAAACATTTAAAGGACACAGCATTTGGGGTCAGCACAGCATTTGCAGTGGCTGCTCCAGCTTCGGGTCCGCAGGTCACCGCGGGGGCCCGGTGCCTACTGGCCCGGCCGCCCTGCGGGTTAGCTCATGGGGATTCTCTGGAGAACCCTGAGCCCACCTCCTGCGCCCCGCCCAACCTTGGGTCCCCAGGCCCAGCCTCCGAGGCCCCGCTCCCAGCGCTGCCGCCAGAGCTCCAGGCTGCGCTCCCCCAGGCAAAGGCGCCACCGGCGTGTCCAGCGCAGCCTCCTCCTCCAGGCGGCGCGTGTGAGTCAATGGAAATGACCGTGGCGGGCGGAGCAGCCACCTAGGACATCGCGGAAGCCTCCTGAGGGGACTTCCACGGCTTGTCCCAGGAGCTTCTACAACAGCTGGCATTGAGAGTTCAGTTATAATATTTTCCGCCAGTTTTTCCCAGCCCGGCCCCCAAGCGTCTGATTTTAAAGTTCCCGCCTCAGGCTCCGGGGCGCCTACCCTGCAAGGGCGCCAGTTCTCCGACACCTGCTAGGGAATGAATCCCCATCCCAGGAGGAAGGCGTGGCGGGGACGGAAGAAACAACCACACGATCTGTGACAGTGACCAAGCTTTAGAGGCCCCGTGTGCCTGCCAGGCGCCTGAGCCCACACCGTCCACGCTTCCCTGCCCCGGCGGGAACCACCTGTTCTCCTTGCACCGGCGAGGGCCCGGGGTCACCCCCCGCCGGGCCGACCCCAGGCAGCTCCAGAACCCCCTCCCAATCGCCCCGTCTTGGGAGCGCAGGGAGTCTGGCTCTTCCCTGCCAATAACGAAATCATCACGGACATTAGGAAAGCGGGGCGAGGCTGGGAAGGGAGCGGCTTTAATCCGGGGTCCGCCCCCTTCAATTCTCCAGCTTAGCGGTCCCGAAAGTGGGGTGGGGACGGGGATTGAGGCTGAGCTCGCTTCTTCCTTGTTTTCCGGGTCTTGCGCCTCTGAAGCGAACTAGGCCTGGAGGAGTGCTGGGGGTCGAGGAAACAGGGTTGGGGTGACCGAGGGACAGGTGGGGCGGGCACCTGGGCCCCGGTCGAGGCGGATTCCGAGGCGGAGCCGCTGCCTGCCTGCGCCTCGCCTGCTCGGTCCACCCAACAGCTCCGCCCTAGACTCGCAGCTGCGGAAGCGGTGGGCCGGGTGGTGATTACAACCCTGAGCGCTGTCCCTTTGGAACCTGACTCCCGACTCCGCTCAGCAACCGGGAGGTTGCGACCTCAAAGCCCTCTGTGCTTCTCCATCGATACCGGGCCGCCTCTCTCGCCTGCAGCGCACGCCTCCGCCCCCAGGGGCAGCGCAGCGAGGCGGAGACCCTCCTGCATTCCGAGCGTGCGGGGCAGCCCTCAGACTGAGGACCTGCGACTTCGTGGGACGCCGGTGTCCGCCACTGCGCCCCTCCAGGGAGCAGAGGCGGCTCTGGAAGTCGGTTTAGGGCGGAGACCGCGACTGGAGGGGCGCAGAACGCTCTTCCCAGCGTCCCGGGCTCCACCGGCACAATTTTAAAACCAGGGGCGAAATCCGAGTCCTGCCGCCACGCGGGGGTGGAGCGTGACCGCCTCGCCGCGCGCTGTCTCAGGCTCCGCCGGCTTTAGCGCCGCGAGGCTGCCAGGTGAGTTCCAGGGCTCTGTGGTTCCTAGAGCGCTCCCGGGAGTCTCCTGGCTGCAGCGGGAACCGAGCTGGATGCCCGGACAGCGCCGGGGTCGTTTTTCTGCCCCTGCCCCGTGGCCGGAGCCGCAGGCCTGCCGCTACCCCCACCCGGGCCACGCCTTCCTTCCTCGCGGCCGGACCGCGCCAGAGTCCCGGGCCCTGGCTGGAAACTCGCAGGCCCCGGGCAGCCTGGGCCGCAAGTGCGATGAAGAAGCGGGGCCCGGCGCGCACATGTGGTTCCGGGCAGGAGCCCCGGCCGCCTCGTGCCCTTCTTCTCGCCCACGACGGTGGCCGGCGGCGGCCTCTGCTTCCCGGACCCATGAACAAAGCTGGAGATGCGGCTTTGGAGTCGGCCCTGGGACCTGCTTCTTCTCTTGGCTTCGGGGACCGCAGCCCAGGGCGTTCCCTCCGGATCGGTGGCCAGGGCTTGCGGGGCGTGTGCGACTCGGGACCCCCAGCCGGGCAGCAGCGGCCGCCAAGCATGGCAAGGAGCAGCGCCAGCTTCTCCCCACCGCGTCCCGGGATGGCGGGCTTCGGGTGGGAGCCGGCCCGGGACATCCAGGTGGGATCAGCCACCGCTCAGGCCTTGTCCCAAGCGGACGCGGCCAGAGGCAGTCTCAGCACCACGCAGGCCGCGGGCTCAGTGGGCAAAGAGAGGGGCCCCCGGTTTAGACCAAAAACGTGTGTTCTCCAACCTCCTACTTAACAGCCCCTGTCTCATATGCTGGTTCCTGTCTCTAATAGTTCCTAGGTGTCTGGGACCGGTGACTTGGCCCCTGTTATCCCCGAGCTCAGCCGCAGGCTTCAGGGACCTGGGCAAAGTGTGGATAACCCTGCCCGCCTTTTGGGGAGGAAAGCCAGTTGCTCCCCTAGCCTCTACTGTGGCACTACGAAGCAAGGGCAGCCAAGCTGATCGCTGGTTTCATCTGCACCACCCCACTCCCTCTGGCAGGTGATGAGATGGCCAGTGACGGGTGGGTTGGCAGCTGGACTGGCGTGGCATGGCTAGCTGCCCTGGGCACCATATTCCCTGCCTGTCACCACTCCTGGTTGTCCAACAAAGCAAAGTCACAATGACAAGATCCAGAGAGGGGAGTCTCCAGCTGGAGATGGTGCCGCTGTCACAGGGCACCAGAGCAGCAATGTGACAGCTTCTCATGGAGGCAGACTCTGTTCCCAGTCCCTACCCAACCCTGGCTTGATCCTTGTCAGTGTCTTATTTCTTTGCCTTGCCTTTATCTCAGCCTGGCTTCCCTTCCAGGCAGCTCTGAGTGGCTCTTGGTCCAGGCTTGTCTCCATCTCTCCTTCCTCTTCCCAACTCCCTAAACTCAGGACCCAGTCACTCCTGCTCCTTACATACACACACACACTAACACACGCACACACTCACTCTCACCCTCTCCCCCCCACACACTCACACACACTCCCACCCTACCTTAGGAAACAGGTTTCCTTCCATGAACCTTTATTAAGACCTGTGGGGAATGACCAGGATCTGGGCCCCCAGTGTGTCTGTGAGCCAGCTTGTGTGTGTGTGCAAAGGTGTGAGTGTGTGAGCATCCATGTGGCTGTGGAAATTAGAAAGCATGTGTGTACACACGCGAGTGTGACAGTGAAGTGCTGAGAGTTGAAACAGTGTGCGTTTGGGGTCAGTGTGACCTTGTCTGTGTGGGCACACAGGTGAGCTGTGGCGACGGTGGAGGGATGTGAGTGACTCTGAGTGTGGAAGCTGAGCCCAGGGCAGATGGACAAATGCATCCTTTGAGCTCCTGTAGAGACTGCCACTCCATACCTTGCTCAACTACTCCCTCTTTGTCATCCTGGGCTCCCTCAAATCAGGATGGGGTGCAGGAAGGGGAAGTGAAGCTGGTGACCTATGGGAAGGGGACTGTCTGCTTCCTGGGCCTGTCAGCCACTGATCTGTTCCATGTTCCTACAAATACTTACAAATCCCAGCTGCTGAGGAGCAAGACATCCTCCACCAGCCAGTTGGGGCTCCTGGCCTGGAGCTATGGAGCGAGACACATGGGGGAGGGGAGGGGGGACCGCATCAGAAAGGCTGGCATCAGGGACTCCTGAGTTCAGCTCCTAGTTTTGCCAAAGGTTAGCCTGGGCACCCCAGTATGTCTTCATCAGGAACTGCAGAGCCAGACACACCATCCACGCCTCTGCCCCAGGAAGCGGCCCTACCTCTGCCTGAAGAGAGAGACTCCCACCTCAACAGCCAGCTTTCTGCCTTCTAGTCACGCCTCTCAATTAGGGGTAAAAAGAGGGGTCTTCTTGTTTTTTGTAGTGGGGGGTGTCTCACTGTGTTGCCCGGACTGTTCTCTAACTCCTGGCCTCAAGTGATCCTCCTGCCTGTAGCTCTGAAAGCACAGCAATTACAGGTGTGAGCTGCCACACCCAGCAGCTTCTTACCCTTTAAACACCACACAAAATTCTCCTGGAGTTCCTGGGGGAGATTGTCTCTTTGAAATCAAAATCTTTCCCAGGACACCTTGAGCAATCCTTCAGGCTCTTTCTGGATTGGAGGCAGAAGAAATTGCAGCTCGGTGACCCTCCCTTTGCAAGGGCCCCCTCTGCAGCCCTTGAGGGGAGTGAAAGCATTTTCATTTGGCCTCATGCCCAGCTGAAGCCAGCTCTTTCACTTCTGGAGCTGGGCTGGTTGTGATAACCTGGAGGAGGGGGAATGAGTTGGGATGACTCACTTGCCCCAGCCCATCAACCCTGGCCTAGGCTTGTGGCCAGACACCTGGTTAACCACCCCAAGAGAGCTTCCTTTCTCAGGGAAATAATGATTATTGATTATTGATCCTCTATATCCACTTCCCAGGACACTGTCAGGCACACCACAGGCCCTTGGGCATTTTTGTGGCATCATCAGCCTTATTCCTGGATCACCATGTCAAGCTTTCCCAATAGCAGTTGGTGGCAAACTCCAACTCCTACTGTCAGAAGGCATCACAAGGCCCAGATATGCTGGGCCTCCCAGCTCAGGCAAGCCCAGCTGTCAGGGACACAGAAACCCCTGACACTGAGCCAAGATCTTTTCCCCCTGTCTTGGCTTGAAATTCAGATATATTGATGTTGAGCCCTCCTGGCCCGCAGTGGGACCCCCCTTAGCCTTACAGAGGTAATGCCTATATCATGGCCTAGGTTTTTCCAAAAAGCCAGACTCTGGGAAGAACCTGGAGTGGAGGAAAAAACCAGGCAGAGGTAACCCCATGAGGGGCTCTGGCATGTGACTCCCTGCTGGAAACGTGCCCCTAACAGGGCATCAAAGCCAGGCAGGCAGGGGCTCCTGCTCTGCCAGAGGCTGGAAATCAGGACTGCAGCTTCCCATCTTACTCTGGGGATGCAGGTCAACTATTTTCCCTCAGATGAGAGATGCTGAAGTTCCAATTTTATAAGATGAGAAGAAGGGCTGAGGTGATGCCCATTCTGCCACTTTGCTGAGTCCAGAGCTGTGATGAAGAGGGAGAAGTCACAGGACAAAGAAGGGGGCTCAGGGACCCCGGAGTTTTCCTTGGCAGAAGTCAACTTGCCCCGCCCCTGAGAAAACTCTGACCTCAGCTGCCAGGGAGGAAAGCAGGGACTGGGGAGGAGGGGACAAGGAGAGGGAATAGTCTGGTGCTCTGTGCTCTGGGAGAGAAGTCTGATGGCGGCAGTGACTCAGGAAGGGTTAAGAATATTCCTAAAATAGCCAAGCCACAGCCTAAGCCAGTTCATGAATGCCTCTTCCAGAGAGCAGATCAGTAGCAGGAAAATTCAGCCTGATCTTCGCCCCACTGCCTGCCGCCTGCCCCTGGCTACTAGTTAAGCCTCCCACCCTGTCCCCTTCACCAACTCCTGTCCTAGTGGGGATGGGGTAGGAGTAGTCAGAGGGGCCAAATCTCCCCCAGTCAACAGGGAACTCCAGCTGGGACCAGGAGTACTGGGCCCCAGTGCCCGCCACCACCCCCCACCCCCATCCACATTCCTGGTCTGAGTCAGGTAGGAGGACTTGGGACAGACAGGCAAAGTGCAGGCCTTGTACATGGGATGGAAGGTGCCAGAAGAGAGCAGCCAAATTCTCCCACCCACACACATGCATCACCAGCCATGATCAGGTGGGACCTCCAAGATCATCCTCAAATACTGCCTTCTCCTAGCTCTGTGTTCCCCTTTACTTAGGGCATCTTGGAGTGAGATGGGCAGGGAGGGGTCGAGTGAGTCCCTTCATGAACAAACCTTATCTTTGTTTCAGGGACAGGACTGGGTACATAATTTGCAGGACCCGGTGCTAACTGAAAATGTGGAGTCTGTTCAAAAATTGTTAAGAATTTGAAGGCAGTGACAACATAGCACTAAACCAAGTTCAGGTCCCCTCTGACAGTGGGGCTTTTGCCACTGCACAGGTGGCACCTCTATGAAGCCAGCCTTGTGCAGGGGTTTGGTTTAATGAACATTTACTTAGCGCCCACTGCTCAGCTCTTCTGGCTCTGTAATATGGTGTGGCTCTGTGTCTGCACCCAAATGTCATTTTGAACTGTAATCCCCACGTGTTGGGGGAGGGGCCTTGTGAGAGGGCATTACATCATGGGAGTGGTTCCCACATGCTGTTCTCGTGATACTGAGTGAGTTCCCACGAGATCTGATGGTTTTATAAGGGGACTTTCCCCTCTTCTGCACTTCTCTCTCCTGCTGCCACGTGAAGGATGTGTTTGCTTCCCCTTCCACCATGATTGTAAGTTTCCTGAGGCCTCCCCAGCCATGTGGAACTGTGAATTAAACTTCTTTCCTGGAGTGTGAAAATGAACTAATAAACTCTGTGACCTCAGAGACTCCCTCTCTGTGACCCTGTTCTCAAATGTATGAAGATGGGTGCTCAAAGATCTCTCTCTAAACATGGAACAGGGCCTGTCTGAAGACATAAGTGATTAACTTCTAATCTATAACTAAGGTCTGAGTCCTGAAGACCTTCCTCTGGAGGCTGAGTAGTTAATCTAGATGGGTCCAGGTGCTGCAGGTGATTACCTTTATCTTGTTTCCTGCAAAATCATGGAGGTTTGGGAAGTTCCTTTAGACCCATTCTCGTATGGAGGTTTGTTTTCTTCTTTTTTCTTTCCTGCAAGGACAAACCGAATTCTGTGATGGTTTGTGTAGCATTTTTGAGTTTATTGCCAAAAATTGAGGCTCGTTTGTAGACTACATTTTTTAATAAAATAAAACTTTCTAGACAAAGAAATGCAGGTGAAACTGTTCCTTTGACACCATTTTCCAAATCTACACAGAGTTGATAGCAAATTTTTCTCTTTATCTTTCCTTAAATTGTATATATTCATATAAATGCTCTTAAATTCTTAGTGCAACCGAGTGGATTGTCATTACAGAGCATGTCCTTAGCATAGAGCACAGATCTTCCCACTGTCAACTGGGCTCTGTTCACAAAGCACCCAGAGCTGGCCTTCAACTTCCACTCCTCAGTTCCTTTGCCTACCTTATTTCTAAAATAGGGAAGGTATTTGTCTTTTTAATATTTAATAAATGACATTTATTATCATTCTGCCTACTGAATTTCACTTGTCTGTCTGGTAATAACCTACTCCCGTAAGAATCAATGAGTTCTTGGTACATATTGGTCTAAATTTGCCTCCTCTTTGAACCTTTTTCCAGTTTTCCAGGCAAGGTTGATTTATCTATCTATTTATTCTATGTTTCCATAACAATCTTTCCAAGCATAATACAGTAAAAAAAGAGCTGATTCATCATGTCCTGTCCGTTTCCCTCTGGAGACTTTGGAGCCAATGTGAGGGTACAGGTATGCTCCTGTATAAGCTCTTTGGTCGCCTTTGTCAGTTTAGGACAGTTCTCAGTATGTAATTGTTCTCAGGTGCCATTAAACTAGACCTGAATAATTGAAGGATTGAAAGTGTTCAGAAATCACCCAGGATGCTTCAATAATTCATCCTAATTAGGGATATGGGGATAGTTTGCATGAGAAAGAAGTTTTTCTTTTTGAGGAAAAGTTAAAATTCAGCAGGCAGAATGAAAATAAATGTCAATAATTTTTTATTTTAAAATATTCATGTTTTACTATTTTGATATAATTTTTAAAGAAAAAGGCAGAAACCACTGCTTATTAGAAGGCAGATTTTATTGATTTTATACCCCTAGACTTGTTGCATATCAAACCTATGTAAAAACATCTATAAATCAAATCATTAATTGCACCTAGTATAATAATTCTATATATGGAGGTAATGTTTGATTCTTCAGGAGCTTTAATAACTTGAAGCCCGTTTGATTGCTTTAAAATGATTTCTCATTGTATTTGTTTATATTGTATCATTAAGCAAAAGTACAGAGTAAGCAATTAGTGTGATTAATTCCTCTTCCATAATACAGTAAAGCACTGCCTCCATAGACCAATTCTCTGGGATCCCTGGAAAACATCTGGCATCCAGCAAGTCTTGACCCCTCTTTAGAAAGCCATGGAGAAACTGGAGGCAATTCTGTTAATTATTTGCCCTCTAGAGGCAATTGGGTTAATTACCCTCCCTTCCCTATCCATGACACAATTTCTCCAGTTACATGTAGAATGCTGTTATGTGTCTCCTGACCAGACCCCTTATTTCATAGATGTGGAAACTGAGGCCATGAAGGATGAGGTGACTGTTCACAATCCACATGGCTAGTTAGTGTCCAGAGCCTGGCCTGGACTTCTCTCTTGTTCTGGGGCCTTGAGTTCTCTCCCTCTTCTTTAGTACATATGGCCACAGGTAACGTAATCTGCGTACCACATTTGCATTTGGAGTGCATCTGTTTTGCATTCATTTAATCTTGTTGAGATGGTTTGCTTGTTGACCTACTCAGTCAGTTATCTTTTCACCTTTGTGAGTTGAGAGCTTTGTGTATTAAATCTGTAAAACTTTGCATCGTGGAAAGTGACATAATCTGTAGCAGACCCATGCTGTTTTTAGATGCATCTTCATTGTGGTAGTGACAGTGATTGAGAAACTTTACATGTTTTTCTGTGCTATTTCAGAATATGCCTTCTGAATTCAGCTAGAGGTGGAGTCAAAAACAACAGAATACTATATTTTTGTTTCTCTGATTTAGGTAAAATACCTCTTTTCTGACAAGACTAGGACTCTTACATAGACTACCATGAACTAAAAGAAGCACAACATTGCCAGAGTAACCTGTGGTACGTGTATTAATCACTTACTGAACATTTTACTTGCATTCTTTCAAGAAAATGAGTTTATTTTTAGATACTTAGTCAAATTATCTTGACTCTCTGATGTTTTTAAAGAGTATTTATAATAGATTTAGTTATTTCATTAATATTGAATGTATTTAAAACTAAATGCATCCCAAAGGAAACTGAACAGTTAAAACATGGTTTATTTCTGCAAATATTAACTTAGTGAGAAATCCCAGGGAATCTGCACATTTGTGTTTTCTATCTAACAATCATGAATTTCTTAGTGTATGTTTTGATCAGGCTGTCTTTTGATCACAGTTTTGTGACCACTCTGTTATTCCTCTCTCTCTGGCAGTCATTTCCCAGAATTGACAAGGAATTCATCCTGAGATGATTTCTGCTAAGTAAATCCTAGCACTTCTTGACACTTTAGAAAAGGCTTTGGAATAATTTTATATTAGCATTTTTCACCTGCATATTTTTACATGTAAATATAAGCTGTGAATGCATTACTTTGAAAGAGAGCCAGGATAAAATTTAAAGAAACATGGTTTTAGAAGTCCAATGGTAGTATAAGATTTCACAAAGAAACAGACTGCTCTTCATTCAGTACTTCCTATTTACTCCCCAGACACAGCCAACTTCAACATTTTTTACTTAAAAAATGTATTTTTATATTTCAAAATAACATGTTTATGTGACCTGTCTCTCACCCATCCTGCCCTACTCTGGCTTTACCCCCTTCAGAATATTTAAAATTTCTTGAGTATCCTTAGCATATACCATTCCAATCATGAATCTTGGGGTAGGCTTATTTTTTTTTTAATTTGTGCATTTAATAAACCCCTAGTGGTACATGTCTGTTTTTCTTGTTAATTCTTGGAAATGTCTTTCTATTGTTTCTACAATAATTTTCTTCCCCTCTAGCTTCCCTTTTTCTTCTGGATCTCGTTAGGTATTGAACCTCTTGAGTTGATTTTCTAATTTTTGTCATCTCCCTCTCTCATTTTTTGTATTTTGTGTTTAATTTTCTGGTATCTAATTCACCTTGATTTTCTATCTTTCTGGTGATATTTTCATATGCTGTCACTCTTACAGTTGTCAAACGCCTTCTCCTGACCTTGCCCTTGTGTTCTGTTTACTCTGCCCACCTCTTCGATTCTCCCCATTGCTACCTGGTGTTTTGGTTTCTTTTTCTTTTCTTTTCTTTTTTTTTTTTTTGAGACAGAGTCTCGCTCTGTAGCCAGGCTGGAGTGCTGTGGCGCGATCTCAGCTCACTGCAATCTCCACCTCCCGGGTTCAGTAGCTGGGACTACAGGCACATGCCACCACACCCAGCTAAATTTTGTATTTTTAGTAGAGACTAAACATACATTTCACCATGTTGGCCAGGATGGTCTCGATGTCTTTACCTCGTGATCCGCCCATCTCAGCCACCCAAAGTGCTAGGATTACAGGCGTTAGCCACCGCTCCCAGCCTTGGCTTCTTAATTTTGTTTTATAAGCTTTCTTCAAAGGCCTGGTCATCATTTGCTGTGTGTTTATATATTTTTATTTTTTCAGTGGGCAAAATACATGTAACATAAAATGTATCACATTAACTATTTTAAGTGTACAGTTCAGTTGCTTTAACTATATTCATAATGTTTTGTAATGATTCCCACCATTCCTCTCTAGAACTTTTTCATGTGAAGCTCTGTACCTGTAAAACAGTAATTCCTAACTCCTGTCATCTTCCAGTCCCTATTAACCACCATTCTACTTTCTGCCTCTATGACTTTGCCTATCTTAGGTACCTCATATAAGTGGAATCATACAGTATTTGTCTTTTTGTGTTTGGCTTATTTCCATTAGCATAATGTATTCAAGGTTTCATTGTTCATCCACATTGTGAAATGTGTCAGAATCTCCTTCCTTTAAAAAGGAATAATATTCCAATAATATTCCATTGCGTGCATATATCACATTTGTTTATCCATTCATCCACCAGTGGGCATGATGTTGCTTCCACCTTCTGGCTACTGTGAGTACTGCTGCTGTAAACATTGCTATGCAAATATCTTTTTGGGTCCCTGCATTTAATTATTGGGGCTATATACCTCAAAGTGGAATTACTGGGTCATATAGTAATTCTATGTTCAACTTTTTGAGGAACCACTGTGCTGCTCTGTAGAGCAGTCCACCACTTTACACTACTATTAGTAATGCACAAGGGTTTCATTTTCTCCATGTCCTTGTCAACACTTTTAATTTTCCATCTTTTGTTTGTTTGCATTATAATCGCCATTTTAATGGGTATGAAGTTGTACCTCTTTGTGATCTTGCTTTACATCTCCCGTATGACTTGTGATATTTTCTGCACATATTTTAAGGTTTATATACTAACAAAGCCGATTACTAGGGGGGTGTGTGTAGGGGGAACTGTGTGGCTGCTGAGTGGCTTCCCTGTGGGATGATCAGCCAGAACCCACTATTGTATCAGGAAATCCCCAGGTGTCACCATCTATGGGTCTTTTGTAGTTTTTATGGGTACACAGTAGGCATATATGTATTTATGGGGTATATGAGATATTTTGATACAAACATATAATGCATAATAATCACATCAGGGTAAATGCGTTATCCATCATCTCAAACATTTATCATTTCCTTGTATTATGAACAATTCAGTTATACGCAGTTATCTTAAAATGTACAAAAAACTATTGCTGACTATAGTTACCCCGTTGTGCTATCAAATAAAAGATCTTATTCATTGTAACTACATTTTGTACCTATTAACCATCCCCACTTCCCCCCACTGGCTACACTTCCCAGCCTCAAGTAACAACCATTCTACTCTATCTTCATGAGTTTGTTTTAATATTCAGCTCCCCCAAATCAATGTGAATGTACAAAGTTTATCTTTCTGTGGCTGGCTTATTTTACTTAAAATAATATCCTACAGCACCATTCCATGTTGTCACTAATGACAGAATCTCATTCTTTGTTATGGCTGAAAAGTACTCCATCATATATAGGCACATTTTCTTTATCCATTCATCTGTTGATGGACACTGAGGTTGCTTCCACATCTTGGATATTGTGAATAGTAATGCAATAAACATAGGAGTGCAGTTATCTCTTCGATATATTGATTTTCTTTTTTTGTGTATATATCTAGCAATGAGATTGCTGGATCATATGATAGCTCTAATTTTAGTTTTTTGAGGAACCTCCAAATTGTTCTCCATAGTGGTTGCACTAATTTACATTCCCACCAACAGTATGCAAGGGTTGGCTTTTTTTCCATATCCTCACCAGCATTTGTTATCACCTGTCTTTTGAAAAAACAGCCATTTTAACTGAGGTGAGATGATATCTCTTCATAGTTCTGATTTGCATTTCTCTGATAATCAGTGATGTTGGCCACCTTTTCCTAAGTCTGTTAGTCTTTTGTATTTCTTTTTTTGAGAAATATCTATTAAGATCTCTTGCCCATTTTCAAATCAGATTATTAGATTTTTCTCTATACAGTTGTTTGAGCTTTTTATATATTCTGGTTATTAATCCCTTGTCAAATGGATAGTTTGCAAATACGTTTCCCCATTTTTTGGATTTTCTCTTTGTTGACTGTCTCTTTTGCTATGCAGAAGCTTTTTAACTTAGTGCAATCCCAATTGTCCACTTTTGCTTTGGTTGTCTGTGCTTGTGGGGTATTGCTTAAGAAATCTTTCCATAGTCTAATAGCCTGGAGAATTTCCCCAATGTCTTCTTGTAGTAGTTTAACCTACCAAGATTAAACCATGAAGAAATTCAAAACCTGAACCGACCAATAACAAATAATGAAATCAAAGCCTTAATAAAAACTACCAACAAAGAAAATCCTGGAAGCAATAGCTTCACTGCTGTATTTTACCAAACACATACAGAATAACTAACACCAATCCTACTCAAACTATCCCAAAGAATAGAGGAGGGAGGAATATTTCAATGCCTGATACTTAAACCAAAGACAAATTAAAAGAGAAAACTACAGGCCAATATCCCTATGAAAAATTGATGCAAAAATCCTCAAGGAAATTTACAAACAAAACAAATCCACAACATATTGAAAATTATTCATAATGACTAAGTGGAATTTATGCCAGGAATGGAAGGATGGTTCAAAATATGCAAATCAATGTGATCATCATATCAACAGAATGAAGGACAAAATTTATATAATAATGTCAATTGATGCGGTAAAGCATTTGATAAAATTCAACATTTTATTGTAAAAACCCTTCAAAAAACAGGGTATAGAAGAAACATACCTCAACACAGTAAAAGCCATATAAGACACTCCCACAAGTATAGTATCTTACTGAATGGCAGAAAAACTGAAAGCCTCTCCTCTAAGCTCTGGAACAAGAGATGCTCATTTTCACCACTCTGCCTCCTGAGTTCAAGCAATTCTCCTGCCCAAGCCTCCCTAGTAGCTAGGACTATAGGTGCATGCCACCACACCTGGCTAATTCTTTTCTTTTCTTTCTTTTTTTTTTTTTTTGTATTTTTAGTAGAGATGGGGTTTCACCGTGTTAGCCAGCATGGTCTCAATCTCCTGACCTTGAGATCTGCCCACCTCAGACTCCCAAAGTGCTGGGATTACAGGCATGAGCCACTGGGCCCAGGCCTTCCTGTCTTCTTCTAAGCTCTCCAAACTGTTCCAACCTCTGCCCATTACCCACTTCCAAAGCTGCTTCCACATTTTCAGGTATCTTCATAGCAATGCTCTACTTCCCAGTACCAATTTTCTGTATTAGTCTGTTCTTGCACTGCTATGAAGAACTACCTGAGACTGGGTAATTTTATAAAGAAAAGTGGTTTAATTGGATCACGATTCTGCAGGCTGAACAAGAAGCATGGCTGAGGAAGCCTCAAGAAATTTACAATCATGGCAGGAGGTGAAGAGGGAGGTGACACGCCTTACATGGCTGAAGCAGGAGGAAGAGAGAGCAAAAGGGAAGATGCTACGTACTTTTAAACAATCAGATCTGGTGAGAACTCACTATACAAGAATGGCAAGGGAGAAATCCTCCCCCATGATCCAATTACCTCTGCCCAGACCCCTCCTCCTACACTGGGGATTACAATTAGACATGAGATTTGAGTGGGGACACAAATCCAAACCATAAGGTTAGTATTAAAAGTTAATTGCTTTCCTATATACTAGCAATGAAAAAAACTGGAATTTGAAATTTCAAATACAATGCTATTTACATGAGTACCCCAAAAATGAAATATGTAGGCATACAGTAAACAAAATATGTACAGGATCTATATGAGGAAAACTTCAAAACTTTAATGAAAGAAATCAAAGGAAACCTAAATAAATTGATATATATTTCATGTGCAAGGATAGCAAGACTCAGTATTGTTAAGATGTTAATACTCCCCTTCTTGATCTATAGATTCAACTCTACTCCAATTAAAATTCTAGCAGGTTATTTTGTAGATATAAACACATTTATTCTAAAGCTTATATGAAGACGCAAAAGACTCATAGTCAAAATGCTGAAGAATAACAACTCAGAGGACTGACACTACCCAACTTTAAGACTTACTCTCCAGCTAAATAATTGAGTTAGCATGGCATTAGTGAAAGAATATGCAGATTGATCAATGGTTCAGAAGAGAGAGCCCGGAAATTGACCTATGCAAATATAGTTAGCTGAGCTTTGACAAAGAAGCAAAGGCAATTAAATGAAAGAATGCAGTCTCTTCAACAAATGGTGCTTAAAAATTGATGTCCATGTACAAAAAAAAAGAATCTAAGTTCAGACTTTACACCCTTCTCAAAAATTAAAACTCAAAATGGATCAAAGATCTAAATGTAGAATGCAGAATCAGAAAACTTCTAGATCAAGAATATCCAGGTGACCTTGGGTTTGGTGATGTATTTTTAGATACAGCTAAGTGTAGGTGCAGTGGCTCACACCTGTAATCCCAGTACAGGTGTAGCTGTAGGGAGCTGAGGGAGGCAGATCGCTACAGCTCAGGAGTTTGAGACCAGCCTGGTCAACATGGTGAAACCTAATCTCTACCAAAAATACAAAAAATTAGCAGGTGTGGTGGTACGCACCTGTGGGGCCAGCTACTTGGGAGGCTAATGGGGGAGAATTGCTTGAGCCTGCGAGGCAGAGGTTGCAGTGAGCTGAGATTGCACCACTGCACTCCAGCCTGGTGACAGAGCAAGACTCTGTCTCAAGAAAAAAAAAATGTCGTTTTATCCACTGGGTTTTGTTTCCTACTTTTTTGATTTGTGTTAAGAAAGGGGAAAAAAATCACAAGTTTGTCTAACCATTCAGTAGAAAAACAGAGCATTTGCAGACAACTTGGCAAGGGTAGAGAAATGGATGTACTGTTTTTCAGTATTTGGGGAAGGTGGTTTGAGCAGTATTTATTGACAATTTCATTAGTGGGGATGTTTCTATTAAAAACACATAGTAAGATCATTAAGTGTTCTTGCAATATAAAGTAATAATACCACCAGTGTTTATCTTACTGTTTTCATGTTCTAAATGCATGCACCTGAGTAAAAGGATCTGGGCTGCAGTCTAGGCTGAGAGATGCCAGCAAAGGCTGCCTAGGCCAGTGCAGTCCAGTAAATCCCTCTTTAATCTTCTTTTCCACACAGACAGCAGTGATGAGCATGCCCACGAACCCACATGATTATTTTGGGAAAAATGAAAGAGTTGTATTCTTTTTGTGGTAGTAATTCCACTTCCAGGGGCAAATACATTTTGATTATTTTATCACCTTTCAGTGAGTTGTTTTTGTTCTTTAACCAAGGATGTATGTTTGAGGTAAGAAGTAAAGCATAAAGTATATGATTTTTTGTGTGTATTTTTATCTTGCTATACCCATAGGGAATGTTTAATTCTGCCTTGGAAGTGGCCATATTTGAAGGTGCTGTGATTCAAACTGTCAGCGAGATAAGGCAGCAGATCAAGAAAGCACTCCGGGCTCCAGAAGGAGCCTTCCAGGCCAGCTTTGAGCATAAGCTGCTGATGAGCAGTGAGTGTCTTGAGTAGTGTTCAGGGCAGCATGTTACC
The DNA here is from genome assembly GCF_000001405.40 of Homo sapiens. Taxonomy (NCBI): domain Eukaryota; kingdom Metazoa; phylum Chordata; class Mammalia; order Primates; family Hominidae; genus Homo; species Homo sapiens. The sequence goes on along the minus strand of NC_000022.11, from coordinate 15,806,317 downwards.
ATTCATGCTTGACTTCTAGCCAGTGTGACGAGAGGCTGGAGTCAGGTCTCTAGAGAGTTGAGCAGCTCCAGCCTTAGATCTCCCAGTCTTATGCGGTGTGCCCATTCGCTTTGTGTCTGCAGTCCCCTGGCCACACCCAGTAACAGTTCTGGGATCTATGGGAGTAGCTTCCTTAGTGAGCTTTCCCTTCAAATACTTTGCAACCAGGTAGAGAATTTTGGAGTGAAGGTTTTGTTCTTCGTTTCTTCACAATATGGATATGCATCTTCTTTTGAAAATGTTAAAGTAAATTACCTCTCTTTTCAGATACTGTCTTCATGCGAACTTGGTATCCTGTTTCCATCCCAGCCTTCTATAACCCAGTAACATCTTTTTTGAAACCAGTGGGTGAGAAAGACACCTGGTCAGGAACGCGGACCACAGGACAACTCAGGCTCACCCACGGCATCAGACTAAAGGCAAACAAGGACTCTGTATAAAGTACCGGTGGCATGTGTATTAGTGGAGATGCAGCCTGTGCTCTGCAGACAGGGAGTCACACAGACACTTTTCTATAATTTCTTAAGTGCTTTGAATGTTCAAGTAGAAAGTCTAACATTAAATTTGATTGAACAATTGTATATTCATGGAATATTTTGGAACGGAATACCAAAAAATGGCAATAGTGGTTCTTTCTGGATGGAAGACAAACTTTTCTTGTTTAAAATAAATTTTATTTTATATATTTGAGGTTGACCACATGACCTTAAGGATACATATAGACAGTAAACTGGTTACTACAGTGAAGCAAATTAACATATCTACCATCGTACATAGTTACATTTTTTTGTGTGACAGGAACAGCTAAAATCTACGTATTTAACAAAAATCCTAAAGACAATACATTTTTATTAACTATAGCCCTCATGATGTACATTAGATCTCTAACTTGATCATCCTATATGTCTGCTTTGTATTTTCTTAATGTACGTCTCCCCATTTGCTATTGGTCATTTCCTATTTGGCTCATTTTTCAACTGGGTTGTTTTCCTGTTATTAAAAGAGTTCTTTACTGATTTTTGGACATTAACTCTTTATCAGATATGTGATCTGCAAATATTTCCTCCAGTCTGTAGGTTCTCTTTTCATTTTGTTGGTTTTTTCCTTTGCTGTGCAGAAGCTTTTTAGTTTGATGCAGTCCTCCTTGTTTATGTTTCCATTTGTAGCCTGGCTTGTGGTGTGATATCAAAAAAATAATTGCTAAGGCCAATGTCAAGAGGCTTTCCCCCTATGTTCTCTTCTAGGAGTTTTAAGGTTTCAGGTCTTATTTGGGTCTTGGGTCTTGTATCTGTTTTGAGTTGATTTTTGTGTATGGTGTATGATCAGGGTCCATTTTTATTCTTTTGAATGTGAAAATCCAGTTTTCCCAGCACTATTATTGAAGAGACTATTTTTCTTTCCATTGTGTTGTCTTGTTTGCCCTTGTCAAAAATTAGTTGACAGTATATGTTTGGATTTATTTCAAAGGTCTCTGTTCTGTTCCGTTGGTTTATACTTTTTGTTTCTATGCCAGTATCATACTGTTTTGATTACTATAGCTTTGTAATACAATTTTAAATCAAGAGGTGTGATGCCTCCAACTTTTTCTTTCACAGTAATCTGTTGGCTGTTTGGGGTTTTTTGTGGTTCCATACAAGTTTCAGGATTGTTTTTTCTGTTTTTTTTTTTTGTTTGTTTGTTTTTTTCTTGAGATGAAGTCTCACTCTGTTGCCCAAGTTGGAGTGCAGTGGCACAACCTTGGCTCACTGCAACCTCTGCTTCCCGGATTCAAGCAATTCTCCTGCCTCAGCCTCCCGAGTAGCTGGGACTACAGGCACATGCCGCTATATCCAGCTAATTTTTGTAGTTTTAGTAGAGACAGGGTTTCACTATATTGGCCAGGCTGGTCTCCAAGTCCTGACCTCGTGATCCACCTGCCTCGGCCTCCCAAAGTGCTGGGATTACAGGCATGAACCACAACACCTGGCCAGGATTGTTTTTTTCTGTTCTGTGAAGAATGCCACCAGAACTTTGATGAGGATTGTGTTAAATCTATATATTTGCTTTGGGTAGTGTGAACATTTAAACAATATTAATTCTTCTGATCCATAAACATAGGATATCTTTTCATTTGTTCATATCTAAATTTCTTTCATCAATGTTTTATGGTTTTCAAGTGTACACATCTTCCGTCTTATTGGTTAAATTCATTCCTAAGTATATGTTTTTCTTTGATGTTATTGTAAATGAGATTGTTTTCTTGATTTCTTTGTCAGCTAGGTTATTTGTATATAGAAATGCAACTGATTTTTATATGTTGAGTTTATACTTTGCAGCTTAACTGAATTGATTTAGTAGTTCTCAGAGTTTTTTGTGGAATGTTTGGAGTTTTTTACATAAAGGGTCTTGTCATCTGCAGATAGAGATAATTTTACTTCTTTAATTTAGTTGCTTTTTTTTCCTCATCAGATTGCTCTTGCAAGTACTATGTTCAATAAAAGTGATGAGACTGGGCATCCCTATCTTGTACTCAATCTTAGTAGAAAAGCTTTTAGTTATTCCCCACTGACTATGATGTAGGCCATGGGTTTCTCATAAACGGTCTTTATTATGTTGAGGAACTTTCCTTCTATACATAAACTATTAAAAGGTTTTATCAAGAAAGGTTGCTAAACTTTGTTAAATGCTTTCTCTGCATCAATTCAGGTGACCATGTGGTTTTATCTTTCATTTTGTTAATGTGATATATCACATTGATTTACATATGTTAAACCAGCCTTGCATGCCAGAGATAATTCCCACTTAATCATGATGTATAATCTTTTTGATGTGTTGTTGAATTCTACTTCCTAAATTTTTTTTTCCTGATCAGCCATTTATTTTTATATACATATATATATTTTATTACACTTTAAGTTCTAGGGTACATGTGCACAATGTGCAGGTTTGTTACATATGTATACATGTGCCATGTTGGTGTGCTGCACCCATTAACTCATCATTTACAGTAAGTATATCTCATAATGCTATCCCTCCCCCCTCCCCCCACCCCACAACAGACCCAATGTGTGATGTTCCCCTTCCTGTGTCCAAGTGTTCTCTTTGTTCAATTCCCACCTATGAGTTAGAACATGTGGTGTTTGGTTTTTTGTCCTTGTGATAGTTTGCTGAGAATGACAGTTTCCAGCTTCATCCATGTCCCTACAAAGGACATGAACTCATAAATTTTATGGCTGCATAGTATTCCATGGTGTATATGTGCCACATTTTCTTAATCCGGTCTATCATTGTTGGACATCTGGATTGGTTCCAACTCTTTGCTATTGTGAATAGTGCCGCAATAAACATATGTGTGTATGTGTCTTCATAGCAGCATGATTTATAATCCTTTGGGTATATACCCAGTAATGGGATGGCTGGGTCAAATGGTATTTCTAGTTCTAGATCCCTGAGGAATCGCAACACTGACTTCCACAATGGTTGAACTAGTTTACAGTACCACCAACAGTGTAAAAGTGCTACTATTTCTCCACATCCTCTCCAGCACCTGTTGTTTCCTGACTTTGTAATGATCGCCATTCTAACTGGTGTGAGATGGTATCTCATTGTGGTTTTGATTTGCATTTCTCTGATGGCCAGTGATGATGAACATTTTTTCATGTGTCTTTTGGCTGCATAAATGTCTTCTTTTGAGAAGTGTCTGTTCATATCCTTCGCCCACTTGTTGATGGGGTTGTTTGTTTTTTTCTGGTAAATTTGACTTCATTGTAGATTCTGGATATTAGCCCTTTGTCAGATGAGTAGATTGCAAAAATTTCCTCCCATTCTGTAGGTTGCCTGTTCACTCTGATGGTAGCTTCTTTTGCTGTGCAGAAGCTCTTTAGTTTAATTAGATCCCATTTGTCAATTTTGGCTTTTGTTGCCATTGTTTTTGGTGTTTTTAAACATGAAGTCCTTGCCCATGCCTATGTCCTGAATGGTATTGCCTAGGTTTTCTTCTAGGGTTTTTATGGTTTTGGGTCTAACATTTAAGTCTTTAATCCATCTTGAATTAATTTTTGTATAAGGTGTAAGGAAGGGATCCAGTTTCAGCTTTCTACATATGGCTAGCTGGGCAATGTCAACTTTGTAAATTAACTGAGAACTGTCTCAGATTTTGAGGGTTCACAAACTATACTCCAAGGATATAGTAACCAAAACATCATAGGTCTGGTACAAAAACCATGACACAAAAGCCAATGGAACAGATTAGAGAAGGTTGTAGGCTGCACTCCTACAACCATCTGATCTTTGACAAAGTCTATAATTAGAAGCAATGGGAACAGACTCCCTATTCAATGAATGGTACTAGGATAACTGTTTAGCCATATTCAGAAGATTTAAAATGGACAACTTCCTTCCAACATATTAAAAAAATCAACTTAAGATGGATTAAAGACCTAAATGTAAAACCTAAAAGTATAAAAACCCTAGACAAAAGCCCAGAACATAATATTCTGGACATAGGCAATAACAAGGATTTTATGATCAAGTTTCCAATAGCTATTGCAACAAAAACATAAATAGACAAGTGGGACCTAAGTATACTAAGGAGATTATGTTCAACAAAAGAAACTATCAGCAGAGTAAACAGACAACCGACAAAATGGGAGAAAATATTTGCAAACTATGGATCTGACAAAGGTCTCATATCCAGAACCTGTAAGGAACTTAAAAAAATTTTTAAGCAAAAACTAAACAACCTCATTGAAAAATGGGCAAAGGACAAGAACAGACACTTCTCAAAAAAGACATACATGCTGTTAACAAGAATATGAAAAAATGCTCCATTTTAAAAATCACTAATCATTAGAGAAATGCAAATGAAAACCACAATGAGATACCATTTCATACCAATCACAATGGCTACTAATAAAAAGTCAGAAAATAACAGATGTTGCTGAGGTTGCAGAGAAAAGGGAAATCTTATACACTTCCGTTGGGAATGTAAATTAATTCAGCCATTGTATAAAGCAGTGTGAAGATTTCTCAAAAAACTTAAACAGAACTACCATTTGGCGCAGCAGTCTCATTACTGGGCACATACACAAAGAAATATGAATTGTTCTACCAAATGACACATGTACTTGTATGATTATCACAGCACTATTAACAGTAGCAAAAACATGGAACCAACCTAGAGGCTCATCAGTGGTGGACTAGAAAAAAAAAATGTGTACCGCCTGACGTGGTTGCTCACGCCTGTATTCCCAGCACTTTGGGTGGCCGAGATGGGCGGATCATTTGATATTAGGAGTTTGAGAAAAGCCTGGCCAACATGGTGAAACACCATCTCTACTAAAAATACAAAAATTAGCCAGGCATGGTGGTACATGCCTGTAGACCCAGCTACTTGGGAAACTGAGGTGGCAGAATAGCTTGAACCTGGGAGGCGAAGGTTGCAGTGGGCCCAGATTATGCCACAGCACTCCAGCCTGGGTGTCAGAGTGAGACTCTATCTCAAAAAGAAAAAAAATTGGTACATATACACCATGAAATACTGTGTAGCAACAAAAAAACAATAAATTTATGGCTTTTGCAACAAAATGGATGTAGCTGGAGGCTACATCCCACAAATTAAGCAGATTAACACAAAAACAGAAAAAGACAGCATATATTATCACCTATAAATGAGAGATAAACATTGGCTCCACATGGTCCAAAACAAGGACCAATAGATACTAGGGCCTGTGTGAGGGTAGAGGGTGAAAAATCGGTGAAGATTGAAAAATTACTTATGCCTATCAGGTACTATGCTCACTACCTCAGTGACTAAATTATTTTTTCCATGAAACCCCAGCAACATGCAATTTACCTACATAACAAAGCTGCACGTGTACCCCCTGAACCTAAAATATAAATTAAAAAAGAAAAAAATGAATATCAATAAGATACTTAGTAAGCACACAAGTGTTTGGAAATCAAACAACAAACTTCTGAATAATTCACAAAGAAACATCAAAATAAAACTTAGAATACATTTTGAATTGAAAGATAAACATCTGAAGTGCTGAAAGAATAGAGATGGCTTTAGTCTCGAAACTTACATATAAAAACATTGAAATTTCAATCAGATGGCAATTGGTATGTGATTTGATAATCTACTTTAAAGTTTATACAAAACTGAGAACCCGGTTAGGTGCGGTGGCTCACGCCTGTAATCCCAGGACTTTGGGAATCAGAGGTGGGTGCAACACGAGGTCAGGAGTTCAAGACCAGCCTGGCCAAGATGGTGAAACCCTGTCTCTACTAAAAATAAAAAAATTAGCCAGGCGTGGTGATGGATGCCTGTAATCCTGGCTACTCAGGAGCCTGAGGCAGGAGAATCAATTGAACCAGGGAGGCAGAGGTTGCAGAGAGCCAAGATTATGCCACTGCACTCTAGCCTGGGTGAGAGAGCAAGGCTTCATCTCAAAAAGAAAAAAAAAAAAATTGAGAACCCAGATAAAAATAGCTAACTTTCTTCTCCAAAAGAAAAAAGAATGACAGTGAGTAGAGGTCTGCTTCTATTGGCTATCAGATAATCTTATAACCCTGCAGTACTGTGGTGGTACGAAGCACATCCACAGCAGTAGTGTGACCATCAGGTATCAAATAGACAAGAACTTCAGAGAAGACAAATGTAACATTTGAAATCAGTAGAAAGAAGTATTACTTTGAGAAAGTTGGTTATTATTTGGAATTTGAAGAAATAAACAATAAATTTCAAATAACTTAAAGAATGAAATAAAAAATAAAATTAATACTACAAGGAAGTTTTTAAAATATTCATGCCTTTTCCTCATGACATGAAATATAAATATCATGAAGTAAAAGACAGACAAATTTTACTAACTAAACAAACTCATTTTTAGCAAACACTTGATAAATACCATTGAGACAAATAACAAATTAGAAGAAAATATTTACATGGTATACATAACAAAAAAATGGATATTCAGAATGTATAGAGATTATCAAATAATAAAGAACTTGCAAATCCCAGTGGGAAAATGAGCAAAGAATATAAAGAGGAATTACACAGAAGAAAACGTATGCTATGTATTAACAAATGAAAAGTTGCTTCATCTGTGTAATGGCCAAAATGTATGTTAAAATATAAGACAGCATTTCTCCCATCTCATTGGTAAAATAAAAAATACATATGCACTTCATAAATTCATATGTCACTTCAGCATTTTTACAGTTAATATCACTTTTGTTATTCTTAAAAAGTTGAAAAATTAAATGAGTTAAAAGCAGTATGAGAGAAATTATTGCAAATATGTGTATAATATTGTTAGGAGAAACCCAAGTAAGACCCCAGAGGTGTAAGTTTAAATTGAAGACTAATCAGTTTATATATATAATAATTTAAAAATATTCTGTGCATTATAAAACTCACAAAAGAATTAAAAGGCAAAAAAATCAAGAAAAAATAATTTCAAAATAAATGCCACAACACAGCTTCCTGTGGTCAAGATTTCTCTCCATTCTACTTTGACGTCTAAATAGATCTTTGGGCATCTAGACTAATATTGGGTTTGTATACTCCCAGAAAATTCAAGACTACTAAACGCACCCAACCTTACAACCCCGAAGCATATTATCACATAGGGGTCTTGTGTAGTTTGCTAAAGTGTAATGTACTACCTGTCACAGAATGAGCACTTAACTGATGTTGGGTGTGATGTAGCATAGTAGCAAAAAACTTTAGAATTAGGCCACAGTGTTTTTAAGGGCTTTGCACGACCCATTATTTTTTGGCACTTAATTTAAAAAAATCTGCATGCTTATTTTAATTTTGTCATTACTTGCCATTGTATCCATCTCAGCACACTGATCAAATAATCACAAAAATCACAGAGATGATACTCTGCTAATTAAGAAAGTTTTCTTTTTTTCTTTGTGAAACCATTCTTCATTTTTTTTTTTTTTGGTATTTAGAAATAATTTCTAGTGCTAATTTATTTTTAGTGACATTTTGCACAGACTCTCCAAATAAAAAACCAAGAACGACCAATTTTATTGGGAAAATACTAAATGTAACAAACTTTATTTTTTGATGAGTGAAGACTATTTTTCTAATTTTGCTTAAAAATTTTAGGTTTAGCCTTAGGTAATAAAGTTAATAGAGAGAATGTTTACTACCATGCATAAATTCAAAAGACTTGTTAGTTTAGATTGTCAATTTAATGTTGAACAAAGTTGCTTGAAATTTTCAGATGAAATAACTTTAGGTAAGCTTAAGAAAAGTTTGATTGCATTTTGTTTATAATCTTGTACTTCTATTTTCATTCTGATTTAGTAGGCTGCACACTTTTTAAAAAAAAATTTCAGGTGGATTGTGGCCATTCCTTTTCCTCTTAAGTCTTATTTGATTGTTCTTCCAGAACAAATATTAACATTTGCAGTCCTGCATCTGGATCAAGCAGTTTGGTTAGAGAAATTTAAACCTTTAAATCACAAAACAGCTTATTTTCAATTGTCATAGCTGACACTGAATCTATGACTAATGGTGTAAGCAATGTGGATATTGGAATGTCTCTGAGTTTTTATATTAATAAATTTACTAGCTAAATAAGTGATGTAATCATCTGTTGATGTCTGAGATGAAGAGTGAGTAAAAACCACATAAAAGTCTTCCATAAAACTAAACTTATCTTGGAATTCTTTGTAAAAATAATTTCTGTGAGATGGAACTTTGGAAAGTTTTCCTGTAATTTCTTGAAATCAAATTTAACAGTGCATGGTAGTCTGACCATTCTGCATTCTCCTTTCTGTATAAAAAACATCACTATTTCAAGGCCAGAGAGCCCCCTTTACATGGCTTGTTAAGAATTCTTCAAAATCCAGCATGATTCAAGATACTGATGGATTTTGGGTATTTCAAGAGAATTCCTCTGGTGGCTAAAATGCTTTGAAGATCATTTGTGCAGCAGTCACTCAAGATGAAAGACTCCCTAGTTAATTGTCCAGTGAGATTACAGTTCCTGTGACAGTGGCAGAAGAAGTCCAGCAAGGAGTTAGCAGCAGCCTAGTTGGCTTTTGTTGCATTCTCAATGAAAGCAGAAACTAATGAATAGCACTCAAAGTAATCAAGTTCCTGCTTTCTTGTCAAAAATTGAAGATGTACTGCTCCAGCTACTTTGGGGCTTAACACTTTCTCCAATTAAGAAGAGATGTTGAGAGCTTCTAGGAACCCATCATCCAAGACTGCGGCACTAAAAAAACACACCTGAGATTTTGCTCTACGAAGTTATTTTCTATTAAATTCACTGCCTTTTTCACATCAGAGTGAATAATGACAAAACATTGTAGCTTGGTCGTTTTGCACTCTTCATTCTGATTTTGCAGCAACTTGCATTCCTTTCAACTGCTCATAAGTTAAATTTCTCAATGAAGTAATCACAACAGAACTATCTCCTTGAACAGTTTGGAGTTTCCTGAAAAAAAACAGATATACTACCATATGATCCAAAAATCCCACTGCTTGGTATATACCCAAAAGAAAGGAAATGAGTATATCAAAGAGATTTCTGCACTCCTAGGTTTGCTGCAGCACTGTTTACAATTACTAATATTTGAAAGCAACCTAAGTGTCCATCAACAGATGAATGAAGAAAATGTGGTACATATACACAGTGGAGTACTATTCAGCCATAAAAATGAAAGCCTGTCATTTGCAACAACATGGATGGAACTGAAGATGATTATGTCAAGAAAAATAAGCCAGGCACAGAAATACAAACATCATGTGTTCTCGCTTATTTCCGGGATCTAAAAATAAAAACAATTAAACTCATGGACATAGAGAGTAGAAGGATGATTACCAGAGCTTGGGAAGGGTAGTGAGAGAGTGAGGGGGAGGCAGGAATTGTTAATGGATACAAAAAACAAAAAAGAAATAATATATAATAAAAACCTACTATTTGATAGCAAACCCAGGTGACTATAGTCAATAATAACTTAATCATATATTTGAAAATAACATAAAGAGTGTAATTGGAATATTTGTAACTCAAAGAATCACTGAGGGGATACCCCATTCTCTAGGATGTGTTTTTTTTCACATTGAATGCCCTTGTCAAAACATCTCATGTACTCCATAAATACTATGTACCCACAAACATTAAAAATAAAATACAAAAAAGAACCATCTTCTCTCTGTGTAACAAATACTATAGTTTCAAATCCAAGGCTAGAGAGCTGCCCTGAAATAATATACACTCTTTTGACTTGAAGAGTTTTCTCTTTGCTCTATACATAGGTATTTGTAGAAGTTAACATTCTGGAACACTGACTTCCAACACAGCAAGAGGGACAGCCACACATGTAAAATACAATGACAGAGCAGGACTCACAAGTGCATTCTGCTGAAAAGGTGAGCAAGCCAAATTCAAATTATTTTTCAAACTCATTGATTTTAGCTACCGAAAGGTCTATAGGACATTATCAGACAGAGTTTTTGTAGAACCTAAGATTTAGAAAGTGAACTTGAATGTGACTGTGATCATTATGCAACAACTGCTGTAAAAACTCAGGTTGGTGTTGGCCACAAAGGACTACAACACTCTTGTGTTGCCTTGACAAAGCTCCTCTAAACGTGGCAGTAAACTTAGTGCCTTTCAGTATTCTCCTTTTTCCCATAGACTCACAGACAGCGAGAGACACCTGGCTCCCCCACATCACTTCCTTAGCAGCCAAGAACAGCATGTCACCCAGAATGAATTCTGGCTGTGGCAGAAAATGGCCCACATAGAGAGATGTCTGGCATTTGGTAGTACCTGGGTGAGAGCTTTCCAAGCTCTTAGGAAGTATACAATGCATAAGGTCCATTTCTAAATACTAGAAACATCTTGCTGTGAAAGCACATAAAGTCCATAGTTAAGATGATGATGCCATGCAGAAAAACACGTGGCAATGTAACCACCAGTCTTTACTTTTTCAATGGCCTTGCACATGGCTGTTACTGTACTGCTGAAGTCCAGCGTCAGCAGTTTATGTTTCCCCATTGTGTCATCAGCCCAATGCAAAGTACCATCAAAATAACACCTGGAGGTGCTGACAGGAAAATAATCTGAGTAAATCCACATTTGCTGTCTCAACTTCCAAAGACTGGTCATCAAACAGTGTGTTTCTGTCTTTCTATCTTGGCTGCCACCTTTACTACACTGTAGGGGTCTGAGGTTTGTAGAGTGGATATCGCAGAGTTCTGGTTGTCCTTGTGAGGTTTGATATGATAAACTTTTTAAAAGAAAGTAGGCCTGATTACAGAAATGAGTATTGTCCCGACAATCCACATAGAATTCTGGGGCATTCTTCTCTTTACATTCAATAATAGCTTCCGCTAAACTTGTAATGTTCTGTGGGAATGTATCACTTCTTCACCTTCTTGCTCACTTCCCACCTTCTTGCTCAGAGCTCCAATGGGCTCAGAGCAATGTTTGGAGTGCCAATCACCCTGAGCTCAACCTTGCTCTGAGCATCATCTTCTCTGAGCTCCATCTTACACTGAGAAGCACCTGCTGCAAGCTCCATCTTGCTTGGAGCTCCTTCTTGCTCCAAGCTCTATCTACTCCAAGCTCCATCTTGCTCAGAGCTCCATCTGCTCCAAGCTCCATCTTGCTCGAAGTGCCAATCGCTCCAAGCACTATCTTGCTGTGAGCAACATCTGCATAGACATTCATCTTACTCAGAGCTCCATCTAGTCAGAGATCCATCCACTTTGAGCTCCATCTTGCTAGGAGTTCCAATCACTCCAAGCCCCATCTTGCTGGGAGCTCCAATCACTTCTAGCTCCATTTTGCTCTGAGCACCATGTGGACAGAGCTCATCTTACTCTGAGCTACATGTGCTCTGAGCTCTACCTTGCTTGGAGCTGTAATCACTGTGGGCTCCGTTTTGTTCTGAGCTCCAACTAAAACCAAGCAACGTCTCCTCCAAACTCCATCTTGCTTAGAGCTCCTTTTTTGCTCAGAGCTCTGTCTGCTCTGAGCTGCATCTTGCTCAGAGCTCCAATTGCTCAGAGCAATGTTCAGAGTGCCAATCATTCTGAGCTCCCTCTTGCTCTGAGTACCATCTGCTCTGAGCTCCATCTTACACCAGCAACATCTGCTCCAAGTTCCATTTTGTTTGGAGCTCCTTCTTGCTCAGAGGTCTCTCTGATCTGAGCTCCATCTGGTTCGGAGATCCAATCACTCCAAGCTCCATCTTGCTCTGAGCACCATCTTCTTGAAGCTCCATCTACTCCCAGCTCCATCTTGCTTTAGAGCTTCCATCACTCTGAGCTCCACTTTGCTCAGAGCTCCATTTACTCAGAGCTCCATTTGCTCCAAGCTCCATCTTTCTCAGAGCTCCAATCCCTCCAAACTCCATCTTGCTCTGAGTACCCTCTGCTCAGAGCTCCATATTCTCGGAGCTGCATCTTCTAGCTCCATCTTGCTGATATCTCCAATCACTTCCAGCTCCATTTTGTTCTGAGCATCATGTGCTCGAAGCTCCATCTTACTGTAAGCAGCATGTTCTCTGAGCTCCATCTTGCTCTGAGCACCATCTGTTCTGAACTCCATCTGAAACTGAGGAACATTTGCCCCAAGCTCCATCTTGCTTAGAGCTCCTTCTTGCTCTGAACTTCGTTTGCTCCAAGCTCCATCTGCTCCGAGCTCCAGCTTGCTGAGAGCTCCAATTACTTCCAGCATCATTTTGCTCTGAACACCATCTGCTCAAGCTACATCTTACTGTGAGCAACATGTTTTCTGAGCTACATCTTGCTCAGAGCTGCATCTGCTCCAAGCCCCATTGTGCTCGAAGCTCTAATCACTCCGAGGCTGATCTTGCTCTGATCACTATCTGCTCAGAGTTCCAATCCTCCAGAGTAAAGTTTTTAAGTTCCAATCATTTCAAGCTCCATGTTGTTACGAGCATCTGCTCTGAGCTCCATCTTACACCGAGCAACATCTGCTCCAAGTTCCATCTTGCTTGGAGCTCCTTTTTGTTCAGAGCTCTATCTGCTCCAAGCTCAATCTTCTCTGAGCTCCATCTTGCTTGGAGCTCTAATCATTCTGAGCTCCATCATGCTCTGAGCACCATCTGCTCTGAGCAACATCTGCACCAAGCTCCATCTTGCTTAGATCTCCTTATTGCTCAGAGTTTCATCTGCTCTGAGCACCATCTTGTTCAGAGCTCCATCTTGCTCAGAGTTCCAACTGCTCAGAGAACTGTTGAGAGTTCCAACGACTCCAAGCTTTATCTTGCTCTGGGCTCCATCTTACACAGAGGAACATCGGCTCCAAGCTCCATCTTGCTTGGAGCTCCTTCTTGTCTGAGCTATATTTGCTCTGAGCTGGACACTCCATGCTCCATGGTGCTCTGAGTTCCATCTGCTAAGAGCTCCATCTGCTCCAAGCTCCATCTTGCTTGGAGCTCCAATCACTCCAAGCTCCATCTTGCTCTGAGCACCATCTGTTCTGAGCTCCACCTTGCTCAGAGCCCCAGTCACTCCTAGCTCCATCTGGCTCTGAGTACCATCTGCTCGGAGCTCCATCTTGCTCTGAGACCACAGGCTTGGTGCTCCATCATACTCAGAAACATCTGCTCCGAGCTTCATATTAATCGGAGCTCCATCTCACCTGGAGCTCCATCTGCTCTGAGCTCCATCAAGCTTGGAGCTCATCTTGCTCAGAGGTCCATCTTGCTTTGCGAACCATCTGCTCCATGTATGGTTATAGCAGCACTATTCACAATGGTAAAGACTTGGAACCAACCCATATGCCCATCAATGATAGACTGGAAAAATAAAATGTACTACATATACATCATGGAATACTACACAGCCATAAAAAGGTATGAGATCAAGTCCTCTGCAGGGACAGGGATGAAGCTGGAAGCCATCATCCTCAGCAAGCTAACACAGGAACAGAAAACCAAACACTGCATGTTCTCGCTCGTAAGTGGGAGCTGAACAATGAGAACACATTTTAATACTATTACGCCCTCTGAAAATGGTCTCTATTTCTCTTAACAAAGGATATTTATACTTTGTAATTTTTTTCTCTCTAAAGGATTGTGGCTTCTTCTGTCTGTGCCAGTCTAGGGCCCAGGTTGACTACCTCACTTTGAAATGACCCACCCCATGTCCGTCCGCACATGGTTGGTCCCTCCTGTAAACTGTTTGTTCACAGACTGTTACCACCTGTGGGTCATTTGACGGGAGGTGACCTCACACAGCAATGCACCAGGCAAATCACCAACTGAAAGAATCACTGAAACAACATGTGTCTGCTTATTTCAAAGAATGAATAGGAGTCAGTTGAAGGTGATTAAGTCAGCAACATCTTAAGGTGATAAGATGTCAGTAACATCTTAGATGACCAAGAATAATCTTGTGGGCCCCAAGAACATATGACAATATGGACTACGCCAGCAAAAATCTCACCCATCAGACAACAGCAAATGACACTGTGGCTCAAATGTTAAATGTCCTCTCTTGATGTGTGAAAGCACATGACCAGCAGGAGGCAAAAACATCAGGGAGACAAAGGCTTTGTTGCATATCTGTGGACTTCAGTCTCCAGTGAGACACTCAGAGCCTACATCTCCTCTGTTACCACTGCTGTTTTGATTGCACAGAACATTTCCATATATGTTTCATTCTACAAGAAACGTTTCGACAAACATACATCTGATAAAAGGCTGTCTTCAAAATGTCTAAGCAACTAACACTACTCACTAGCAAAAACACAAAAGAGAAACTAATAACCAAACAAAACCTGAATAGACATTTCTACAAAAAAGACATAACATTGAAAACAAGTTTTAAAAACTTGAATAACATCACAAACCATGAGAAAGATATAAATCAAAACAACACACATATCTCACTATAATTCAAATGGATGTTATCAAAGTGATACAATATATTAAAAGAGACACAAATGCTGGTGGAAATTTCCAGAGAAAAACTCATTTGGTAAGAATGTTAATTAGTATACAGCTGGGCACGGTGGCTCACGCCTGTAATCCCAGCACTTTGGGAGGCCGAGGCCGGCAGATCACGAGTTCAGGAGATCGAGACCACCCCGGCTAACACGGTGAAACCCCGTCTCTACTAAAAGTATAAAAAATTACCTGGGCGTGGTGGCGGGTGCCTGTAATCCCAGCTACTCAGGAGGCTGAGGCAGGAGAATGGCGTGAACCCAGGAAGCAGAGCTTGCAGTGAGCTGAGATCATGCCACTGCACTCCAGCCTGGGCAATACAGCGAGACTCCATCCAAAAAAAAAAAGAATGTTAATTAGTATACATACTACAGAAACCAGTGGGAGGTTCCTCCAAAAATTAAACCTACAACTACCACTTCATCTAACAATTCTACTACTAAGTATACTTTCAGTGCCAAAGAAATCAGTTTATGCAAGAGGTATCAGCCATCCTATGTGGACTGCAGCACTATTCACAATCGCCAAGATAAGGAATAAACTTACCTGCCCATCCACAGATGAAGGGATAAAGTAACTGTGGTGGACATACACAAAGAGAATAGTCTTCAGCCAGAAAATCAGAATGAAATTTCATCATTTGGAGCCATACTGTTGAACCTGGAGGACAGCATGGTAAATGACCTGAACCAGGTAGAGAAAGAAAAACATTGCCACATCTCACTCATGTAGAACCCAAAATAAAAGGCTTTATTGCAATAGATCTAGAGAGCACAACAGTGGTTTCCAGAGATTGGAAGGAAGCAGAGGCATGGGCAGGGATCAGAAATAGGTACAAAATTACACTTAGATGAGAGCAATGAATTGTTCCTCTCTGTTCTACAGCACTGTGACCAGAGGTTAACAAAACATCACAGCTTTTTCACAAAATCTGGAAAAGAAGATTCCAAATGTTTTCACCACAAATAAATTAACAACTGTTTGTGATAACAGAGACTCTAAATATCCTGATTTTAACATTCCTCTGTGTCTGCATTAACCAAAATGCCCCACTCTAACTCCCCCCATTGTATACCTTTACTATATGGCCAACCTTTTAAAAAATATGTAAATATGCAATGCTAAAATTCATGCAGACCACAAAACACCCTGAATTTCTAAAGCAATCCTGAGAAGTCCACACTACATTGGTTGTGTCACACTTCCCGATTTTAATTTTCATTGAAAAGCTAGGGACCCCATTTCACACAGAGCAGTGGAACAGATTAGAGGACCCAGATGTAAACCCACACCCCTAACACCATCTGATCTTCAAAAAAATCCACAAAAATAAGCTTTGGAGAAAGGACTCCCTCCTCTCAATAGATGGTGCCAGGATAAAGTGCTAGCCAGTTGCAGAAGAAAAACAGTGGGCCCCTGTGTCTCACCCTGCACAGAAATTAACTCAAGATGAATGAAAGATGTAAACACAAGACCTCAAACTATGAAAAGCCTGCAAGAGAACTTGGAAATACCCTTCTTGACAGAGGATTTGGCAGAGCATGGCTATGCCTAAGTCCCCAAAAGCAAGTGCAACTAAAACAATTATTGACAAGTGGGGCCTAATATACAAAAGAGCTGCTGCACAGCAGAAGCAATTACCAACACAGTAAACAGACAGCCTACACAATGGGAGAAAATGTTCCCACATACGCATCTGATGAAGTCTAATATCCAGGATCTACCTCAAATACATTAAGCAAATAAATCAGAAAAACAAAAACTCAATGAAGAAAGGGTAAGGGGCATGAAAACATGCATCTCAAAAGAAGGTTTACAGCAACCAACAGACAAGATATCATTGCTTTACCTCAGGAATCATCAGAGAAATGCAAAGCTAAAGGCCCATGAGATAGTATTTCACACATTCTGATGAATGACAATTATGACACAGTCCACAAGAATGAACACCAGCAAGGCAGAGGAGGAGGGATGCTGGTCTGCTCTTGGTGGAAATGCAAACTAGTTCGGACACCATGGAAAGCAATGTGGGGATTTCTCAAATAACTTTCTCGACATCACTAAACCTCACAAAAAAATGTCCATGAAAACCACACTAAGATTCCGTCTCATTCCACTCAGAATGAGTACTACCAAAAACAAAACACAAATTTTTGAAGGTGACATCCAGTGTAGACTTACAGAAAGGTAACCTCTTAAACACTATTGGTGAGGATGTAAATTAGTATACACACTATAAAAAACAGCTAGAGGTTTCTGAAAAAATTCACAGTACAACTACCATGTCAGCTAACAGCCCCACCACTGGTTCCACATTTAAAGCAGTTGAAGTCCCTAGGTTGAAGAGAGCTATCTGCCTTCCCACGGGTACTAAAGCACTCTTAACTGTGGCCAAGGTAGAGAACCAACCTACCTGTTCAAACACAGCTGCAGGGATGAGGAAACTGCTGTACAGATACACCACGGAATATGTTTCAGCCAGAAACCTTTGGGAAATCCTGCCATCTGCAGCCACATGAAGAAACCTGAAGAACATGAGGTTCAAAGAATAAGGCTGGTAGAGAAAGTCCCATGCCACGTGATCTCAGGCATGCAGACTGAAGAAAGCTTTATCTTCTAGAAGTGGAAAGTTCAATAAGGCTTACCAGAGGCTGCTGGGGAAGTGGAGGCAGTCTCAGAAGGAATCAGTGATGGGTACAAAGTTACTCTCAGATGAGACTGATCAATTCTGGCCTTCTATTCCACAGCAGGGTGACTAGCCTTAACACAAATGTACCATATGTTTCAAAGTAGCTAGAAGGAAAGATTCTGAATGTTGTTACCACTCAAAAATAATAACTATATGAGATAAAGAGATGCTAAATAACCTGATTTTATCATTACTCAACATATACACGTATCAAAATCTTCCTTGTACCTTTTAATTGTATACATTTAGTATATGACAAATAGTGTTTTAAGAAATATAAAGAAACAATGCCAAAATTTATGTGGAAATGTGAAACACCCTGAATTTCCAAAGTTATTCTGAGAAATACAAACCATATGGGATGTGTCACATTCCCTGAGTTCTAATTAAATGAAAATCTGTAGTTAACAAACCCATATGTTACTGGCGTACACAGAGAAACACAGACCAGTGAGCAAAATGAATGTGCTCAATAATAAACAAAAATTTATATGGAATGAACACATTTTTCAAAACACCACCAAAATGACACAACGGGGAAGATTTCCAAAACTAGATATCCATATGCAAAAGAATAATACAGGACTCTTATGGTACTAGATACACAATAATCAACTCAAAATGATTAAAGATTATACACAAAACTTGCAACCATAAAGCTCCTATAAAGACAACCTCAGGTGTGCGTATATTTAGGGCAACTTGGATGTATGCTCAGGGTTCGCAAAAAGTAAACAAAAATACAAGGGAAAAAATTATTGACAATGAACTGCTTTGGTAGTGATTTGTGATTTTGTTTTTTCTTGATTAGTAACCAACAGCACAGCCACCAAGAAATTATGCACATGTGGGACCACGTCAAGCTGAAGCGTTTGTGCCCAACAAAGGAAACAATAAAGAAAATAAAAAGGCACACTAAAAATTACAAGTTTGGGATAAGGGATTATTTTTGAAAAGGTACAAGCGAGTCATACTACCAGCTGGCAAAAAAAAAAAAAAACAAAACAAAACAAAACAACAGAACAATTGCCAGACAAAAACTGGGCAAATAACCGGATTAGATATTTTTCTAAAGAAGACAGGAAACTGACCCAATGTCTACAAAAACGTGGTTAACATTACTACTCATGAGAAAAATGCAGATCAAAACCACACTCAGATCTTATCTCACTCCAATAGAATGAACATTACAAAAAGATCAAAATATTTAAAAAGACAATTCCTGGTATGAATTTCCAGAAAGGGGAACTGTTTGTGGAAACATAAATTAGTATTAACACTATAAAAAACAGTTGGAGGTCTTGCAAAGAATAGGAAAAAAAGAAATACCATATCATCTAGCAGTCCCATTACTGGGTATAAATTCAACCTACCTGTTCATCCACAGATAAAGAGATCAAGAAACTCTCATATACATACACTAGGAAATATTCTCCAGCCATCAAAATAATGAAGCAGTGTCATTTAGAGCAACACAGATGAACCTGGAACACATTATGTTAAATGTAATGAGCTAGGCCTAGAAGACAAACACTGCATGATACCACTCGTGAAATCTTAAGATGTTTATCTTAATGAAGTAGAAAGCACAATATTGGTTACCAGAGTTTGGGAGATAGAGGGGGAATGGGGAAGGATTGATTATGGAAACAAAGTTATCTTAACATTAAAGGAATAAATCTGAAGTTCTCCTCCTCAGCCTGGTGACTGGAGTAAACAATATCATATTTTTCTAGAGCAAGAAGGGAGAATTTTGAATGTTCTCCCCACAAAAAAAAAAAAAAAAAAATGCCTGGACGAGCAAATAGAGATCCTAAGTACCCTGATTTGATCATTACCCAACCTATATGTATGAAAATGTACCCCTAATTATGGACCTTTATGTTGTGAAAAAAAGTTAATAGAAATAAATAGGTATTGCTAAAAATCACAGGGAACCACAAAAGCAATGAATATCTAAAGGAATCCTCAGAAATACAAAGTGAAGACCCACAATCCTCAATATCAAATTACACTGCCAAGTTGTAGTTATACAGCTGATATATGATACTTGCATAAACTATGGACAAAAACAGGGAGAACAAAAACATGATCAACACAAATATGGACACAGTCAACTGACTTTGATAAAGAACACTGCAATGTGGAAGGCAGAGAATGAGTACCTTTGAGAAAAATGATATTCAGATGCAGAAGTGAGAAATAGGACCTTATTTTACACGATGTATGAAAATGAACACCCCCTCCCCCAAATTGAAGGCAAAACAAAAGACCATAAACCACAAAATGTTTTTAACTAAAACACAGGATGAGCATATATTTTGGGTCACTTGAATCTCTGCTCACCTCTGCAAAGAGGAAAATAAACAAACACCCTAGAAGAAAAACCTCATTAACAATTAAATGCTTTGTCACTGATATATATTTTCTTATATGGGTGACAAAAATTACATGCATGAAACGCAAAAATAAATATATGGGACTATGTCAACATGAAAAGTTTCTGCACATCAAAGAAAACTACTTTCCAAATTAAAAAGCATCCTATAGATTAGGCAAAAATTTCAGGCAATCATGTAATTCACGAGGAGTTGTCATCTAACATGTACACAAAAAACACTACAAAGTAGCAAAAGCATCCAATCTAATATTTTGCAAAGAACCTGAACGGACAATTCTGCACAGCCATAAAATCGAACAACAAATAAGAGATAAGGTCCTCAAAATAAACTATTCATTAGAAAACTGTAATTCAAAACCACACACAGATAATCTCACACTTATTGAATATTCCTAGATTTTTTATAAAAAAAATAAGAGGGGCTGGGAATGGTGTCTCATGCCTGTAATCTCTGCACTTTGCGAGGCCGAGGCAGGTGGATCACCTGAGGTCAGGAGTTTGAGACCAGCCTGACCAATATCGTGAAACCCCATCTCTACTAAAAATACAAAAATTAGCTGGGCATGGTGGCGGCCCCTGTAGTCCCAGCTACTCCGGAGGCCGAGACAGGAGACTTGTTTAAAACCAGGCAGAGGCTGCAGTCTGCCGAGATGGCGCCACTGCACTCCAGCCTGGAAGACAGAGCAAGACTCCGTCTCAAAACAAAAACAAAACAAACCCCAAACCAAAAATAATAGGAATGCGGGTGTGGTTTTGGAGAAAGGGAAACTCATACACTGTAGGTGGAAATGAAAATTAGGATACACACCATGGAAAACAGCTAAATAGCTGGAGACTCCTCAAAGAACTGAAACTACAGATGTCCCCTGCTCTAGCGAGGTCTCTTTTTAAAGGTGCTGAGGCATCAAAAATAATCCTAGACTCCAGCTCAGAGGCCCCTGAGGCTCGGAGGGACCCAGGTCCGGCGTTTCACCGCCAGCTCTGGGCCAGGGCGCTCCTATACGCTGGACGCGGGTCGGACATTGGCATAGCCTTCCCGGCCGGGGTGCGGACGCTGCAGTAGCCAGGACCCCACAACCGCCCCCACGCGGAGGACTCGGGCCCAGATGCCCACGAAGAAGTGAAAGCACGAAAACAGGGAGAGGCAGGGAAGGAGCCGGGAGGGTTCCCGGTGGGGTCCACGCCCCCGCCACTTACCGCGGAGACCTGCCTCCTACTCCACCATCACATGGAACCCACCACTGCTTCTCCGAAGCTCGCTCTGACCACGCCGCTGCTGCTGCAGGGGCCTCGCAGGAAGTGCAGTCTCAGCTTCCGTAGGGACACGCACGCTGGCAGCATCCCTCGTGCCAGGTTGAAGCTCCACCCCCTCTTAAAGGGACGCGGCTCGGACTTGCCAGAAGCAGCTTTGGGTGGCAACACAGGCTGAGCCTCTGCCCAGCCCCAGGGGGCGACGAAAGACCCCTGGTCTCTCATCCTCCCCAGCTTTCGGGCCCTAGAAGTCGCAGGGACGCTCCCTGTGACCCCCTCCCCGAGATCGGCTCCCTTTGCCTAGGGAGCACCCGGGACCTGCCCCTGCCCTCCTCTGGACCTCAGTTTCACCATCCGCAAAGGAAGCAGCCTCGCTAGAGCTCTGGGGTTCCTCAAGCTTGGCGTCTCAGGATCCAGGGTGTGCTCCCCTGCCCCTCTGCAGAGGGGGTCCAGAGAACCACAGAAAGCTGGGGGCTGGAGGGACAGTCCGGAGGGCAGCAGGGCCTCCCCGGCCTCACTGTCCGCATCTGTCCTGTGGGAGCCCGGGGGCCTCGCTATGGCCCAGACACCCACAGCCTCACCAGGGCTGCCTGGGTCACCGGGCTCCCCAGGAGGCAGGCAGGGGCCCTGGGGTCCAGCGCTGCCCCCACCTCAACTCCATCCTGCGTCAGGGCCCGCGAGGGGCCCTGTGGACTGGACCCAGGCCGCCCATTCCCAGGGAGAGGCTATTAATTATTGCCTCAATTTCAGAGCCTGTTATCGGTCTCTTCAGAGATTCAGCTTCTTCCTGGTTTAGTCTTGGGAGGGTGTATGTGTCAAGGAATTTATCCATTTCTTCCAGATTTTCTAGTTTATTTGCGTAGAGGTGCTTATAGTATTCTCTGATGATAGCTGGTATTTCTGTGGGATCGGTGGTGATATCCCCTTTATCTATTTTTATTGCATCTATTTGATTCTTCTCTCTTTTCTTCTTTATTAGTCTTGCTAGCGGTCTATCAATATTGTTGACCTTTTCAAAAAACCAGCTCCTGGATTCATTGATTTTTTTGAAGGGTTTTTTGTGTCTCTATTTCCTTCAGTTCTGCTCTGATCTTACTTATTTCTTGCCTTCTGCTAGCTTTTCAATGTGTTTGCTCTTGCTTCTCTAGTTCTTTTAATTGTGATGTTATGGTGTCAATTTTAGATCTTTCCTGCTTTCTCTTGTGGGCATCTAGTGCTATAAATTTCCCTCTACACACTGCTTTAAATGTGTCCCAGAGATTCTGGTATGTTGTGTCTTTGTTCTCATTGGTTTCAAAGAACATCTTTATTTCTGTCTTCGTTTCGTTATGTACCCAGTAGTCATTGAGGAGCAGGTTGTTCGGTTTCCATGTAGTTGAGCGGTTTTGAGTGAGTTTCTTAATCCTGAGTTCTAATTTGATTGCACTGTGGTCTGAGAGACAGTTTGTTATAATTTCTGTTCTTTTCCATTTGCTGAGGAGTGCTTTACTTCCAACTATGTGGTCAGTTTTGGAATAGGTGTGGTGTGGTGCTGAAAAAAATGTATATTCTGTTGATTTTGGTGGAGAGTTCTGTAGATGTCTATTAGGTCTGCTTGGTGCAGAGCTGAGTTCAATTCCTGGATATCCTTGTTAACTTTCTGACTCATTGATCTGCCTAATGTTCACAGTGGGATGTTAAAGACTCCCATTATTATTGTGTGGGAGTCATATTTTGGTTGAAGTTGAGTTTCTAGTCAAAGAAAAAAACACATGAAGGGCATTCATGTTTCCAGGAACAGAAGCATCCTGTCTGGTTTTTCAAAGGTGAAGGGAGCAGTCTGAAGGGGCCATGGCATACGTGTGTCTATAATCAAAGCTCAGAGCCAAGGCCCTGGGGGAGGGTCAGGGGTTCCCCAGGGGGTGCACCCCATCCAACACTGCACTGCCAGGGGCCTTGTCTTTATTAAATTCTGGGCCTTTTCCTGGGCAATAGTTACACAAGGTGGGTTCAATGAACCCTGTGTCCTGTGGCTGCCACCCATTTCAGGGTCGCAAAGGTAATGATCACCCCTTCACCTTCTGCTGAGGGTCCAGGTGACCCCCTGGTGGTGTAACCCAGGCCCTCGCCCCTAAGGGGTCCTGAGTCTTGCTCACCACTGAGTCCTTGGTCTAGGGCTCCCGCACTTGTCCAGGTACCATCAAATGCTGTGTACTGAGAGGCGCTTGCGTAGAGCCCCTTCTTCCCCAGGCAGCACAGCCCTGCTCCTGCTGACACCATGGTCCAGGTGGTACACATCTTTCTGCCCGCAGGTCCCATGGAGGAGCAGCCTGAGAACAAAGCAGCACCCAGAGCTTGTTTTTTTTAGAGAACCTGGCTCTGTCCTGTCTAGAAGCCCCACAGCTGTGGAAACCAGGACCTCCTGCTTTTCAGAGCCTAGATGTGCAGGACATAGATGCACCTCAGAGGTCCTGGGTGTGAGGTGGAAGGTTGGGGGACACTGGGCTTCCTACTGCTGTGCTCCCATTGCCACATCTTCTACCTGGTGGGACCAGGCAGCTAGCAAAGGTGACAGATTCACCCAGACACTGTGTCCTCCCACATCCTGACCTGGCACCTGAGCCACACTGCTGGCTCTGAAGTTCCCAGGAGCGTGTGTGTGCTGTGACCAGCGGACCTATGGCATGTGCCGTCTTCCTCCCTCTGTGGCATGGTATCAGTTCCTCTGATGGTGTCATGTGAGGTCTCGTCCTGATGGGCAGAACTTTCTATAAACCGTCCCGTGGCCCCGGGGAAAGGCAAGCTCATCCCTGCAGGTTTAGTTGTTTCTGTTAAATGCAACCCTGTTCTTCCCAGGATGTCAGGGCCTGGTGCAGTTGTCCCAGCCTGGCAGGCAGTCGTCCCCTTGATGGTTTTGTGGAGCGCGCAGCCTGGGCCTAGCTCATGACCCTGGCAAAGGGCAGGTGAGCCCTGGGGCTGACCACCTGCACTTTCTGTTTGGTGGTGGGAGATGTGGGGCAATATTTCTTGCCTTTCCTTTAGAGATCATCTCCCAGCCTGCACAGACCACTAGACCCCTAAAAATGGGATTTGTAGGCAGGGCCTGGCTCTCTGTGGTGCTTTTCTCTCCCCTCCAAGCACCTGTGACTCCCAGGCCTCCAGCCCTGCCGGTTTCCCCCATCTGTGCTCCTGATGCAGGGGGAGGACTGTATTATGGCAGACAGCATGCTGGTTTACACAGTTCTGGGACAAAACTGTAGGTATACATTATTTTATGTCCCAAGTAAATGAATCCAATTTCTGGATGCTTTTTTGACACAGAGGGAAGAAATGCATTGGTGAGATCCATGAGCCAGAGCTCAGGTCCATGCTCAGGCTCTGGGAGCAGCTGTGCAGCTCTGGAGCTGTTGCGGGGCCCGGGGAAGGCGTAGGTGCTGTGTCTTTGCTCACTGTGTTAAAGGCTTTATTTGTTTCTTTGTTCAGTTTGTTTTCTTCAATCCCTGTTTAGCAATACTGAAAATCAAGCATTTCTAAGAGGCGGAGACCTTGATTTGGAGCAGGGGCGGGGCATTGGGTGGAAATGGAAAATAGGTTGATAGTGGGAATTTCATTTTCTGGAGCTCACGTGCAGCCTCTTGATGGCCCCGTCACAAGTTCACCTGATGACCTGAGTGGCCACTGTCCTTCTCCTGAGTGGTTTGCGTGCTTGCCAGGCACATGAGCAGTGCTTGCTCACATTCTTCAATTGAAGGAACTAAGAAGGGTTTGTCAGCAGATTGTAAGCCTGAAGCTGCCAGTGTTTGGTCCACAGTAAACCACATGTGGAGAGCTTTAAAAAATTGCCTTCAAATCTGGCAAGAAAATTACAGTAATAAATTATTACTATAATACACATATTTATTTAGTTACAATTATATATATAAAAAACAATTTTGCAGAAGTTTCCCATCTACCAGCATTTATTATTATTATTTTTTTTGCATGATAAGTTTCCAAGGAACCTTAGTGATGGGGACTGTCTCTTTTAAAATTAAATTGTGTAAATAACTCCCAGAGCCATGCTGGTAAGAAACAAAACAAAAAAAAAGAACTAGAAACTTGAAACAAATGTAGGATTTCTGCTGGTAAAAGGATGCAAAGCAGGCCTGCCTGCTGAACTTCCCCAGAGCTAATCCTTGAGCCAAAAGAGCTTCCTGGTGAAGCCTCGCACTCTCCGTAACAGGGTGTGGGGGGACCGAGACATGTGGGCTCCAGACTTGACCATCTTTACCTAGTTATGGGATTTCAATCATGTCTTTTAAATTCTTTGAGCTGCAGTTTTCACATATATAAAGTGGAAATATTTTTAAAATTTTAATTTGTATTATAACCTTGTGTAAAGATAAAATAGTACACTTGAAAGCATTTTAGCTGAAGTCAAACGTTCATGTGTGTGCATGCGATGGCTTAATTATTTTAGGGCTTATCCTGGTTTTACTGGTAGTGTTACTAGCACTGCTACTTCTCCATATCTCTGAAGACTATGAAATACTTAGAACTGAAGCAACAAGAAGCACCTGTTAAAGGGTTCTATGGCCGATGACAGATTTGACACAACTGGATATAATAATATGTTAGATGGTGACTAGAGCACTGCTGAGCAGAGACTTCATGCTGTTCAAAGTCGAAGGTGTCCCTAGAATTCTGAACCTGCTGAAGCAGCATTCAGAACTGAAGTTGAGAAAAGTACATTTTCAATTAAAGAAAGTCTGAGAGAATGTGTTGCCATCACACCCAAACCACAATAAATGCAAAAGAAAGCTGTTCAGCTTGAAGAAAAATGATAACAATTGGAAATTCTAGTTCTCAGAAAAGATGAAAGTGTGCCAAAAATAGTAAACATCTGGAGGGGAAACTGCTGTTTTAATGACATCCTCCAGGAATTACAACATGTGCAGAAGAAAAATCTATGACAACATGGCACAAAAGATGAGAGAAGGGAGGAGGGTAAGGTAAGGTTTTTATATTTTATATACAGTGTTATGATATTTAATATACTTTAAGTATTTTTATTTTAATTTCTAAAGAACTCACTAAAAATAAATAAATGAAACAAAGAGTCATAGTTAAGAAAAATACAATATACAAAATCCATACTAAAAAAAAAAGAAAACCCCATAAAACAAACAAACAAACAAATGAAAACTACAATAATCCAGAAGAAGACCAGGAAGGCAGAACAGAGACTGTCAAAGTAGGTAAAAAGGAAACCTCAATATCAGCTTTTAAAACGATATACACTTATGAGGTAAAGATACAAACAGATTCAAACTGAAAAGATGGACAAATATACACCATGCAAATCTTTGTTATCAAAAACTGCAGCCAGTGTATTAATGGCAGATAAGACAGACTACAAGAAAGACAAGCATCAACAGGGATAAAGAAGGATGTTTTATGCAATAAGTCCATTTGCTTAGAAAACCTAATAAGCATAAGCATGTATGCACCTAAGAAAAATAACAAAATACACGAAGCAAAAGTTATTGAATTAAAAGGATAAATGCATAAATCCACAATTTGACAATTCTAATTCTTATATCTCAGAAATTAATAGAAAAAAATAACTACGACAATAAGGCTACAAGGTATTAATAGGAGAGATTATAACCAGAGCACTGGGAGAAAAACAGCAATATCCAATATGCTTACAATATTGGTTGACAACTCAAAAGTTCCCAAAATAATTTTTGACACTAAAGGTAAATAGCCTGGAAAACCTAAAAGCCAGCATAGGAAGGAAGTGGAAAATGAAATGCTGATTGAAAATAAATCTGGAAGTCCGGGCGCGGTGGCTTATGCCTGTAATCCCAGCACTTTGGGAGACCAAGGTGGGTGGATCACCTGAGGTCAGGAGTTCGAGAAATTCTGTCTGTACCAAAAATACAAAATTAGCCAGGTGTGGCGGCACATGCTTGTAATCCCAGCTACTCGGAGGCTATGGCAGAAGAATCGCGTGAACCTGAGAGGCAGAGGTTGTGGTGAGCCGAGATCACCCCATTGCACTCCAGCCTAGGCAATAAGAGCAAAACTCCATCCCCCACCCCCCCAAAAAAAGAAAAGAAAAGAAATCTGAAGAAAGGAAAAGAGAATTGAGGATAAAGCTTTGGGATACAAAATCCAAAATCAAATGCTAGAAATAAGTTCAAATATATCACTTTTTCCTACCAAACATAGAAGGATTAACCTCATATATTAAAATACAAAATATCAGTAACAAAGCAGCACTTGCAAATTAAAGAAAGAAAAACAATGGGAATAAAAATTTTAAGTAAATATTCACAGAAAGCAAGCTGCTACCACAAAATTAATTTTAGTTCAAATAAAATTTAAGGAAGAAATAATGAACAACAGGATAGACACTGCACATGGAGGGACCATAGAACCGAGTAGGTGAAGCAACGTCAAGTCCAACGCTGGCCTCGCCTCCAGGACATACAAAGAAACTAACAGGAAGAGCAGGTCTAGAGAGGGACGCTGGAACTCATACTTCTGAATTTAAATGGGAAATAGACAAAAATGTTACGTGTTTATAAAAGATTTTAAAATCACAACAAATGCTGAATATACATCATTTCCTAGTATATGTAATACTTACTAAATGGGACTCATATTAGGTTGCAAAAGAAATTACAAAAAAACTGGAGCTAGGGACCAAAGGACTAACAGAAGTGAGAACAAAAAACACGCCCCATATATTTTAGGAAAAAACGGCACAGTGATTTAATGGTAAGTCACTATAAACATGAAGGGAAAGACTGCCATCCAAGGAAGCGCAGAAAAGGACACCCCTCAGGTCCTGGATGGAGGAGGATGACCCCCAATACTGGATGGAGAAGGATGCCCCCAGTCCTAGATGGAGAAGGATGCCCCCCTCAGTCCTGGATGGAGACGTCATGAGTAACTGTCGGTAGGAAACATCATGTTCTTCATTCTGCCCTTGCTCCTTGGGCTCCAACAGGAAAAACCAGAAATTCTGTGGATATAAAACATGGAAACATTCATTCTTTAAAGAAAAAGGCTGCAGAGACAAGAACAGCGAAAGGATGGTATTGAATACATGCAAATGGATAAAATATGAATGATTATGTTCTCATGTTCAACCCAATTTTTAAAAGTGGATGTATGAGCAGTGCGAGCATTTAGTCAGGCCATGGTGAGCCTGTGGGCAGCGGTGGCAAACCCGGACTCTGCCCGCCGACACCAGCGGCCCCGAAACCCTAGAGCCAGAGGCCACCTAGTGGCCAAAGTCAGGCAGTCGGCCCACAGCTGCAGGAGAGCTGCAACCCGCCCTTCAGCGGATTCCTGGAGGCTGCACAGTGCCCAGCTCCCGCCACCCGGTGCTCTGGGCGCGGGCAAATGACCCTCAGGCCGTCTGGGACCGGGCCAGCCCTGCAGCCTCAGCGGTGGACTCAGAGACGGCTGCCACGTGCACACGGTGAACTATAGCAGCTGTGGCAGCCCCCGACCCTGTGCAAGCCACCGGCAGTGCAGACCCCATGACCAAAAGCCGCCGCGTCCCCTAACTCAGACGGTCGGCCCCCCAGCAGCCAGAGGGAGGAAACCTGCAGCTCAGCCCCATCCCAGCGCTTGCACTGTGCTCAGCGCCTGTAATCCCACTCTCTGGGCGCGGACGAGGAAGACTGGACCTTACGGTGGGAGGGCGGTGCACTCGGGGACCCTCAAGCCTTCTGGAACAAGCCCTGCCATCCTCCGCCGCGGGCTCAGCGGCAGCTGCCACCTGCACACTCCTGGAAGCAGCAGCGGTGGCAGCTCTGGTCTCTGCCAGCTCCAGCAGGAGCGCAGACTGTAGAGCCAGAAGTCACTGCAGCGCGTGTTAGGAGGTTGGCCTCTCAGCCGCAGGAGGGCGGGAATCTGCACCCAACCAGATCCTCATGGCTGCACAGTGTCCAACGCCCACGACCCCGCAATCTGGGCGCTGGTCTAGGAATAACGGACCCTAGGGTGGAAAGGCGGTGCACTCACCCACCCTTGGGCAGCCTCAGGCCAGCCCTGCCAGCATCTGCCTTGGGCTCAGCTGCAGCTGGCGCCTGTGCATGGTGCACGGCAGTAGCAGTGGCAGCCCTGACCCTGCCCTCAGACACAAGCAGCAAAGACCCCAGGGCCGGACGCCTCCAAGGCACCTAAGTCAGGTGGCCGGTCCCATAGCTGCAAGAGGGCGGGAATCGGCTGCTCAGCCCCATAGCAGCTGTGGCAGCCCCCATCTCTGTCCATGCCACCAGTAGCACGAACCCCACGGCCAGATAATGCGGTGGCGCCTAATTCAGACTGTAGCTGCGGCAAGGCGGGAATCGGCCGCTCAGCCCCATCCTGGAGGCTGCTCAGTGTCTAGCGCTCGCACACCACGTCCTGGGAGCAGTCTAAGGAACAGGAGACTCTAGGGTGGTAGGGCGGTGCACTCAGCGACCCTCAGGGTGTCTGGGACCAGCCCTGCCAGCCTCTGCCATGCTCTCAGCTGCAGCTACCATCGCCAGGTGGCGCCCGTTAGCAATGGTGGAAACCACACCCCCATCCCCCGACCTTGCCTGCCCCCAACAGCAGTGCAGATTCCATGGCTGGATGCCTTGCCAGGGCGGGAACCAGCCGCACAGCCTATTCTGGGCAGCTGCACAGGGCCCAGCGCCCGAAACCCCGAGCTCTGGGCGCGTGCCAAGGAAGAGTGCACCCTAGGCTGGGAGGGTGGTGCACACCGCGATCCTCAGGCTTTCTGGGACCAACCCTGCCGACCTCTACTGAGAGCTCAGCTGCAGCTGCCACCTGTACAAGGGCACGACAGCAGCAGAGCAACCCGGCACTTTGCCTGCACCAGAGCCCTGACACCGGGGACAACGCAGCCTCAGCGCCTAATTCAGGCAGTCAGCCCCGCAGCTGCAGCAGGGCAGAAACCTTTGCCCTCGGCCCAGTCTCCTTGGCTGCACAGTTCCCAGTGCCCGCGACCCGGAACTCTGGGCTCAGGCAAAGGAACAGCGGACCCTAGGGTGGGATAGTGGTCCACTCAATGACCCTGAGGCTGCCTGGGAAACGCCTTGCCAGCCTCCGTCATGGGCTCAGCTGCAGCAGCCACCTGCACATGGCGGGGGAGCAGCCTTGATGGCAACCCCAGACCACGCTTTCACGCCAGCCAGGCAGACTCCAGGGCCAGGCGCCGCCCAGCGGCCAATTCAGGTGGTCCGGCCCCAGCTTCAGGAGGGCGGGAACCGGCAGCTCAGCCATTTCCTGGCGGCTGCCCTGTGCCCAGCCCCTGCACACCCTGATCTGGGCACCTACAAGAAAGAGCTGACTCTAGGGTGAAAGGGCCGTCCACTCAGCGACCCCCAGGCTGTCTGGGACCAGCCCTGCCTGCCTCTGCTGTAGATTCAGCTGCAGTGGTAACCTGCACAAGGCGCGCAGCAGCAGCTGTGGCAAATTCTGACCCTGCCAGCGCCACCAGCAGCGCGGACCCTTGGGCCAGAAGCCTCCACGACGCCTAAGTCAGGGGTGTTGGTCCCCAGCCGCAGGAGGGCAGAAACTGGCTCTCAGCCTCACCTCAGAGGCTGCATGGTGCCAGAGCCAGGGCCCAGCTCTTCTAGCGCAGGTTGTGGAGGGGCCAGGGGCCCCCCAGGCTGGAGAGGCCCCCCCAGGCTGGAGAGCAGCGTCATGAACACAGCTTACTGAAGCCTCATCCTCCCAGATTCAAGCTACCCTCTCATCTCAGCCTCCCGAGTAGCTGGTAGCTGGGACTACAGGCGGGTGCCATCATGCCTGTATTATATTTTACATACATTTTGGAGAGACAGGGTCTCACCATGTTGCCCAGGCAGATCTTGAAAGCCTGCAGTTCAAATGATCCTCTCACCTTGACCTCTCTCAGTGGTGGGATTATATGTGTGAGCCACTGTGCCCTACCTGCCGCTTTTCTTATAAGGATACTTGTCATTGGATTTAGGGCCCATCCTAATCATCTCAAGGTGCTGGATTTAATTACATCTGCAGATTGTTTTCCAAATAAAGGCACATTCACATGTTCCAGGTAGACATATCTTTTGATAGACCACCATGCAATCCACTCTAGGAGTATTAAAGTGCCAGTGTGGACTGAGGCACCAAAGAATCACATTATGATGTCATATAACTTGCCTTATTTGTAGTGACCAGTGGGCTTGGAAACAACCATTTGCAGCTGTCAGGGAAGTGCACAGTGCCTGACCTTTCCCGCAGCCTCCTCCCCACTGGTCTTCCATGAGAGGATCAACCCTTGGAGTGTCCAGAGATTCCTGTTAAATGCTAAAGACCACAGGAGAGTTTGGGAGGGGGAAGATGTTTGGGGAGCAGCTTAGTTGTCCTGAGGTGCCCATCACCCTTCACCGTTTCAGCAATATGGATCTTCCAAGGATCTGGGAATGGGAACCAGGCATAAGACAGATACATGTGGATGAGAAGAGGCCAGAGTCTTTCTCTGTGTAGGCACCATCCAGCCCAAGATGAGCATTGCTCCAGAAACACATGCACTCATGATGCTAAACCCAATCTATTGAGGACTTAATACAAACTGCGATTTTTTTAAAGCATTTAATTCTTACCACAGTCCTTTGACATCTTATTATATCCATTTTACAGATAAAGAAACAGGCACAGAGGGTTTAAGTAACTTGCACAAGGTCACACAATCACAACTAGTAAAGCCAGAATTAAAGTCCAGTCAGTCTGCATTCAAAGCCTGTGCTCCTGCCCCAAAGTGACAATTAGTGACTTAAAGGCAAGAAAAACAGACCCTCCTCTACCCACCATCCTCATACACAGCCTTCCAGCCCAGGATCTGAACCATTTATTCATTTTCTCTCATATTCATTCATTCATTCAATTCTTCATCACACATTTAGTGAAGCTCTGCCGTGGAATGTTCACACAGAAGGTACAAAAATGAGGCAGGTGTATTTTCTCCCATCTAACAGGGGATGACCACATGAAAAGAACTGGTGGCCTGTGTGTCCCATGGTCTTACAGGGCAGTGGTGGAGGGTGGCCCGGTCATCCACTTTCTGGGGAGGCAGAACCAGAAGCACCAGTTGGACAACTGCTAAAAAGATATTTATGCAGCCTCATATGTTAAGTCGTATATTTTGAAAGCTTTTTAAATTTTTTCTTTAAGAAGATTTTAGATGCTTATCACTGAGTACCAGAGGGATGTAGGCTGATGCCCTTATCAACAAAGTCAGGGACTGTGGCACACAAGGATTGACTACTGCAGACACGGTCACAATGCTACCTCTAGAGGGCCTGAATCCCCCTGCCCTCTCTGGTGGGGAGAAGGGCTGGCAGAGCCATTAGCATGGGCTCCGGCCAATCCTGGCCACTTTGACACTCCTGGTGCTGACCCAGGGTCCTGGAGGAAGGGATGAGGTGGGCAGTAGAGATGCTCAGGGCAGTGGCCCCTTTCCATCCACACTGGAACTATTTCAATATTTTACCACCAATTCAGCCATTCCCTTGTGCGCTGGCTGAACATCAGCCCTGCTCCAGGTCTCAGTTTCCCCTTTGTAAAGGGAAAGCTCTGGATTCAGGAGTGATGAGAGGTCATCATGGTCTTGAGATTCCAGGCCTGTAGGCAGGGGGTGAGAGGTTCACTAGGAGCACAGAAGGAAAAGATTGGGGAGAGGCAGCAGAGAGAGTGGCTTCCCTTCGGCCCAGGTGGGAGGTTCACAGAGGCAAACTTCCTTCTTCCTCAAGGCAGGACTTGTTACAGTGAGCTTCAGGCAGTCTGGCTCTTAGGACTAACTGGGATGTCACCCTCCCTGCAGCATCCACTCCACAGACAACATGAGAGGAGTGTGTAAGTATAACTAGGAACAGGCTAGTGTCCTGATATTCTCTGTGATGGAGGGGACAGCCCTCCTCAGAGACGTGGGGGAGCCCAGAACCATGGGCAGCCTGAACACACCTTACTTTCTCAGCAGTGACAATCAGAACCTTGGCCTACTAAAGCAGAAATTAAAAAGAGAAAAACCTAAGTTCTGGCCTGTTCCAGGCTGACTCAGTCCAAGGCCCTGCTAGGACTAAGATAACTTTATATACAAGGCCAGGAAGAGCCCAGAAGGAATGGACTCCAGGAACAGGGATGAGAAAAACAAGTTCTTATCAGCTTCCCCCTTTGAGATTCTTTCCCAGGCCAATATTTCTTTGCTCTGCTCTCATAACTATTTTTGTAACTATTTCTGTAAGTTTATAAGGATTTTTTAAGTTCCTGTTTTCCATCGGTGTGACCCTGAGAAGGTCACAAGACATGCCTGTGCAAGCCTAAAACAGTTGCCATCTGCTGAGAGCCTGCTGGGTGGCCCAGCAGAGGTCACCAGACATGTTTGAGTCATACACTTGTCACTGTTTGATTAACTGCCTTTGTTCTGCTTCTGTAAGCTTGCTAAGCCTGCCCTGTAAGTTTTTCAAAGCTGCATGCTTAAAAAACAGGCCCCATCTTTTTTCCGGGCTCAGCCTTTTGGATGCAAATCCACTGGGCAAGTGGTCATTTTAATAAAATCCTCCTGTCTCACCCATTGGTCTCTCCAGTCTCTTGACTCCCTCAACACTGAGACGGCTCCAAGGTAGCATGTGAGATTTAAGTAATAACTTTTTTGTTTGTTTGTTTGTT
Organism: Homo sapiens; assembly: GCF_000001405.40. Classification (NCBI taxonomy): domain Eukaryota; kingdom Metazoa; phylum Chordata; class Mammalia; order Primates; family Hominidae; genus Homo; species Homo sapiens. The sequence goes on along the minus strand of NC_000022.11, from coordinate 15,772,343 downwards.
TTTATTTTTGTATGAGACTGGGTCTGGCTTTTTCACCCAGGCTGAAGTGCAGTGGTGCAGTCACAGCTCACTGCAGCCACTTCCTGGGCTCAAGCCACCCTCCCACCTCAGCTTCCCAGGTAACTTAGGACTACAGGTGTACACCACTATCATTGGCTAATTTTTGTATTTTTTCCAGAGACAAGGTCTCACTGTCTCACTGAGCTCAGGCTGGTCTCAAATTCTTGAGCTCAAGAGATTTACCAGTCTCAGCCTTCCAAAGTGCTAGGATTACAGGCATGAGACACTGTGCCTGGCCAGTAATTTTGTTTTATTATATTAAGGTCAGGTTTATACCACTTTCTTCTGATTACAGAAGTAATACATGCTCATTGTATAACACTGAAAATGTAAGCAGTATAAAGAAGAAAATAAAAAAGAATATGAAAATCACTAGTGGTCCCATTGCCTACCGATACACTATGTGCTGCTTTCTAATCTTTACTTACTCTCCCTCCATGTGTGTCTTTGTGTGTGTGTGTGTCCGTCTGTGTGTTTTTTTTTTTGGCACATAGGACAATAGCTGACATTTATAGCTCCCCTACCAGTGTTGAGCATTATGTTAAGCAATTGAAAAAGTGTATTTTAACTCCTACAGAAAACCTATAAAGGGGAAGGGCAGTATAATTAACAGAATTTTCCAGATGAAAAGACTGGGACCTGACTTCAGGTCACATTTTATATACAGCATTACATTTTACTTCAGACACTTAACAAAGTAAGTGTCCTGGAGAATCTTGGTCTGTTAGTCTATATAATTACATAAGCATCTTTTGTGGGATTAATAGTTTTTCCAAAGCATGCCTGGAATGCTTGCATAACATTTTAGAGTTTAAATATGTTGTTTATCGCCAGGCACGGTGGCTCACACCTGTAATCCCAGCATTTTGGGAATCTGAGGAAGGTGGATTGCCTGAGCTCAGGAGTTTGACACCAGCCTAGCCAACACGGTGAAACCCCATCTCTACTAAAATACAAAAAAATAGCCAGGCATGGTGGGGTGTGCCTGTATTCCCAGCTACTTGGGAGGCTGAGGCAGGAGAAATGCTTGAATCTGGAAGGTGGAGGTTGTGGTAAGCCGAGATTGCACCACTGCACCCCAGCCTGGGCAAGAGTGAGACCTTGTCTCAAAAAAAAAATAATTTTATCAAACCATTTTCATCTTTGAAACATTTTAGGTCTCCTCTTTGGCTTTTTCACATTATAAATAATACTGTGATAAACATCCTTCAGCAGAAACCTTCATAGGCTAGCTTCCTAGAAGTAGAGGTATTAGGTCCAAGGTTGTGAATTGTTTTAAAGCTATTGATTTTTCTGGATAAAATTGCTTCCAGATATATTGTCCCATTGCATTGCAATCAGTGGATCTCACCTTCAGTATTTTGTGCAAAAAAAAAAGAATGTTTCTCCTTTTAAAGATTATATTTAAAATAGCTTTCAAATATTAAAAATTTGTATCTACAAATAAGAGACAGTGAAAAAATTAATAAAAGAAACACAAAAGTAGAAAGTAGATGAAAACATTAAAATTCAGATCACAGCCCTCTGTCATGGAGAAGACAGCTGCAATAGCTTTTTTGTTCTTTTATCTATCCTTGATACATTTTTCTTTTAATTAATTTTTACCCCAACTTTTAGTGCTGGCTGAGTTGTCGATTTGTTGCTGGGATGGAAAGAAGAAATTTGCACCTTGTCCTTTGCAGGTTATGAGAGCCCTGTCTGTCCTCGTGGTTATGTGGATGTCTTTTAGATTATTGTGAATATTGAGCTTTGAAAATAACCTAACAGTCAATCAATTGCTGAGATTCTATTACCAGTAGTGGGACACAATGTACATCATGTAGAGAGGCAGACTCGTCGCTGACAAAAGGGCTGACCCCTGGAAAACCAGCACAGAGCCAGCTCTTCTGTCTGAATCCACTCTCTCCAAAACATAACATAAGTCATGGAAAGAAATGAGTCTCAAGAAATGAGACTCTTACCGTGATGAGAGGGGGACATTGAAAAGCTACTTTAGTGATTAGGGAGAGAAGTCCCCTTTTGCATCCCAAATCAAGCAGAGGACTGGTAGTCCAAATATAATTTTGGAATAACCTGAGTCACCTGGGCCTTGAGGAATCCTGGCCTCTTAGTCCACATTTGCAGAAATATCAGGAGGTCAATCAGGAAGCTGTTTAGGCATCTCAACACAGGGTCAAAAAGCTCCTAGGTACACAAATAAATGTGCACACTGGAAATTGAGTTCAGTAATTTTTCCATGGCCTAGAGAACTATGATGATGAAAATGTTCTACATTTGTGCTGGCCAGTTCAGTAGCCACTAGCCACATGTGGCTATTGAGTAACTGAAATGTGGCTAGTACAACTGACCAACTAAATTGTAAATTTTGTTTTATTTGAATTAATTTTAATTTTAATAGTCATCTGTGGCTATTGGCTACTGTACTGGGTAGCACAGAGATGAGAAATAATAGAAACCTTTTTGTTCGGTTGTTTCAAGAGCTAACATTGTCAAAAGCTCAATTCCTGTTTTATGTAAGGTTTTGGTTTATATTTTCTCAAAGAAGTGAAGTGCAGAAAAAAGAAAACAAAACAAAAGGATGATCAAGCAGAACTTGAAGGGTGAAGCAGAGATACTTAACTCAGGGTGGGGACAACAGCAATGACCTTGTTTGAAATGCAGCTCCTGTCTCTGTGGCTCTCTGTGCTCTGCTGGGGCATCAGTTCCTTTACTTCTTAGTTAAAGCAGTTATTTCGATGGTGCAACGCTTTTTTGGTGCAATGATTTTTTACACAGCTGGTTTATCTCCAGTATGGAAGCTCTCTGCTTAATCATCTTGATTTTTCTGGGCTTGTTCCCACTCTGCAGATGTAAGCATGACACCTGTATCTCTCTCCCCAGGCTCTGATCTAGGACGACAGTTTCTATGATGTGCCCATCTAGAGAAATACTCAAATTGCAACTTTAGGAAGAGAAAAAGAGGGCCCTGCAAAAGGCATCTACAGGCCCCATGTGCTGTTCACCTTTCTTATTTATGGGTGAAGTGAGTCCTCATCCATTTATTGGGCAGTTACAAGCAAAGGAATTATATGACTACGACAACACACCCTGAGGTACAACAATTTTGTCTGTTTTGAGTTTCCACTGTTGAAAAAAACCTAGTTATTCTAATTAAGAATAGTTATAGATAGTACAGTGATAACATTTTTTTTTGAGACAGGCTCTTGCTCTGTCCCCAGATTGGAATGCAGCAGCATGATCATGGCTCACTGCAGCCTCAACCTCCCTGGGCTCAGTGATTCTCCCACCTCAGTCTCCTGAGTAACTGGGAATGCAACACATGCCACCATGCCTAAATATTTTTTGGATTTTGTTTTCTTTTGTAGAGATGGGGCTTTGCCATGTCACCTAGGCTGGTATTGACCTTCTGGACTCAAGTGATCCTCTCTCCTCAGCCTCCCAAAGTGCTAGGATTACAGGTGTGAACCAGCATGCCATGCCTATAGTGATATCTTTAAGTAAGCCTCTCCTATCTTCTTTTGAGCAGTTTTTCAAAGCAACAGGCACCTTATTAAATTAGAAAGTTGATGTGTTTCCCGAATGCCTGCTAATAAAGTAGAGAACTAAAGAACCTCTGTGATTTCAATGAAGTCCATTCAGATGTTATGGGCTACTTGTTACTGACAAGTATGGTAGGAAATGTAGGTCAAGCTGTCATAGGCAAATAGATCTTGCTGAAGAGGAAGAATTATTGGCTAAGATAACACCCTAGAACACCTGGCATACTTTAGACACAGCTAAATTGAATGCTTTCTGAGGAGGAGTGTATTAATCTGTTCTCACACTGCTATAAAGATATACATGAGAGTGGGTAATTGAAAAAGAAAAGGGATTGAATTGGCTCACAGTTCTGTGGGCTGTACAGACTTATGCTTATAGGGAGGCCTCAGGAAACTTACAATCATGGCAGAAGGTGAAAAGGAGGCAAGCACATATTCACATGGCTGAAAAGAGTCAGGGGAGGTGCTACACACTTTTTAAACAAGCAGATCTCAGGAGAACTTTATCATCAGACAGCACGAGGTGGATGAGGCTAAACCATTAGAAACCACCTCTATGATCCAGTCACCTTCCAGCAAGCCCCTCCTCCAACACTGACAATTACAATTCCATATGAGATTGGGGGTGGGGGGTGCACAAATCCAAACCATGTCAAGAAGCATTTTAAAAATTGAGGGAAGTTCTAATCAGATAGCAATTGAGGACAGGGCATTTCATCAGCATAACACTCCTCTCAATACATGCCAAAATGGGAAAAAGGAAAAATTGCAAGGACGAAGATGGGACACAGCAAAATGACAAGATGACTAACAAGATGACCCCTGTGGAAAGCATTTACTGATTCAAAAACCAAATAATGAAGAAAATAAGAGCAAATTTGCTGAGTTTATATGCTCTTTATGCTTATTAGGGAAGGGCAGAAGCCAGCCCCTCAACATTGTTATTATTAATTAACATCATCACCACCTGCTCTTAAGTGTCTAGATACTTTCTAGAATCTAGTATTATCTTCACTCAAATGTTTTTTGGATATGCCCTTCGTGCATGTGATACTGCAAAAACATTCTACATTAGCCACAGCAAGATGGCTATGTAATAATTGGGATCACTTTAGGGGAGGCTATTTGTACCACATTTTGAGACAGAAAATGAAGTAAAGATGTCCATTTGTCAATTTCTTCTACGTTATGTCAAACATTCAAAGAGCTTATTTTATTTATTTCAAAGATGTATACATGTTGAAATTAAAATTTAAATTAAGAAAATGTATAAACTGAGTCAAAAGAAAAGTAAGTGAGGCAGTTGGTTAATGTGTCGGTTAATGCCACCATAGTTCTGCATGCCCTGGAAGTGTCAGGCATAAACAACTCTAAAGTATTCGGCATGCAGCCAGGTGTGGCAACTCATGCTGTCATTCCAGGACGTTGAGAGGCTAAGGCAGGTGGGTTGCTTGAGCTCAGAACTTTCAGACCAAGCAAGGGCACATGGTGGAACCCCGTCTCTATGAAAAATATGAAAATTAGCCAAGCATGGTGGTGCCCGCTTTTAGTACCAGCTACTGGAAAGGCTGAGACGATCATTTGACCCCAGGAGGTTGAGGCTGCAGTAAGCTCTGGTTGCACCACTGCACTCCAGCCTGGGTGAAAGAGGGAAACCCTCTGCCCAGGACTCTTGGGATATGACTATATCCATAGGGACTGCCCGCAGTAACCTCACATTTGAGTGGAAGTGGAGATCGTATGTACCTACACCAATATGTAGCAAAAAAAGAAAAACAGAAATGATAGCAGAAATGGCCCAAAGAATAAAAGAAGGTGGGGGTAATTGAGAGAGGCTTTCTGCTGATAAAATTTGAACTGATTTCTGGAGAATGGGTTTAATTCCAATAGGGGGAGATGGACCAAATTTAATTTTGATGAGGGAAATGTCTTGAGCAAAATCTAGAAAAGGAAAATATGCCCATTTTAAGTTTTAATGAGTGGTCCAGTTGGGGCACAGTGCAAGAAGAGAGTTCTAGTGAAAAGGTAGTTGGTCTGATAGGTCAGGGTCTTGCAGGCAGAGGCAGATACTATCATTATTCCGTTTTTCAGATTGGAAAACAGACACAGAGAGTCCAAGGTCACAAAGACAGAAAGGGAATCTGGGCAGTCTAGCAGTAGCACCCTCTTCTTAAATGATCCGTTAAAGGGCCTCTTCTCCAGGCACTCTAAAACCCTTCTCCATCTTTAGTTCCCCAGAGTACAGTGAGGCCCCCTGTCTACCTCACAGGACGGGGTCTCAGAAAAGCAACAGATCCCAACTCATACTAGCTTTTAAATAAAAAAAATTATAACCTTGCAAAACAAGAAGTGCAGAGGTTGGGCAAGAGCCAGCCCTGGTTCATTCAGCAGCTCAACAATAAATCCAAGGACTTGGGTATTGGTTCACCTCTCCACACCACCGTCCTCATGGGCCAGCTTCTACCTCCTCCTGAATACTGTGTCTTTGCCTAGTTTTCTCCCTGATTTTGGCTCAATTGCTGCTTCCTGGAGGCATCCTTTCCTGCCTCTGTCTTGGGGTCAGTCCGCCTTCACAGGCTCTTGCAGCACACCTGGGTCTGCTGCACTTTCCCTTATTACATAATTTTGTGACTAATGTCAGCTCTTTCTGTTAGATTCTAAGCTCCACTAGGGAAGAAATTCTGTGCATTTTTGATCACTATTGAACCCTGGAGTCTACCACTCAAATATTTGTCAAATGAGTAAATGGTAGCTCTGTGCAGGGCCAAGGAACCCAAGAACCACAAGAAATAATCTGCCAAAATAGTCATTACAGCTCACTCTCCTCTGGTGACATTTCCCTGAGGCACATTCCTGTTGGTTTCTTCCCCTCAAGAAGCATTCTTCTTTCTCCTTCCTATAAAAGCCAGGTTTTTCTCAGATAGCCACACCATGCCCCATGCAAAGAGATTTGGATTATTATACCATCTTGAAGCATTTCTGTGGAAACTGCTATCAGCCAGGTGGCCCATGACCTAAGTTGACCCAAGCCAACTGAAGGGAGGATGTATTCTATGCACCGTATGGAATTCCACAGGGTGCTGGTTTCCCCAGCTGCTGCTGGTGGTCATCATGTAGTGAAGATATTTCTTTTTTCAGCATAGGCCTCAAAGGGTTCCAAATATCCACTTGCAGATTCTACAAAAAGACGGGTTCCAAACTGCTCAATCAAAAGAAATGTTCAATTCTGTGAGATGAATGCACACATCACAAAGAAGTTTCTCAGAATGCTTCTGTCTAGTTTTTATGTGAAGATATTCCCTTTTCCACCACAGGCCTCAAAGCGCTCCAAATATCCACTCGCGGTTTCTGCAAAAAGAGTGTTTCAAAACTTCTCAATCAAAAGAAAGGTTCAACTCTGTGAGATGAATGCACACATCACAAAGAAGTTTCTCAGAATGCTTCTGTCTAGTTTTTATGTGAAGATATTCCCTTTTCCACCACAGGCCTCAAAGCGCTCCAAATATCCACTCGCGGTTTCTGCAAAAAGAGTGTTTCAAAACTTCTCAATCAAAAGAAAGGTTCAACTCTGTGAGATGAATGCACACATCACAACGAAGTTTCTCAGAATGCTTCTGTCTAGTTTTTACGTGAAGATATTTCCTTTTCCACCATAGGCCTCAAAGCACTCCAATTATCCACTTGCAGATTCTACAAAAAGAGTGTTTCAAAACTGCTCAATCAAAAGAAAGCTTCAACTCTGTGAGATGAATGCACACATCACAACGAAGTTTCTCAGAATGCTTCTGTCTAGTTTTTAAGTAAAGATATTTCCTTTTTCACCATAGGCCTCAAAGTGCTCCAAATATCCATTTGCAGATACTACAAAAAGACTGTTTCCAAACTGCTCAATCAAAAGAAAGGTTCAACTCTGTGAGATGAAAGCACATATCACAAAGAAGTTTCCCAGAAAGTTTCTGTCTAGTTTTTATGTGAAGATATTTCCTATTGCCCCATTGGCCACAATGGTCTCACAAATATCCCTTTGCAGATTCTACTAAACGACTGTTTACAAACTGCTCAATCAAAAGAAATATTCAACTCTGTGAGATGAAAGCACACATCACAAAGAAGTTTCTCAGAATGTCATGTAACCAAGGTATTGCTAGTGCTTATGGAGAAAATAGAGCAAGTGGAGAGAAACTGAGTAGGTAAAAGTGGACAGGGCTTGGTGATGTTTGGGATATGAGGGATAAGACAGAGGATGGTCTTAGGAAAATCTCCTGTTCTTTCTTTTTGGACAATGGTATAGATGAATAAAAGTTCCAATCACTGGGATAGAAAACACTTGGAAAATATGAGATTCATCCAGGCGAGTCTTTCATAAACTATTCCATAATCAGTTTTATAAGTGAAAGGGAGTCAGAACTCATCTCAACCTTGTTTGCTTCTATCATACTGCGTTGTACCCTGTTGGATCTACTTATCATATTCTTCCTGGTAGCAGACTTACCTACTAATGTTTGCACTTACTCCTTGCCGGCCTGGAAGCTCTGAGTCAGCAGGAGCAGTGTGTGTGCCCACGTGTGTGTGCACTTTCTTGGGTGTGTGTGTGTCTGTGTAATTGGATTCCCCACAGCACATTATTGTTTTATCCATAGTAAATGGTGGATGAATATTTGCAGTATTTAACTGGACTGCAGCATTGTGGAGGTCAGATAACCACATTTTGATAGACAAGTTGCATTCTAACCTTGAAGCAAACAAAATGCCCATCTTATCAGCCTCCCTCACACTGGCTGTGCCTTTCCTTTGTGGTTGTATGTTTAAAGAGCTCATCCAACAAGCTTCTTAAAAAGGGGATTGGACCTTTGCCAGCCTCTGGCTGCATGGCAGGGTGACTGTGTCTTTGAATATCCCTGATGGAAGCTGGTCATCCTTTTGTCTTTGGGTGAATAGACTACTCAGGAAGGCAGGGATGAATGCACCCCCCACCCTGCTTTCTTGTTAATGAGTTTGCCATTTATTTTGGCAGATCTGAAATAGTATTTCAAAGGCAGTGCAGAAGCAGATGGGGACATTACTTGTAATTGTTTAATACTGTTATGACATGACATTTGCTTACAGAAAGAGAGGCAAGCCACCATCTTCAAGGGAGGGCATAGTCATCGACTGTGATCCTGGTGTCCATGTTGGAATATCATGGCAACTATCTCCCAGCACTGGACTTGATTACTTCTACTGCATTCCCAGTGATAGCTGAGTTGCTTAATTTACTTTCTTCAACACCGTTTGTGAAAGGGAAGCTAGAAAACTGCACTATGTATGGCTTAGTGCACTGAAAATTTGACGTTATCAAAGGAGCCATGATCTCGTCTTTCTCTATCCCTCTTCAAATGTTTTCTATAATTATATTCAAAGGCTCATGGGTCTTACCATGGGTCATCGAGGAAGGGCTGGTAACTCTTTAAACCACAGGTAAAATATTACAAACATCTGAAACCTGCATTTTTACAGGTGAGAGAAATGAGGCCAGAAAAGTTAAGTGCATCATGTTGAATACAATTTTATTTGGTGGTCAGGCAGCCCTGGGTTCAAATCCTGGCTCGATTGCTACCAATTAAGCCACTTAACTCCATCTGAGCCTCAGGTTGTCCATCTGCGTAATAAGCAGTAATAGCAGCTATCCTGTAGGACTACTGTGAGAATTACAACTCAGGCAATGACCATGATATTTCTTGGCACAGAGGTGTTCACTACTTAGGCAGTGTTATTATGATGTCTAAAGTCACAAAGGGAGTTTTTGAGAAAGCTGGAATGAAAACTTGTTTCTCTCAACTCTGACCTTATTAGAGCACACTGTTGCTTGAATAAAGCAGCCCTGCAGTCTCACAGTGGAGGGTGTTTGTAACATCTGCTCAGGCACGGTTTCATTTACTATATACCCAGAGACTAGCACTGTACAAGTTGTGGGGAGATACTCATGTGAGTTGGTGGACATTTGGTCAAATATTTTCCCTAAACCCAGGTCTCTATGGCATTCTACAGAACACTCTGCATCCTTCTAAGGGACACTCGAAGAGCAAATGGATTGTACAGTGAGTTACAAATAAAATGGCCAATCTCAGCATGAAAGACTGAGGGTGTTACCTGAATGAGGATGCAGACCCTCCATCTACATATAAGCAAACCTAGGTGACCATGAGCCTGCCAGAAAGAAATCACATGCTATGTAAAGGCTTAGTAACAGTGATGAATATCTGAACTTGAAATCCAGCTCCAGAGCAGTTCAGTGGCCTCTCTTCCAGGAACAGAAGCCAAAGCAGCTCAGGATTGTTGAAGGCTCTGAAAGGTCAGTGAGAATCCTGGTATATGTTAAGACTTTCCCACCAAAGAAGGGCTCCGTGTGTAGAGACTGAAAAAGGATTCCCAACTTTGGTCCCTTCAAAACCAGAAACAAAGGTGGGGGATAGCCCAATTAAGTGGCCCTAGAGATTTGCCCAGGAGCTGGAGCCTTCCGGAGAAGTCCAGTTTTCCTATGCAGGGAGAGGACTGGGAGTTCTCTGGTCACAAGCGTTCTGCCTTTGTTTTCATGAAGCTATGTCTCTTACCTGGTAAGAAAAATGGAACCGCATGCAGCTGCTGAAAACTTTAACCAGAAACCCAAAGATATTGGCACAAAGAAAGGAGGCCTGAAGAAAACAAGTGACCATGAAAACACATTTAGCTCTTAATCTGACCCATTTCTCATGGGCCAGGCCTGGTGCCAGGAATGCGGTGATGAATAAGGCCTGAGCTGAGATTGTGAGGATGAGAGGGAGTCCACCCTGTGGGGATCTGGGATGATAGAAGGGCTCCACAGATAGAGGACCCGGGTGGCCAGAAGTTCTGCTGAGTGGAAAAGGGCTTGGAGTAACTGAGGTCAGCTGGATTCCTTAAACACTGCCCAGAGCCCTTGAAGCCATCTAAGGGCACACTTCTCAGGGCTGCTCCGAACCACACTCAACTGGGAATCTTTTAAGGACAGCTGCTGGGTTAGGCTTGCCAGAGATGGTGCAGTTTTTCCCCGCGGCAGTAGAGGAACAGACCGCCTCTGTGCAGGAGCGGGGCCTCACAATGCCTTGGACTAGGGCAAAGGAGGATCTCCGCCTCTCCCCGTTCTGGGCTAAGACATGGCAGGACGCCGACCCATGGCTCCATGGACTCTGGCACCAGAGGACCCCCACTCTCCAGCGCCCTAGACTGAAGCAGAAGACCTCAGACCTGCTCCGCCCTGAACGAGAGTACAGTGGGACCCGCGACCCGCCCTGGCCTCAGGCACTGGAGGACCCCTGCAACGCCATGCGCTAGACTATGCTACTGAAGGACCTCTCCCCCGGCTCCGCCCTGGACTAAGGTACCGGAGGATCCCCGCCCCGCCCCGCCCCGCTGTGTCCTGGGCTGTGCCACTGCAGAACCCCCACCCCTCCACACCCTGGACTGTGGCTCCCGAGGACCTCGGCCCTGGCTCGCCCTGAGCTATTCCTGCCCCTCTGTGCTCTGGACTGTGGATCCAGAGGACCTGGTCCTGAGGCAACTTGGGCTACCGCGTGGACTCCAGGACCTCAGTCCCGCCGGGCCCTAGACCAAGACAGGGGAGAACCTCTGACCCACCGCCCCCTGGATAGGGCACCAGAGGACCCACATCTTGCCGTGCCCTGGACTACAGCACGGAGGGACCCCGATCCGCCGGGCACTGGGCTCCTGCACAGAGGAACCCCCGCCATGGAGATCTGGACTATCCTTGCCCCACCGCACCCTGAACTACTGCACGCCAAGACCCTCGCCTGAAAGCGCCCTACACTCTGGCATGGGGGAACCCTGCCCCGCAGAGCCCTGGACTCTGGCGTTGGAGTACTCCCACTCCATTACGTCCTGGACTTCTGCACCAGAGGACTCCTGCCCCACCGCACCCTGGACACCTGCACTAGAGAACCCTGCCCCGTCGCCCCCTAGACTATGGCCCGGGAGGATCCTTGCCACCGACTTCGGAACAATAAGACCCCTGACCCGCCATGAACTGGATTCCAGCACTGGAGGACCCCCTGCCACGGCGCTCTCTGGGTTACGGCTGCCCCACCGCGTCCTGCACTACAGCACAGAAGGACTGCCGTCCCTCCGCGCACTGGACTGGGGCACAGCAGGACCGGGGTCTCGTGCGTGGTGGACTGCAGGCCGAGGTGACCCCCTCCCCGCCGCGCGTTGGACTATGGCACAGGAGGACCACCACTCCCGCATGCCCTGGACCACTGCAGGACAGGTCGCCCACTCCGCCGCACCCTGGAATATGGCACTGGAGGACCCCTGCCCTGCCGCTCCGAGGACTCCACCACCGAAGACCCTCGCCCCCCTGCGCCCACGACAAAGGCAAGCGAGGACCTGGCCTCACCGCCCCGTGGGCTATCGCATAGGAAAACCCCCACCCCACCCCCACCCCGCGCCAGAGACTCTGACAAGAGAGGACCCCTGCCCCCTGCTCCCCGGACTACAGTGAGGCAGGAACCACACTCCTCCCAGGTCCTCACTATGGCAACTGTGGACCCCCGCCCTGGTACCCATGGACTAAGACACTGAAGGACCGTGACCCCACCACGCCGTGAACTCCAGCATTGGAGGACCACTGCCTTACTGCGGACTCAGTCACTGGACTATCGCAGGGCAGGATCCCTGTCCCGCCATGCCCTACACTATGGCACGGGAGGACCCAGCCTCACTGTGCTCTGGACTCCAGCACCGGAGGACTCCTACACGGAGGACTCCCGTTCTGCCACGTCCTGGACTCCTGCAGAAGTGAACCCCCGCCCCGCTGCACCCTGGATATAGCAAGGCAGGAATCCTGCCCTGTCACGCTCTGGACTGCGGCACCTGAGGATCCACGCCCCAGCGTGCCCTGGACTACTGCTCCGCAGGACTCCTGTTCTGCTGCACCCTGGACTACGGCACCAGAGGACCCAGCTCCCGCCGGCCTGAGCTATGGCACCAGAGGACCCAGCTCCCGGCAGCCTGGACTATGGCACCAGAGGACCCAGCCCCCCGCTTCCTGGGCTAAGGCACAGTAGGACCCTGCCTCATCGTGTACTCCTGCTCAGGAGGACCCTCGCAGGGCGGCGCACTGGACTAAGCTACTGAAGGAGCCCCACCCCTGCCTAACCCTGGACTAAGGCACTGGAGAACTCTTGCTCCGCAGAGCCACGGACTCTTGCACAAGAGAACCTCAGCCCAGCCGTGCCCTGGACTGTGGCACAGTAGGGCCCACACCACGCCATGGACTCCTGTATTGGAGGAAGAGTAGTGATAAATGTCCAGGTTTACAACTTGAAAAGTAGCAATCAATGTGCCACAATAGATGGATGTGATGTAAAATTATAAATGATGAAAACATTATGTGTAATTGCCTAGCCAGAACAGTTACACAAGACAAAGACGTAAAAGAAATCCACATAGGGAAGGAAGAGGTAAGATTGTTTCTGTTTTTTGAAAATATAATCTTAAGATAGAGAAAATCTTAAAGATTCCACCAAAATAAATGGTTATAGCTGATGAAGAAATTCAATAAAGTTAATAGTTACAAAATCAACATACAAATATCATTATTGTTTCTATTAACTAATGACAAACTATTACCTGAAAAATAAAGGCAATTCAATTTATAATAGAATCAAAACAGATATATAAATATATAAAAGACAGGAGTAAATTTAATCAAAACCATAAAAGATTTACATACTGAAAACTATAGCACATTGATGAAAAAAATTAAAATGGCATAAATAAATGGAGAAACATCCTTCATTGATGGATTCAAAAATTAGTATTGTAAAAGTGTCAATGCTACCCAAAGCAATCTACAGATTAAATGCAACCACTATCAAATTCCAATGTCATTCTTCACAGAAATAGAAAAATTACTGCTAAAATTTGTATGGAACCACAAAAGACCTGGACCAACCAAAGCAATCTTGAACAAAAAGAACAAAGCTGGAGGCATCAGACTACCTGACTCCAAACTCTATTACAAAGCTATAGGAATTAAAACAGCATAGCAATGGCATAAAAACAGACATGTAAAACAGTACAAAGGGATATAGAACCTGTAAATAAATCCGTGTGTCTGTGGTCAATTGATTTTTTGATAAAATAACTAAAAATACACAGTGAAGAAAGAAAATTATTTTCAATAAATGGTGTAGACAAAACTGACTATCCACATACAGAAGAATAAAATTTGACTTTTATTTTGCTCTTTATACAAGCATCAAATCAAAATTAAAGTTTAAATGTAAAACTACTACAAGGAAATATAGAAGGAGACTGTATGACATTGGCCTGAGCTATGATTTTCTGTAGATTATTCCAAAAGGCAACAAAAGCAAAACACACAAATGAGACTGCATAAAACTTAAAACTTTTCCACAGGAAAAGAAGCAATGATAGAATTAAGAGAACCCACAAATGGGATAATATTTTTAAACCATACATCAGGTAAGGGGCTCATATAATAATATATAAGCAACTCAACCTACTCAAAAATAAGAAAAAAACTATGCTTATTAAAAAATAAGCAAAGAATCAGAATAGACATTTCCTACATCATACAAAAGGCCAACCAGGTACATGAAAAAATCATAAACATTCCTAATTATCAGAGAAGTGCAAATCAATGCCACAATGAGATATCACCTCACACATTTTACTAGGGCTATTATAAAAAAAGATGGAAGATAAGTGTTGGTGAGGATGTGGAGAAAAAGAAACCCTGTACACTGTTGGTAGGAATGGAAATTAGTACAGCCATCTTGGAAAACAGTACGAAGCTTTCTCAAGAAATTATAAATTTATTTACCCTATGATCCATCAATCCCACTTCTGGATATGTGTCCAAAGGAATTTCAATCAATATGTCAAAAAGAGACATCTGCAATTTCATGTTCATTGCAGCAATATTCATAATAGCCGTGAATTACAAACAACCTAAGTGCTTATCAACTGAAGAATGGATAAAAATATGTGGAAAAATTGGAACCCTTCTACACCACTGGTGAGACCTTAAAATGTAAAACAGTCTGGCAGTTCTTCAAATGGTTAAACATAGAGTTATCATATGACCCAGCAATTCCACTCCTATGTATTTACCAAAAAGAAAAGAAAACAAATGCTACACAAAAAGTAGTACAAAAATGTTTATAGCAACAAAAAGTAGAAAAGAACAGAAATGTTCATCAACTGAGGAGTGGATGAATAAAATGTGGTGTGTCTATAAAATAGAATCTTATTTCTTAACAAAAGGGAAAAAAGTGTTAATGCATGCTCCAAAATGGATGAACATTAAAAATATGTTAAGCGAAAGAAGTGAGTAAGAAATGACTATGTGTTATTATGATTCCGTTTATGTGAAATGTCCAGAATAGGCAAATTCATAGTCAGAAATTAGATGAGTGGTCACCTAGAATAGGAGGGGTTTTAAAAAGGCTGGAAAAAATAGGGAAAGATTGCTAATGGGTGCAAGTCTCTTTTAAGGGCATTAAAATGTTCTAAAATTATCTTATGAAGATTATTTGTCCACCCAGTTAATATACTAAAAGAATTTGAAGTTTGTACTTTAAATGAGTGAATTACATAATGTATGAATTATATCTCAATAAAGCTGTGGAAAATTAAAAGCATATGTAGGATGCATACAAAAATACTACTTATCTTTATAAATGAATGAAATTCTGTCATTTGCAAAAACGTGGATGAATTTAGAGGACATTATACTAAGTAAAATAAGCCAGACACAGAAAGACAAATATCTCATGATACCACTTACATGTGAAATCCAAAAATGTGCACTCATAGAAGTTAAGAGTAGAGTGGTGGTTTATCAGAGGCTGAGCAGGTCGGGTGGCGGGGGTGGAAAAAGGGGAAATATTCAATGGGATAATGCTTCAGTTAGGAGAAATACATTCTGGTGATATGGTACACAGCAAAGTGACTGCAGTTACTCATAATATAGTGCATATCTTAAAAGCGCTAAAATAGTACATTTTAAATATTTCACCATAATGTAATAAATATCTGAGGTGAAGGATATGTTATTTAGCCTAATTTGTCCACTTCACAATATTTACATGTATTGTACCACATTGTACCCCATATATATTTATCAATAAAAACAAAATTTTCAAAAGTTAGAAAAACAGATGTGCTAGATCTTCATCTAAAGACATTTCTGAGAAAAATGTATCTGTTTTCTTTCAGAAGAAATTTACACTTAATAGATATTATGGTAACTAAAGTAAGGCAGATAATTTTGGCCATCAGCTTATATTGTGGGATAATCTCTTTTTGCTGACCTTGAAAAGCTGTGGCATATTCACAACAAGTAGGAAAATTTTTTTATCATGATCAGGTAAAGGTTCTGCATGCTTCTATTTTGAATAATATTTTCCCCTTAGAATCACAAAGTGTGAATGCCTTTTATTTCAGAGGTCTAGCCCTAAATGGTTTAGTCAATTACATCATGCATTCTGAAATAAGTACTGGTGCATTTGTGAAGGTACTATATATAATT
Organism: Homo sapiens; assembly: GCF_000001405.40. Lineage (NCBI taxonomy): Eukaryota > Metazoa > Chordata > Mammalia > Primates > Hominidae > Homo > Homo sapiens. The sequence goes on along the minus strand of NC_000022.11, from coordinate 15,756,173 downwards.
GTGTTTTTAATTTAACCATCATGTAAGTCTACTTTTCTAGTTAAGAGTCTATATTTTATAGAGGCCCTCCATATATATAGAAGAGCTTTTCTGACAGTATATCCTTTAAATTGCAAAGATAAATAAAGGAACAATTTTGCTTTCATTTTTTATTATTGTTATTATTTTTCAAGGCTAGTCAAGTGAAGCAGTGGGAGTGGAGAAGGAACTGCTTTCATTTTTATATGTTGGTGTTACAGGCTCTATGTGACAGGCTATATATTTGTCTGCTGAATTTTAGAAACAAAGTGAAATATTTATTTCATATTTCATTAGATAGGGATGACGATTACATTGAGGGATTGGGACTAGACTGAAGGCACCACATCATCAATCACTTGGAAACAAAATTTTGCCTATGTGTTATGTTATATTGGCAAAAACTTTTATTGTGTCAGGCGATATAGCTCCCTATTGAAATATGTGAAAAATGCAGAGAAAAAAAGGCAGGATTGGTTATCAAGGGATATTTAGGCCTGAGATACATGATGCAAATATTGAAAACGTACACTTTTTAAAAATTAGATTTAAAATGTAAATTGAAGCAGAGCATTTAGAAAAAGACATAATATCTACTATAAAAGTCCTGGGTTAGAAAAGTTAAAATACTAAATGAAAAAATAATGCTTCTTGGGTGGCTTAAAATCAAATATGAGACAAAAAATTACTCAGAAATTTTTCTAAGATTAAAAACATGTATACAGTTTCTTTGATACAAAATGAAATAAATGTCTGGATGTAACTTTAATAGAATAGAATAGGGAGACAAGGGCAAAGAGCAGGTGTATGCAGAATGAAGTGAACATATTATTGTAACAATGAGAGGGACAGAGTTGAATGATTGCTCTTGGAGACAAGGAGTTCTGATGTCTAAGTTAATGACAAATCTTTTGTTTGCAAGTTAAAAAAATGTAACTTAAACTTGGTGAAGGAATAAAGGGTGGTTGGGGGGATGACTCTTTGTACATTAAACTTGTTTTAATGACTAATGAATTAATCATAAGTTCAAATGATTTTATGGAGGCCCTTTCTTTTTTATTTGATGTTTCTGGACTCCTTTTTTCTTTGTATTTGCTCCATTTTTACCTACTTGAACAATTTTTACCCTCGAAGTTTAGGAAACACTGTAACCAAATGTTCCAACAAGATGTGATCCCTGAAAGCATTTGCAGCTGGGGGATTAGAAAAAAAGGGCTTTCTCTTTCAACAAATGCATGTTAATCTCGATGAAAACTCAGAAGTTTAAACATGGTCCTCCTTGGGTCATGTGGCTACCCCAGGACCAATCATTGCACAAACATAGGAGATACTCTCAAAAGCCAGGCTGGAGTCAAGGTTATCCAGTGGAGTTTCCACTTTAAAAATCAGTTTTGTCAGCCTTTGTGTTTGCATATTACAGACATGATAGCTGTCTATTCCACTTCTATTAGAGATGAAAACTAAGAGCATATGCCCATTCAGAGGATTTTACATGAATCTTCATAGCAGCTTTACTTGCAACAGCCAAAACCTGAAAACATTCCAAATGTCCATGGCAGGTGAATTTGTGACTTATAAACTTACTATGGTATACGTATATAATGAAATAATACTCCCTAGTAAGAACAGAACAATTGATAGATGTAGCAACATGAATTAATCTCAAAAATAGTGATGCTGAGTGATCAGAAAGTATACATACCATATGATTTCATGTATTTGGAAATAAAAACTCATGGATAGTGACTGGAAGTGGATCAGTGGTTACCTGTGGAAGAGATGGGGGGATAGGCAGGAAAAAGTGAGTAGAAAAAACACAAGAAAACTTTGGTGGTAA